>NC_000007.14:157144518-157457583 GCF_000001405.40 Homo sapiens
CTGAGTGGGAGCAGGCAATGGGAAATATTTTGAGACTTAAAGAAGCTAGGGATGAATATGGATATAGAAAAGTTTGTAGACCGGAGGAACTGAAATTTTTTAAGTTTTTGTAGATCTGACAATAGTGGGAGTAGAATTAAGATCACTTTAATGTTTGTCCAGTGCTTTTTTTAAAAAAAAATAGACTTTATTTTTTAGAGCAGTTTCAGGTTTACAATCAAGCAGAGGGTAGGGTTCCCATATGCCTAGTCTCCCTCACCTCACTTTTCTCTATTACTAGCATCTGGCATTAATGTGGATCATCAGTTACAATTGATAAACCAATGTCGATGTGTTATTATTAATTGAAGTCCATAGTGTACATTCAGGTTCACACTGTGTGTTGTGCATTGTGTAGGTTTTGACGAATATATGATGACATGTATCTACCCTTACAGCGTTATACAGAAGAGTGTCATTGCCCTAGAAATCCTCATTGCTGGCCAGGTGTGGTGGCTAATGCCTGTAATCCCAGCACTTTAGGAGGCCGAGGTAGGCAGTCAGGAGTTTGAGACCAGCCTGGCCAACGTGGTGAAACCCCGTCACTACTAAAAATACAAAAAATTAGCTGGGCGTGGGAGGCTGAGGCAGGAGAATTACTTGAGCCCTGGAGGTGGAGGTTGCAGTGAGCCTGGATTGTGCCAGCGCATTCCAGCCTGGGTGACAGAGCATGACTCTGTCTCCAAAAAAAAGAAAAAAGGAGGAGGCCCGGCACTTTGGAAGGCCAAGGAGGGTGTATCACCTGGAGTCAAGAGTTCGAGACCAGCCTGGTCAACATGGTGATACTCTATCTCTACTAAAAATACAAAAATTAGCCAGGCGTGGTGACAGGTGCCTGTAATTGCAGCTACTCAGGAGGCTGAGGCAGGAGAATTGCTTGAACCCGAGAGGCAGAGATTGCAGTTAGCTGAGATCACGCCATTGCACTCCAGCCTAGGTGACGAGAGTGATACTCTTTTAAAAAAGAAAAAAGGAAGAAATCCTCATTGCATATTCATCCATCCCTCCCATCCCTGTAACACCTGGCAACCACTGATCTTTTTACTGTTTCTACTCTAGCCTTTTCCAGAATGTCATATAGTTGGAATCATATACTATGTAATCTTTTCAGATTGGTTTCTTTCACTTAGTACTATGCATTTAAGGCTCTTTTCATGGCTTGACAGTTCATTTCTTTTTACTTTATTTTTTATCAATTAATAAGCTTTTTTTTTAGAGTGGTTTACGGTTTACAGAATAATTGATGGGAAACTATAATAGAGTCCTCAAAACCTCCTCTCCGCTGCACGCTGTTTCCTTTGTTATTTACATCTTGTATCTGTGTGGTACATTTGTGACATTGGAGAACTATTGAATTTTAATGAAGTCCAGCTCACCAGTGTTTTTTTCATGGATCTTGCTTCTCGCGTTGTGTCTAAAAAGTCATTACCAAAGCCAAGGTAACCTAGATTTTCTCGTATTTTCTAGTAGTTTTATAATTTTGTATTTTACATTTAGGTCTCTGATCCATTTTGAGTTAATTTATGTGAAGGATATAAAATCTGTGTCTAGATTTTTAATTTTTGAAGTTTTTTTGTTTGTGGATGTCCAGTTAGCACCATTTCTGAAAAGACATTCCCCAACTCCATTGAATGCCTGCCTTTGCTCCTTTGTCAAAGATCAGTTGGCTATATTTTTATGGATCTATTTCTTTTTTTTTTTTGAGACGAAGTCTCGCTCTGTCTCCCAGGCTGGAGTGCAGTGGCGCAATCTCGGCTCACTGCAACCTCTGTCAAGCAGTTCTCCGGCCTCAGCCTACCGAGTAGCTAGGATTACAGGTGTGCACCACCACACCTGGCTACTCTAGTACAGACGGGGGTTTCACCATGTTGGTCAGGCTGGTCTCGAACTCCTGACCTCGTGATCTGCCCGCCTGGGCGTCCCAAAGTGCTGGGATTACAGGCATGAGCCCCTGCGTCCGGCCTTTACGATCTGTTTCTAAGCTCTGTTATGGCTTTATTCTCTCCTCCATTGATCTCTCTCCCTTTTGTCAATACCATACCATCTTGATTACTGTAACAGATCTGTAGTAAACTGTACTACTTAGTATATATATTAAACTAAACTTTTTTTTAATTTGAGAGGGAGCCTCCTGTTGCCCAGGCTGGAGTGCAGTGTTGTGACCTCGGCTCACTGCAAACTCTGCCTTCTGGGTTCAAGTGGTTCTTCTGCCTCAGCATCCTGAGTAGCTGGGTGGGCATGTGCCACCACACCTGGTTAATTTTTGTATTTTTAGTAGAAACTGGATTTCACCATGTTGGCCAGGCTGGTCTTGAACTCCTGACCTGAAGTGATCCGCCTGCCTCAGCCTCCCAAAGTGCTGGGGTTACGGGAGTGAGACACCGCGCCCAACCATAGTAAGCATTGAAGTCTGGTAGTGTGAGTCCTTCGACTTCCTTCTTCTTTAGTATTGTGTTGGCTATTGTGGATCTTTTGCCTCTCCATAAGAGTCAGTTTGTTGATATTCACAAAAAAAACCTGTGGAATTTTGATTGGGATTGTGCTGAATTGGTAGATCAAGTTGGGAAAAACTAAAATCTTGACAGTGTTGAGCCTTCCTATCCATGAATATGGAATATCTCTTAATTTGTTTAGTTCTTTTATTTCTTTCATTGGTTATATAATTTTCCTTATATATACCTTATACCTATTTTGTTAGATTTATACCTAAGCGTTTATTTTTAAGGGGTGCTAATGTGAATGGTATTGTGTTTCAGTTTCAAATTCCAGTTCATTGCTTATTTGTAGAGAAGCAATTGACTTTCATGTACTAACCTTATGTCCTGAAATCTTGCTATAATCACTTCTTAGTTCCAGGAGTGGTTTTTTGGTTGATACTTGGAATTTCCTGCACAGATAATCATTTCATTTGCAACCAAAGACAGTTTTATTTCTTCCTTCCTGATCTGTATGCCTTTTTTTTCTTTTTTCTTTTCTAAGACCATCAGAAAGCAATGTGTTTTATTGTCTTACTGCATTAGGTAGGATTATAGTTGAAAAGGAGTGGTGAGAACTTGCCTTGTTCTTAATCTTAGTGGGAAAGCTTTGAGTTTCTCATCATGAAGTATGATGTTTGGTGGGTTTTTTGGTAGATATTCTTTATCAAATTGGGGAAATTCCCCTCTATTCCTAGTTTGCAGAATTTTATCATGAATGAAGGTTGGGTTTTGTCAGATGCTTTTTCTGTATCTGTTAATGTTATGTGATTTTCCTTCTGCAGCTTGTGGATATGATGGATCACATTAAGTCATTTTAGAATATTGAGCCCGTCTTGCGTATCTGGAATAAATCCCACTTGACTGTGATGCATAATTCTTTGTATACGATGTTAGATTGAGCTTGTTGATATTTTGTTCAGGATTTTTGCATCTCTTTTGATGAGGGACATCAATTTAGGGTGTTTTTGTGATGTCTTTGTCTGGTTTGGTATTAGGGTGATACTGGCCTTATGGAATGAGGATACTCTAGGGCCTACCAAAACCAATTACTATAGTTTTTTTGTTTTATTTTGTTTTTTTGAGACAGAGTCTCCCTCTGTCGCCTAGGCTGGAGTGCCTGGAGTACAGTGGTGCGATCTCACTGCCACCTCCATCTCCCGAATTCAAGTGATTCTCCTGTCTCAGCCTCCCAAGTAGCTGGGCTTACAGGCGCCCACCACCAGGCCTGGCTAATTTTTTTGTATTTTTAGTAGAGATGGGGTTTCGCCATGTTGTCCATACTGGCCTTGAACTCCTGGCCTCAAGTGATCTGCCCACCTCAGCTTCCCAATGTGCTGGGATTACAGGTGTGAGCCACCATGCTTGGCCTCAATTACTCTAGTTTTAATTCCTCCCCTATGATAGGTCTAGACTGTTAAGATGGTAAGAACTTGATTGCTTAGTTTTGTAAAACTGCCCTCTATTATATAATTGAAGGGATTACCTAGTTTTGTAAAACTGCCCTCTATTATATAATTGAAGGGATTACCTAGAATATTTTAACTTAAAATGTTTTGTGCTATTTTGTTTTAAAAAGCAGAGGTGTAATGGATGTGATAGTATAATGCTCCATATACATTGTAGTGGAACATAAAAACTTTTTCTTACAGATCTGGCATCAAATAAAGTCAAAATATTTTCTAAGATCAAATTAGTTCTTTTTTTTTTTTTTTTTTCCTTTAAGAGACAGGGCCTCACTGTGTCGCCCAGGCTGGAGTGCAGTAGCTATTCACAGGCATGATCATAGTGCACAGCAGCCTCAAACTCCTGATCTCCAGCGATTCTCCTGCCTCAGCCTCCTGAGGAGCTGGAACTCCAGGCTTGCCACTACCCAACCCCAGCCTGGCTCTGAAAATGTTAATTGACTGTCAGGACTGGTATTATTTAGCAACACTGCATTTGTTCCTTCGAATACAGTTATGCTGTATCCTTTACATGTAGGAGCAAAAGACTGTAGTTCCCTGCTATAGATAAGGTTAAGAATTCTTTTTTTGTTTTTTGAGATAGAGTTTTGCTCTTGTCGCCCAGGCTGGAGTGCAATGGCTCAATCTCGGCTCACTGCAACCTCCGCCTGCCAGGTTCAAGCAATTCTCCTGCCTCTGCCTCCGGAGTAGCTGGGATTACAGGTGCCTGCCACCACACCCAGCTAATTTTTCTATTTTTAGTAGAGATGGGTTTCACCATCTTGGTCAGGCTGGTCTCGAATTCCTGACCTCAGGTGATCCACCCACCTCAGCCTCCCAAAGTGCTGGGATTACAGGCGTGAGCCACTATGCCTGGCCAGGAATTCAACCGATTTTTAAAAATAGAAACCAAGCGGAATGGAAGGAGTGAGACTTGAGACTAATTGTCTCATTGTCTCATTTTCTTTGGACATTAAATCTGGGCCTACAGGGAGGTGAGTAAAGCACCATACAGTATTTAAGGAGGCACTTACTCTCAGGTTCATGCACAGGCGGACCCTGCACTGGCACATCCCTGAGAGTGAGTGCCTCCTTAAATTTGTGCCTTAAGCATCTGGCTTGCCTCATGATATCCCCTACTTGGCTTTAACCACTTGAATGTGTGCTGATTTTCTTGAGTTACAGTGTGAATTGCCAGCTAGGGTCCTTAAAAGGTTGAAAAAATAGATGGTCTCATAAGACCATAGAATAGCCTCAAAAGAAGTTCTTGCAAAAGCTGTAAGGAGCTTCACTCTGTGACTTTTCTTTAATTCTTCTATTATAGAATGTAGGCACCTAGGAATTTGGAAGTGGGGCATCTTATTCTTTGACTGTGACCCCTGTTTTTTACTGCCTTTAAAGCAGCTGCTTTCTGCATGTCCTTGTTCTCCTGTCTCAGGCCTCCAAATGCCGCCCTTTACCATTTGTCAGCATGAAGGAGAAGCCATGCTTTCCATAGCCCATCACCTTCGATGGTGGTCAAATTACAGGCTGTAATACCTGCTGTTGCTGAGGGCATACAGACACTGGGCACAACCTACCTAGGGTTGGTTATAACAGATTTATCAAGAGTCTAACAAGGCCAGGCATGGTGGCTCACACCTGTAATCCTAGCACTTTTGGAGGTGGAGGCTGGCAGATCACTTGAGGTCAGGAGTTCCAGACCAGCCTGGCCAACGTGGTGAAACCCCATCTCTACTAAAAATACAAAAAATTAGCTGAGTGTGGTGGCACCCGCCTGTAATCCCAGCTACTTGGGAGGCAGAGGCGGGAGAATCGCTTGAACCCAGGAGGCAGAGGTTGCAGTGAGCTGAGATCATACCACTGTCCTCCAGCCTGGGTGACAGGGCAAGACTCTGTCTCAAAAAAAAAAAAGAGTCTAACAAGATATGTCCCCTCTAATCCAGCAGAACAAATTTCTACATTTAGAAACGTAAAAATTTATTCTAGTGAACTAATATGCATAAGAGAAGATGCATGGGAAAGGTGATTTATGGCATTACTTATAATACTGAAAAATACTGAAACAGCCTACATGTCTAAATACAGGACATTTGTTAAATAACCGTTAATATAACAATGCAGTGAAATACTGTGCAGCCATTTAAAATGGTCATGATGCGTATTAATGTCTGTCATTAATTTATTAACATACTTGTATTTATGAACATGATTTATTGTTAATGGAAATAAGTAGATTACAAAACAGGATTGCAGTCTGCATTTAAATTATGTTTATCTGAACAGTAAAGATAGCTAGTTTCCCAGTTTCTTAATTTCCATTGAATAAAAGAAAGATACTAGTTGCTTATTGCTGTGTAATAGAGCTTAAAGCAATACGTTTTTGTTACCTTGGTCAGTTCTGTGGGGCAGGCATCTGGATCTACTTCTGCGCTGGCCTGTTCACAAGCCTGGAAGTTAGTGCTGGCCGTTGGCAGGAGAGTCAGTTCTCGGCCGCTTGCGGGGCTTCTTAGGGATACCGTGTCCTCATGGCAGCTGGCCTCCCGCTAAGCTGCTGAGCAGACAGAGCAGGGAGGAAGGGCAAAGCCTGTGGTGACTTTGGTCATGGTGTATTTGTCCAGCCCACTCTCGGGGTGAGGGGAGTCGGGCTCCACCCCCTAAAGGGCAGCAGTAGCAAAGCGTCTGTGGACATAATCCTGAAGCCACCGTAGAAGGGAGCTTCAGGTTTAGCTTAGTCGTAAACGCTGGCGCTGCAAAACAAATACGCTGTGTTTTCTGCCTCAGCCTATTAGGAGTTAAAAATTGTGGTTTTCCTTCTTACCTCTTACCTTCTGTATCAGTAGTTATTGGCTACATAAATAACAACACAGTGAGTTAAAAAGCAAGCATTGTCAACATACATTTTGGTGAATGTGAGTTCACTCGGAGAAGATTGTATAGCTCTTTGGAAATGTAACAAAGAAATTGGCAAACTAGGAGCAGCTTAAAAAACAAGTAAATAGAGACCTGACTTAAAATGCTATTTTTCTAGATGTGCCCTCCTGATCATGTGCTGGCTTTTCTTGTGAACTGTTACCTTCTCCCGTATGCTGCTTGGAAATGCTTAGGTTCCTGCATTATCCTGCCGGAAATACTATCTATTAAGCCGTTTAAGTGTCTTCCTCAAAAAAGCCCAGTAGAACCATAAGGAGTAATTTTTTGTAACAATGCAAATTCACTGATTTAGATCATTTAGCTTTTTAATCCATTTGCCCTTGGAGAGAAGAGGGGGCTATGCAATTGGACCAAGAGGAGTCAATGATTTTGAAGTCAGTCAGCCCTTGGTTTGTCACCATGACAACCGTGGAGCAGGAGGTAGCCACATCATGACAGGGAGGAGAGGTGAGTGAAGTGAGAAGCAGGGGAGCATCACAGTAAAGTGGCCGTCATCTGAGAACTCTTCTGCACAGCCTCGTACCCAGAAGTTTGTTCCCCTTCTGTTCTAGTACCATGTGTGTATCCTATTTCCAGAACCCCAAGCAAGCATCAGTTTTTGTGTGCTGGACTGGGTAGGATTCTTAGGACTATTTACATATTAACATTACTGTCACCAGTTAGAGGGACAGCATGGGCAAAGCTGTCCAACCATGGAGACGTGGTGTTCAGCTACAGGTTGTGGCCAGAATGGGGGTGGGCAAAGGGTGTAGGGAAAGTGGAAGAGAAGGCTGGGAGGAAGGTAGTCAGGGACAGAGCTGGGAGGAAGGTAGTCAGGGAGAGAGCTGGGGGAAAGGTAATTAGGGACAGAGCTGGGGAGCATTGTAGGCCACACTAAGGCATATTCAGGGAGGACTGGAAAGCCGCTAAAGAGTTTTAAGCACATTAATGAGACTTAGGTTTTAGAGATGCGTGGGGGGCAGTTTGGGTGTTTGAATCTAGGGAGGCAAAGCCTGAAGCCAGGGAAATCAAGGGAGAAGCACCCACACTTGTGCCTGAAGAGCAATGAGGGCCTAAAACCTGCAGTGGGCATTTTCTTTTAAGGATGTTTGTGTTTCTCTCCTTGTTTGTCACATGCAGATCCTTGCGCTCCTCACTATTTGTTCTCCTGCAGGGCACTTTTCGTTTATGAGCTCATTGATCTCGACTTCTGATATGTGAGGCAGAGGTGTTAGTGTCCTGTGGAGGAAGAAATCAAGGCCTGGAGTCCAAATAATTTAGCAAAACCCCCAACACTGCCCTGTGGTTTGTTTATCCGGATGCTGTACGGCCTCTCCCTCGTGTCTGGGCAGGTTGTCTTGCCGGCACATCTTGCTTCTGTCTCCTGCTTTACTTGTGCATTCCTGTAACTGCTTGGGAAGTTGAGGACCACATCCTGCAGGCACTGAGAAGGTGGTTCCAACAGTCCTACATCTTTTGGAACTAATTTTTCTTACAGTGCAGCTTTAACGTTGTTTAATTTTTTGCCAGGTGTGGTGATGCACGCCTGTAATCCTAGCACTTTGGGAGGCTGAGGGGGGTGGATTGCCTGAGGTCAGGAGTTTGAGACCAGCCTAGCCAACATGGCGAAACCCTGTCTCTACTAAAAATACTGAAATTAGCCAGGCATGGTGGTGGGCGCCTGTAATCTCAGCTACTTGGGAGGCTGAGGCCGGAGAATGGCTTGAACCCCAGGGGAGCAGAGGTTGCAGTGAGCAGAGATCGCACCACTTCACTTCAGCCTGGATGAAAGAGTGGGACTCCCTCTCAAAAACAAAACAAAACAAAATTGTTCAGTTTTGTACATATTATTTTAGAGCTGTGTGAGCAGACGCTAGATTGTTGGCAGTTAGTATGGTTCACATCACATCTTGCCACTGTGAAACCCCTTTACTGCAAAAGACGAAATTTTAGAAAGTGTAACCTTGAAAAAAAAATAGTTAACTCTGGAACCAACTGTCTGTGACTTAGCTGTTCATCTTTTCTGGGCTTTTCTTTGTTGTATTGCGTAATGGGAGAGTCACAATTCTCTTTCTAATTTGTTTTTAACAGAGTCCAGGTCTCACGGCGTTGCCCAGGCTGGTCTTGAACCGAGCTCAATTGATCCTCCCACCTTGGCTTCCCCAGGTAATCCCAAGTGTTGGGATTACAGGTGTGAGCCACACGCCCAGCCAGAAAGTCATAATTCTTGATAAGGATAAAACCAAACTAGATTATCACGAATCTTCCTTGCTCTAAGAATGGTTGCGTTTCTACTCTGCAGTCAGTGGCCTTTTTAAAAAGTTAACTTTTCCTCCCGGCACTCTGGGAGGCTAAGGCAGGCAGATGCCTTGAGCCCAGGAGTTCCAGATCAGCCTGGGCAACATGGCGAGATCCCGTCTATACTAAAAATACAAAACAAACAAACAAACAAAAAAACGGGCATGGTGGTATATGTACCTGTGGTTTCAGTTACTCGGGAGGCTGAGGTGGGAGGACGGCTTGGTGGGGCGGGGGCGAGGTTGCAGTGAGTGAGCCAAGACCGCGCCACTGCACTCCAGCTTGGGTGACAGAGCGAGGCCCTGTCTGGGGGGGGAAAAGTTAACTTTTTCTGTTTAAAAAAAATGATAGGCCGGGCACGGTGGCTCACACCTGTAATCCCAGCACCTTGGGAGGGAGGCCGAGGTGGGTGGATCACGAGGTCAGGAGTTCAGACCAGTCTGGCCAAGATGGTGAAATCCCGTCTCTACTAAAAATGCAAAAATTAGCCAGGTGTGGTGGCAGGCGGCTGTAATCCCAGCAACTTGGGAGACTGAGGCGGAGAATTGCTTGAACCTGGGAGGTGGAGGTTGCAGTGAGCCAAGATCACACCACTGCACTCCAGCCTGGTGACAGTTCGAGATTCTGTCTAAAAAAAAAAGATAAAAGGTCAGACCTTCTAAAGAGTATCCATGAAATCATCTTCTCACTGAATCCCCTAACTTCCCACCATTATTTTCTCAGTATCCTCTCAGAACAAGTCTAAACATAAACATGTCCTCCCCTCTCATTTTCAGTTAAAATGAGAGATCATATTGCTTTTTCACCTCAACAAAATATCTTAGTGATTCCATATCGGCATCTTTATATTTGTTATTTTTCATGGTATATAATACTCCATAGCATAGTTTGATACTTAATATAACCACTTTCCTATCAATGGATACATATAAATTGTCTTTAGAGTTTTGCTATTAAAATAGTGCCTTATTTACCACACAATTCTGAGGTAAGAAAAGAAAGTCTCTTGGCGTATATTGTGATATTTAAATGATTGCGTTTTGCATTGGATACTTCATTTTTTCTCTAGTCAAGTGAAGCAGAAGGAGTGGAGAAGGAACAAAGAAATCTATAACTGGTTGTAGTCAGACTTTATTTTTAAAAATGAGCTCTTGTGATTGTAAAATAATATTTATAATTGGAAATGTAGGCTATACTGAAATGTATTTAATAATTACCTATTGGAACCCTACCCATCCCTTAGAAATGAAATGCTGTTAATGCATAGTCAGTTTTTTTCCCCATCTTTGTGATGGTAAATGGTCAAATATTTTCCTAGCATTTTAAAAACTTTCTTTTGAACTTGCATCATCTTGTGCATTATGTTTTATAAATATGATTTTTAGTGGCTGATGATGATGCACCTGTAAGTATGTTTTGCATTTGTGAAATTGGCGGTTCTCATATTTTCATAGAGATTCTTATTTCATGTAGGTCTGCAAAAAAGAATCCCACCCCCTCCACACGCACACACACACATTGTAGCTTATGCATTACTCACAAATGTTAACTTTTAACATTTTCCTTTACTCAAAGGCAATGTTCTTTGAAGTGTATAAAATGGCTAGCATTATGTTAGTGCCTGAGAGCCAGAAAATACTGAACTGAAACAGATGTGAAGCTGATAATTCTGTGTAAATGGAGTAAATTGTTAATGGAAGATAAGCCAAATAGGTGAAACAAAAACCTCACAGTTTTTTGGGGTTTTTTTTAAATCAAGATATTTACAAACATGCTAACAATCGTTCTGTAAATGGTTAGCAGTTAATTTGGGCATGTGGTCTTTTGGAAGTTACTTAAATTTACTTTGACATTCACTCTAGTTTTTTAACATAAAAATTTTATTCTGAGGGTTTAATGAAATCTGATTTAAACTGTGTACGCTTTACTATTTCAAATAAAGAATAAACTTTGTTACCACTAAATTTATTTAGTGAAGAAAGCATTTTCCCCCCATTTGAAATCATCTTGGTAAGACAAAACGAAAAGAAAATCACCTTGGTAAATGGCATTTGTAAGATTTGGTCATATTTAATGTTCAGAGAAGATAACGATAGTACCTAAAGCTCCACAGGCACCCAGAGCAGTTGGCTGTGCTCACTGTGGATTTCACATTGGTGGGTAGTTACAGCAGGGAGCGTGCACGCTGTCAGGACGATGGCCTCGGTCGTTTCAGAGACCCTTTGGGTGTTTGATGGACCTTGTCTGTAACTGCTACTAGGCATCCTTACGGGTTCTACATCTGCATAATTTGAAAGATAAGGATGTTTTCAACTATGAGTACAATAAATTGAAACCAAAAACTTGTTAATCAATAGGAAGTTCAGTCCTTTTTCAAAATCAAACTGCTTTCTCCTGGTACCTTATTTGCCCCTTTCCTCCCAGCCACTCAGTGGTGAACTTGTTCCTCATTATATTGAGCTGTTTTTAGAACTTGTTCTCATATTGCTTTGTTACTACTTTGTTTAAAAGTGAGAAAATATTATAAGTACATGGGTGATCATTCAGATGGGAATGTAAACAGTCAAATAAAATACTAGAGCCTTTCACCTCCACTCCTCACACCCCCAGTTCTTTTTTTTTTTTTTTTTTTTTTTTGAGACAGAGTCCTGCTCTGTCACCTGGGCTGGAGTGCAGTGGCATGATCTCGGCTCACTGCAGCCTCCACCTCCCAGGTTCAAGTGATTCTTGTGCCTCAGCCTTTCAAGTAGCTGGGACTACAGGCGCATGTCACCACCCCCGGCTAATTTTTGTATTTTTCATAGAGACAGGGTTTCACTACGTTGGCTGGGCTGGTCTTGAACTCCTAACCTCAAGTGATCCACTACCCTGGCCTCCAAAACTGCTAGCGTTACAGGCATGAGCACCGCATCCGGCCCCAATTCTTTAATCCTTACATTCACACTCTATTTTGGGATTTTTACACATCCTGTCAGAGCTGTTCTCTACATACATAATCATATAGGTGTGTAAATTCCCTTCTTTTTAAAAAAAAAAAAAAAAACACAAGCTAGAGCATATTAAACAGATTGCTGTACTTCTCCTGTCCCCCTTAATAATACTCTCGGAGACAGTTCCTGATCAGTAGATAGATCTACCACATTCCTTTAAAGAGCTATATGATATTCCATGTAGTGAATGCCCTATAATTTTCAGCAGCCAAAAAAATAAAGCTGACTCCAGTGAGTTATTAATGTGGTCCTTATTATATGTGAAGACAGCCTTATTTATAGTTAATGTCTTCAGTTATAAGAGTCTTCATCATTAGACTTTTTAAATTACCCTTTTAAAAACTCATGTCCGGCCCAGGCGGTAGGAGGAAAAAATAAAGGTGTAGGCATGATCCTAATTCACAATTATGAATATCAGCATGTGGCTCACACTAGTAAGTGTCAGCTTCTGAAAGTGAAATTTCAGCATACTATTAAAAATAAACCTGCAACAATGAATTAAAAAATTCAATATACAGAAATCCATGCTAGTGATGTGGACGGTAATAGTCCATGCTGTGCATATAATCCTAAGCTGCAGCTACTGAATTCTTAAGCGAGAAATTTGACTACATTAAGAATTAAAACTTTGTACACATAAAAATATCATAACCAAGGTTAAAGAGTAACAAAGGGAATATTTGTAGCATCATGAAAATGATTATTTGTAGAACAAGATGAAAAGATAATCAAATGAAAAAATTAAATGATTCAAACTGTGGAAACATAAAAAGTTAGACGCTGCACTGTGCAGGTGAAGACAAGGGACAGCAGTCACTTTTCATACATTGACATGATCTCCTTGGAGGGCAATTTGGAAATATTCATTAAAATTCAAATGCACATAGCCTTTGACCTACAAAGAAATTTAACCTGCAGACATTACTGACACATTTGCAAGGATATCCACTGCAGTTTTATTTGAATTAGCCAAAAACTGAAAACAACCTAAATGACCATTAAAATATAACATGGTGGCTGGGCGTGGTAGCTCATGCCTGTAATTCTAGCACTTTGGGAGGCCAAGGTGGGTGGATCACCTGAGGTCAACAGTTTGAGACCAGCCTGGCCAACGTGGTGAAACCTGGTCTCTACTTTGAAAAACAGCACAAAAATTAGCCAGGCATGGTGGTGGAAGCCTGTAATCCCAGCTACTTGGAGGCCGAGGCAGGAGAATTGCTTGAACCTGGGAGGCGGAGGTTGCAGTGAGCCAAGATCGTGCCACTGCACTCCAGCCTGGGCAACAGATATATATAGATATATATATATATAGAGAGAGAGAGAGAGAGATACATATAAACATGGTGAGACCCAATCTGTACACTCTTTTTTCCTTTTTTTTTTTTTTTTTTTTTTCCTGTAAAGGGAGCCTTGTTTCATGGCCCAGGCTGGTCTCAAACTCTTGGCTTCCAGTGATCTCCTGCCTCAGCCTCCCAAAGTGATGGAATTACAAGTGTGAGCCACTGTGCCTGGCCCTAGAGTCAGCTTTAACTTGGAGGCTGCGAAGAAAATTCAAAGGAAACACAAATATAATGAAGCCTTTTGAAAACCAGTTTTTCATGGACTGGCCGAGAGAGGGAACCTATTCTATTACATGCCAAATTCCAGTGTGAAACCATGCACTCATACTTTATTTTGAAACCGTAAGCCATAGCACCCAAAACCTGTTAAACTTTTGGGAACAAACAGGTTGAAAGTAGATGCACAGAGTGGCAGGACCGGTGTAGAGAACACTGCATCTGTGCGTTGTATTTAATCACAAAGGCTAGAGCTGCTAATTGGCCAAGTGGGAAGCTGCTGCCAAAGCTGTGATTAAAAGTGATGATTAGTCACAAAGCAAATAAAATAATGGACAAGATTCCTTTGTCTAATGATTTAGCTCATTGTCCATTTTTAGATAGGGACAAATACATTGAGCAGCTGTTATTTTCCTGGGGAAGACAAACTTGGTTCTGTTCACTAGAGACTGATGAGCCCACTGATACTCTGAACTCAGCTAATCCTTTGCTTTGTCAGGCATGAGCTGAATAGACAAGCCCATGGGGACGTTTTTTTTCTAGCTCGTCAATTAGAAGAAATGCTTTAAAATCTATTGTTGATTTTATGACAAATGACAACATAGACTCCAAGTGTGTTGAATGGTAAAAGCAGAGATGGTGTCTTGGGTTAATATGAGAATTTGGTCCATTGTGCTCCAGCACCAGAAACTACCAGAACTAAAGTCTGCTCCCTTTTTGTATTGAAAACACAGTCCTACTAGTCTCATGTATGCGGGGATATTAAGTCCGTTATCAATAGAGTGTGAAATAATCACTCCTGTGAAAGGCGGAGACTTAATTCTCTAGCCTTGTGAAGTCATGGGCGGTAACTACCAGCACCCACTTCTCCTTCATCCTGAAAGCTTGTAGGTAGGAAAGTCTCTCTCTCCTTGACTGTTATCTCAAGAAGAGTGTCACATCTTTGTGGAGTCAAACTTTCACCATGGCATACACACCATGATTGTGGAGGAAAGAATTGTGGAAAACTTGAAAAAAGTATTTTGAATATGGCATTTACAAAGTTAGGAGTATTTGACACAGCAGGCATGTGGGGAAAAAAAGAAAAGATTAAAAAAAAAAAACAGAATTAGGATTAAAGGTCTCCATGAATGTTTTCCTAAACCAGTTGGTGGCGGTGAATGGATAAAGACAGTCTCCCCCTACCCTGTTTTATTAATATGTGAATATTACCAAGTAAAAGGACACATTCAAAAGATCAGACTGTGGATGGTTTCTTGAAGCAAAAGTTTGTTAAAGCAAAATGGCATTTTGGTTAGGAATTCCTTTTCAGAATCCAGTTGTATCAGAGAACGTGATTAAATACCATTTGCAGCTGGGTGCGATGGCTCATGCCTGTAATACCAGCACTTTGGGAGGCTGAGACGGGTGGATCACTTGAGGTCAGGAGTTTGAGACCAGCCTGACCAACATGGTGAAACCTTGTCTCTACTAAAAATACAGAAACAGCCGAGCGTGGTGGCACATGGTAATCCCGGCGGCGGAGGTTGCAGTGAGCCAAGATAGCCCCACTGCACTCCAGCCTGGGCCAGAGCGAGACTCTGTCTCCAAAAAAATAAATACCATTTGCTTGCCTGATCTAATTACAGACATGTAAATCAGAATTCTTTGGTTAATATCAAAATTTAAAAATAAAACTGTCTAATAGAGCCTAATCTTCCTCTTAAACTAAGCAGCGTAGCGTCTCGTATTCTTTTGTTGTGATTATAAACAGTTTCTTTTACCTTGAGGAATCAAGTTTCAGATAGGACTTTTTATAAATAAACTTGTTAGATTTTTATGTAATTCCGTAGTTACTTTTTTTTTTCTTTTTTTTTTCTGAGATGGAGTCTCGTTCTATCACCCAGGCTGGAGTGCAGTGGCATGATTTCGGCTCACTGCAACTTCTGCCTCCCAGGTTCAAGTGATTCTCCTGCCTCAGGCCTCCAAGTAGCTGAGACTACAGGTGCGCGCCACCACGCCCAGCTGATTTTTGTATTTTTAGTAGAGACGGGGTTCCACCATGTAGGTCAGGCTGGTCTCGAACTCCTGACCTCAGGCGATCTGCCGGCCTTGGCCTCCCAAAGTACTGGGATTACAGGTGTGAGCCCCTGCAGCAGCCACTTTCAAATTTAACTTTAAAAATACAGTTTTCATTGTATTTAATTTGGGGGGATGCCTTCTGTTTGTGACCAGTGATGCTGTTTTTCTGTTTAGTGATGAAAGATTTCCCCTTAAGATAAATATATTTAGGTTAAAAAGAGTCTTTTTGGCAAGACTAACACAATAGTTGATTGTATCATTTGTATGGTACCAAGTAGTAGTTCATTATGCCGTTATGTTTTATTACTGAGCCAGTTGATGTCTTAGTTGGTGTCTGCAAAATTTCTCCCCTTTAAATTTTCTGTCTTTCCCTTGTTAATTGATCTATATCTTGAGAGATACTTTGAGACTAGGCAAATCCTGTTTCTCCTCAAACTTTTGCCCACTAATTTTAGCATACATTAGTAGATCTTGTCTGCAGTGTTTTTCTGTTTTCTGCTTTTCTCTTTCCTTCTACATTTTTAAACTGGATTCTGTGAGGAAAAGAGTTTTCTTTTCCTTGTTTATTGATTTGGTTATTTATGTAAGTATTGAGTCCATGATGCGTGTTTGTGCGTATAATCCTATGGATTAAAATCTAATGCTATCCTTATTTCGTAACCTTACTGTAATCATGAGAGTATTGGAAAAACCCAAATTGAGGGACAGCATCCAGGACATGAAAGATGAAGATAAGAACTCTATAAGATTGGAGGAAGATTAAGAAGAAATAGTACCTAAATATAATGTGGGGTCCTGGATAGGATTCTAGAACAGATAAACAGCATCAGTGGGAAAATTGGTGGATTTCTAATTAAGTTTGTAGATTAGTTAATGTTATTGTATCAGTGTTAATTTCCTGTGGATAATTGTATCTGCTTAATGTAGAAGTGAGTAAGACATATGGGATAAGGGAAATTGTACCATTTTTGTAGCTTTTCTTTGTCTAAAATTAGTTTCTAAAAGTTTAAAAAATTAAAGAATATTAAGTAAACAATCATGAATCATTTTAATTAAGTTTAAAACAATATTTTTTCTGCTGTTGGACATGTGATGAAGGTTTTTTATGTGAAATTTTCTTTGATAGAAAGTATCTGGAGGATTAATTTCTTTGATTTTACTTTTTTTTTTTTTTTGAGACAGGGTCTCGCTTTGTGACTCCAGCAAGAGTGCAGTGGCACAATCTCGGCTCACTGCAGCCTCAGCCTCCCCAGTTCAAGTGATCTTTCTGCCTCAACCCCCAAGTAGCTGGGACTGCAGGCATGCACCACCATGCCTTGCTAATTTGTTTTGTATTTTTTGTGGAGATAGGGTTTCACCATGTAGCCCAGGCTGGTCTCATACTCCTGAGCTCAAGTGATCTGCCCTCCATGGCCTTCCAAAGTGCTCGGATTATAGCCATGAGCCATTGCGCCAAGTCTGGCTTTACATTTTGGCAATTAGAAACTTGATTCTAGGCCAAGCATGGTGTCTCATGTCTGTAATCCCAGCAGTTCGGGAGGCCAAGGCGGGCAGATCACTTGAGGCCAGGAGTTCGAGACCAGCCTGGCCAATGTGGCGAAAACCCGTCTCTACTAAAAATACAAGTTAGCCAGGTGTGATGGTATGCACCCGTAGTCCCAGTTACTCGGTAGGCTGTGGCACGAGAATTGCTTGAAACCGGGAGGCAGAGGTTGCAGTGAGCCAAGATCGCCACTACACTCCAGCCCTGGGTGACAGAGCACGACTCTGTCTCAATTTAGAAAAAAAGGATAGAAACTTTGATTCTGAATATTGTTAGTTCATGTATCAGTGTATAATTTTAAGTTGGCTTAACTACTCTCTGACACTGTTCTGATAAAGTATATCTCTTAAGATATTTAATTTTTTTTTCTTTTTTGAGACGGAGTCTTGCTGTGTTGCCCAGGCTGGAGTGCAGTGGCGTGATCTTGGCTCTCTGCAAGCTCCACTGCCTGGGTTCAAGCGATTCTTCTCCCTCAGCCTCTCGAGTAGCTGGGACTACTGGTATGTGCCACCATGCCCGGCTAATTTTTGTATTTTTAGTAGAGACGGGGTTTCACTGTGTTGGCCAGGCTGGTCTCGAACTCCTGACCTCATGATCTGCCCGCCTCGGCCTCCCAAAGTGCTGGGATTACAGGCGTGAGCCACCGTGCCCAGCCTAAATTTATTTTTTTGTAATGATTCATATATAGTGTCTCCAATCTTGAACTTTTTTTTTTTTTTTGAGACAGGATCTTGCTTTGTCACTCAGGCTGGAGAGTGGTAGCTCAATCCTGGCTCACTGCAGCCTTGACCTCCTGGGCCTAAGTGATCCTCCCACCTCAGCCCCCTGAGTAGCTGGGACTACGGGCACATACTGCTGCACCCAACTATTTTTAAAAAGTTTTTGTAGAGGCAGGGTCTCAAACTCCTGTGCTCAAGTGATTCTCCTGCCTTGGCTTCCCAAAGTGCAGGGATTACAGGCATGAGCCACCTTGCCCAGCCTGGACCTTTAATTTTATTTTGGATGAAATTTACAAAAATAAAATGTCCATACACTAAAGACTGGAACAGTCTTTGGGGGAGAAGAGGGTTCTGTTTAAGTATTTTTCATTTATTTGAAGTTTTCCTTTTATTCTTTCACTTCCTTCTACAAACCAAGTCATTTTGTTCAAAACTTAGTTTTATTTATGAAAAAAAATTTTCATCAAAGAAATTGATTTCTTCATTGAAATTTTTATTGAGATAATTGTAGATTCATATGCAGCTGTTAGAAATGATACCCAGAGATGGCCGGGCGCGGTGGTTCACGCCTGTAATCCCAGCACTTTGGGAGGCCGAGGCGGGTGGATCAGGAGGTCAGGAGATCGAGACCATCCTGGCTAACACAGTGAAACCCCGTCTCTACTAAAAAAATACAAAAAATTAGCCGGGCGTGGTGGCGGGCGCCTGTAGTCCCAGCTACTTGGGAGGCTGAGGCAGGAGAATGGCGTGAACCCGGGAGGCGGAGCTTGCAGTGAGCCGAGATCACACCACTGCACTCCAGCCTGGGCGACAGAGAGAGAGACTCCATCTCAAAAAAAAAAAAAAAAAGGAAAGAAATGATACCCAGAGACCCCTGTCCACATCACCCAGTTTCCTCTGGGGTAATATTTTACAAAGCTAGTAAGATGTCACAGCTAGAACTCTGACATTGGTACGGAGCACCAGTCTTACTCAACATTTCCCCAGTTTTACCTGTACTCATTTGTATATGTGAAGAAATCAGATTTTATGCTTAAAAAACTACTGAAGTACTAACTTGTATTATATCTAGTGACCTCTGGGAAACCATTTAACTTCTTGTGCCTCAGATTCTCTCATCTGATTAAGTCAAGACAGCTTGTTTGGATGATCTTTAGGATCTTTTTTTGGGTGAAAACATTCTGTAATTTTTGTATGGGAGTTTTAAAATTGAAATTATAACCTTACCTCCTTTTTTCTCTGTTTGGGTGTAGGAGGAAAAGGCTTCTCTTTTACATCGTACTCAGGAAGAAAGAAGAAAGAGAGAGGTAAAAACAGTTTTGTAATACTCTGTAGATAAGCATTTTTTCTACAGCATTTAAACATGCCTTGGTTTTACTGTATATATGTATGTGTGTATGTATTTTTTATATATGACAGAATGTGTGTGTATGTGTGTTTAGCTTTAGAAACATTTATTCTGGAGCCGGTGTAGAAAGAGATGGACTAAAAGGGCAGTTTCCAGACTGGAGAAGGAACATGGGCTTTTGGTTGACTTACATAATGATATGGTTTCCAGAAGATCTAGAAAGCCGTATTATAAATATAATGTTCATATTTCTTTTTCTTCTCTTTTTTTTAAGATACTGAGTCTTGCTCTGTGACCCAGGCTGGAGTGCAGTGGCAAGATCATAGCTCACTGTAGCCTTGACCTCCTGGGCTCGGTGATCTTCCTGCTCTAGCCTCCTGTAGCTGGGACTACAGGTGCATGCCACCATGCCCAGCTAATTTTTAAGATTTTTACATAGATAGGGTCTTGCTTTGCTGCCGAGGCTGATTTCAAACTATGGCCTCATGCAATCGCCTCCCTCATTTTCCCAAAGTGTTGGGATTACAGGCGTGAACTGCCTCGTCTGGCTGATGATGTTGATGTTTCATGAAGCATAAGGAGAAAGCTCACTGTTAAGACATGTGTCTTAACTGTTTGTGAAGAAGGTAAAAGAAAGACACTAATGACATTTTTATTGTTTATCCTACGTTATATCTTGTGATAGTTTCTTTAAATAGCTTTATTTTGTTGATTAATCAGCAATTGTACTATCTTATGACCTGCTTTTTTAGGTAGAGTTTTTTGTTTTGTTATTTTAACAATTCATTTAGGCCCCTGACAAATATTTATTGAGAACTTACTATGTATGTACTAGGTATTGCTCTGCTTGCTGGGTATACAGATAGTGAATAAGACAGACAAGGTTCCTGCCGTGAACCAGGATGCTGAGGTGGTGACAAAACCTGTGAGGGCCACAGAGTAATGTGATTACAGCTGGAAGGGCCTATATTAGAGATGGTGTTTAGGGGAAGGGCTCTCTGAGGTGGTTACAGTGAAAAGAGTTTAGGCAGGATTTTCCAACCTTGGTGCTGACATTTTTGAACAGATAATTCTTTGTTGGGGGGAACTGCTCTGTACATTGGAGGATGTTTAGCAACACCCATGGCCTCTACCCACTAAATGCCAGTAGCACTCCGTTACCTCAGTTGTGACAACCAAAAATGTCACCAGAAACTACCAAATGTCCCAGGGAGGGCACTGCTCAACCAAGAAAGATATTTGTTGGTTGGTGTTTTTAATCTTGTTTTATGGAAAATTCTCGGCCATTATCTCTTCCATTAGTGCTTTTGCTTCATTCTTCTCCTCCTCTCCTACTTGGACGCAAACTGTAAATGTTTTTGACCTTTGCGTCGTTTCCCATATTTCCCTCATGTGCTTTTCTCTGTGTTTATCCTTTTGAATATCTCTGCTTCAGTTTGGATATTTTCACCTGACCTAATTTCTGATTTACAGCTGATCTCTTTAGCATTGACTTTTTTTTTTTTTTTTTTGAGGTGGAGTCTCACTTTGTCAACCGGGCTGGACTGCAGTGGCACGATCTCAGCTCACTGCAACCTCCGCCTTCCAGGTTCAAGCGATTCTCCTGCCTCAGCCTCCCGAGTAGCTGGGACTACAGGTGCACGCCACCGCACCCAGCTAATTTTTTGTATTTTTAGTAGAGATGGGGTTTTGCCATGTTGGGCAGGCTAGTCTTGAACTCCTAACCTCAAGTGATCTGCCTGTCTCAGCTTCCCAAAGTGCTGGGATTACAGGCGTGAGCCACCCTGCTGCCTAATTGTTAAATACATCCATTGACTTCGTAATTTCAGTTTTTGTTATTTCAGTTCTAGAATTTTCTTTCATTCTTTTATATAGTCTTTAGTTCTCTTTTAATTTCTTGAACATAATTATAGATTTTTTAAGACAATGTTTAAACTCCAGTAATTGGATCTTCCGTGGGGTTTGTTTCTATTGTTTGTCTTCTTGATTTTTAATCTGATGGGGTTTCCTTTATAGGTGACTAGCTGCTTTTCTTTTGATGCTTTTAGAATTCAGTCTTTATCTTTGACTTTAGATAGTCTGATTATTTGCTTGGAGATCGTTGAGTCTGCTGTATGTAGGTGTCTAAATCTCTTGTGAGACAGGAAGTTTTCATCTATTATTTCATTAAATAGGTTTCCTAATCCTTTCTTTGACTCTTTGACCTTGGTGTTACCAATACTTTGAATATTTTATTGCTTTATGTTATCCCAAATGTCATGAATGCTTTGCTCATTCTTTTTTCTGTATTTTTGTCTGGCTGGATTATTTCAAAAGACCTGTCTTCAAGTTCTGAGATGCTTTCTTTTGCCTGATTAGTCTGTCTTGAAGCTTTCAAATGTATTTTGTATTTCTTTAAATGAATTCTTCACTTCCAGAATTTCTAGTTGATTCTTTTTAAAAATACTTACTCTTTGGTAAGTTGCTCACTTATATCCTGAATTATTTTTCTGACTTCTTTGTATTTTTCAGAATTCCCTTGTATCTCACTGAGCTTTAAAATCAATATTTTGAGGGCTGGGCGCGATGGCTCACGCCTGTATTCTCAGCACTTTGGGAGGCCGAGGCAGGCCGATCACCTGAGGTTGGGAGTTCGAGACCAGCCTGACCAACATGAAGAAACCCCATCTCTACTAAAAATACAAAATTACCCAGGCATGCTGGCGCATGCCTGTAATCCCAGCTCCTCGGGAGCCTGAGGCAGGAGAATTGCTTGAACTCGGGAGGCGGAGGTTGTGGTGAGCTGAGATCACGCTGTTGCACTCCAGCCTGGAGTGAAACTCCGTCTCAAAAAAAAAAAAAAAAATCAATATTTTGAATTATTTGAGATTTTCAAAATTTCTATTTGATTAAAATCTATTGTTGGAGAATTATTGTATTCCTTTGGAGATGTCGTATTTCCTTGTTTTTTCATGTTTCCAGCATCCTTACATTGCCATGTGCATCTGGTGAAAGTCGCTTTTTCCTGTTGGTGGTGGTGGTGGTGGTGGTGGTGGTGGTTTTTGAGACAAAGTCTTGCTCTGTCACCCAGGCTGGAGTGCAGTGACATGATCTCAGCTCACTGCAACCTCCACCTCCTGGCTTCAAGTGATTCTCCTGCCTCAGCCTCCCAAGTAGCTGGGATTACAGGCGTGCACCACCATGCCCAGCTAATTTTTTGTATTTTTAGTAGAGATGGAGTTTCACCATGTTGGCCAGGCTGGTCTGGGACTCCTGACCTCAAGTGATCTGCCCACCTCAGCCTCCCACAGTGCTGGGTTTACAGGCATGAGCCACCATGCCCGACCTCACAGGATTTTTTTATAACCATTTCAAGCCCAGGAACTACATCTACATGACCTGATGGTGTTCTTGAATCCCACAGTGTGTGTGTTAGTCTCAGCTTTGTAGATGGCATTCATAGAAGACATGAAACAAGGTAGTATGGTGAGATGGAGTACAGGCTTTATTATCATACCTGAGTTTGAATTCTGCTTTACATCTTTGGGTGTTGCTTAATTTTTATAGCAGTCTCAGTTTCTGCATCTTTAAACTGGAAGTGATGCTCACCTGTAAGATGACTGTGCATTTGTATATAAAATGCCTCTCTCTCTCTCTTTTCTTTTTTTTTTTGAGACGGAGTCTCACTCTGTCACCCAGGCTGGAATGCAGTGGCGCGATCTCGGCTCACTGCAAGCTCCACCTCCCGGGTTCACGCCATTCTCCTGCCTCTGCCTCCTGGTAGCTGGGACTATAGGCACCCGCCACCATGCCCGGCTAATTTTTTGTATTTTTAGAAGAGGTATGGTTTCACCATTTTAACCAGGATGGTCTCGATCTCCTGACCTTGTGATCCTCCTGCCTCGGCCTCCCAAAGTGCTGGGATTACAGGCATGAGCCACCATGCCTGGCCTAAAGTGCCTCTCATAGGGCTGGCACATAGTAGTAGGCTGTCCAACAGCAGTAGCACTGGTCATAACAATGATGAAGAACGCATATTTTTGCCAGGTCGCTGAACATTTTAAAGATACTCTCAAGTCAATGAAAATTGGAATTTTCTCTTGAAACAAGAAAGTGACCTTTAAAATAGATGCTGGTGTTGTCTGCTTGTATTCCTTTAATATTTAAAACTTTAAAAAGTCCTGCTAGCCGGGCACGGTGGCTCATGCCTGTAATCTCAGCATTTTGGGAGGCCAGGGCTGGAGGATCATGAGGTCAGGAGATCGAGACCATCCTGGCTAACATGGTGAAACCCCGTCTCTACTAAATATACAAAAAATTAGCCAGGTGTGGTGGCGGGTACCTGTAGTCCCAGCTACTCGGGAGGCTGAGGCAGGAGAATGGTGTGAACCCAGGAGGCGGAGCTTGCAGTGAGCTGAGATCAAGTGGGCGACAGAGCAAGACTCTGTCTCAAAAAAAAAAAAAAAAAGGTCCTACTATGCTGGTGAGATTGTAAAATGGTATTGCCATTTTGGAAAACAGTGTGGCAATTCCTCAATGATAACTCTACTTCTAGGTTTATGCTCAAGAGAAATGAAAACCTGTATCCACAACAAAACTTATATATGAATGTTCATAGCAGCCTTAATTCATAATAGACCAAAGTGGGAGCAGCCCAGATGTCCATCAGTAGATGAATGGAGGAATTCAACGTGGTCCATCCATACAATGGAACATTACTCTTACTTAGCCTTAAAAAGGAATGAAGTTCTCACATATGCTGTAACATAGGTGGATCTTGAAAACATCATGCTAAGTGAAGAAAACCAGACACAGCATATTGTATGATTCCATTATATGAAGTGTCCAGAATAAGCACATCCATAAGATAGAAGTAGATGAGTGATTGCCAGGGGCAAGAGAAGGGACGGCAGGAAACGGGGGGTGACTGCGAATGGAGACGGGGCTTCTGGTTGTGGTGATGAAGGTATTCTAAGATCAGTGGTGATGGTTGCATAGCTCTTAATATATTAAATGCATATTTAGTGGGTGTTACCTTTTAAAGAATGAATTTTATGGTATGTGAATTACATAGCTGTTAGTGTTTTTAAAGTCTTTACTAGCAAAATGTCATTTTCACTGGATTCTGACCAATTGCTCCCTCACTCCTCCTTTTATTGTTTAGGAAGAAAGGCGAAGGTTGAAAAATGCAATAATTATCCAGTCATTTATTCGAGGCTATAGAGACAGAAAACAGCAAGTAAGTTTGTTTTAAAATGAGGAGATTAGTAGGGCATGGGAGAGCTTATTTTAAATATGGTATCTTTGTACACCTTGTTAATTGAAGTCAATGCTGACAGTAGTATTCTTCCCAATAAATAATTTTATTTGTTCTAATTATTGTGAAGATTTATAGATAGGTGAGTTTTTAGGTAATTTTTAAATAATAAAATACAAACATGGGCCTCACCACAGTTGAAAATCAAAATAGAAGGAAGTCATGAGAGATCCTTTTTTTTTTTTTTTAAATTGAGACTGAGTCTCACTCTGTTGCCCAGGCCAGAGTGCAGTGGCATGATCTCGGCTCACTGCAACCTCTACCTCCTGGGTTCAAGCAATTCTACTGCCTCAGCCTCCCGAGTAGCTGGGATTACAGGCATGTGCCACCACGTGCAGCTGATTTTTGTATTGTTAGTAGAGTCGGTGTTTTGCCACGTTGACCAGGCTGGTCTGGAACTCATGACCTCAAATGATTCGCCTGCCTTGGCCTCCCAAAGTGCTGGGATTACAAGCATAAGCCACTGCGCCTGGCCTGTTTTTGTTTTGTTTTTTGTTTTTTGAGAGAGTCTTGCTCTGTCACACAGGCTGGAGTGCAGTTGCACGATCTTGGCTCACTGCAAGCTCTGCCCCCAGGTTCAAGCTATTCTCCTGCCCCAGCCTCCTGAGTAGCTGGGACTACAGGTGCATACCACCACAGCTGGCTAAATGTTTTTGTATTTTTAGTAGAGATGGCGTTTCACCATGTTGCCCAGGCTGATCTCGAACTCCCGACCTCAGGTGATCCACCCACCTCGGCCTCTCAAAGTGCTGGGATTACAGGTGTGAGCCATCGTGCCCTGCCTAGCTTTTGTATTTTTAGTAGAGATGGGGTTTCGCCATGTTGGGCAGGCTGGTCTTGAACTCCTGACCTCAGGTGATCCACCTGCCTTGGCCCCCTGAAGTGCTGGGATTAAAGGCATGAGCCACCATGCCTGGTTTTTTTTTTTTTTTTTCTTTTTAACCATTTTTTTTCTACAATTCAACTGTGAGCAAGGACCGATAATGGTGTTTTCGTTGTCAATTTCCACCATTCCTGTAAACACAGCAACGTATATTTACATCATAAGAATTGTGTGTCCAAATACTATATTTATGGGTCATTTTGTTTTGTTTTTCTTCCAGTATTCCATCCAAAGAAGTGCATTTGATCGCTGTGCTACCTTGTCACAGTCCGGGGGCGCTTTTCCCATTGCTAATGGCCCCAACCTTACCCTTTTGGTAAGGCAGCTTCTGTTTTTTTACAAACAAAATGAAGACTCAAAACGTTTGGTGAGTGTTAACTACATTTTCACTTGTCCTCGTTTACACGTGTTCTGCTTTTTTGTTTAAAGTGGAAATGGCTTCTCATCAGAAAGTTAAACAGCTCTCCACTGCATCCAGGCTTTGCAAACTTCTCAGCTAGCTGTGAGAGGTTACCTATGTGGTGATGTGTTTTACCTCTTAAAATTTGATACACATAAAAATGTGTATCCAAAAATAGGCTTTTTCGTATTTTTTGCAGTGGAAAACCTTAAGCATTTAAAAAGCAGAATATTTTGCCCACCTATCATGTACCCTGACACAGCCTTAGCAGTTGCCAGCACGCCTAGGTCAGTGGGACGTGCACCCTGAATACCACATCATGATTACTTGCAAACTCTAAAATACAAGGTCTCAGTGTTTACATTTTATTATTATTATATTAGAGATGGGGTCTTACTCAGTTGTCTTGAATTCCCAGGCTTAAGCAGTCCTCCCACCTCAGCCTCCCAGGTAGCTGGGACTACAGGTGTGTGTACACCTTGTTAATGTTAAGGCTAATTTTTTTTTTTGTAGAGATGAGGTCTTGCTATGTTGCCCAGGCTGGTCGTGAACTTCTAGCCTCAAGTGATTTTTCCCTCCCTGGCCTCTCAAAGTGCTGGAATTATAGGCGTGAGCCACTGTACATGATTTAGGGTCTCTTTTGTGGGGAGGGCACTGAGGGAGTAGAGCCTTGCTCTTGTCACCTAGGCTGGAGTGCAGTGGTGCATTCTTGGCTCACTGCAACCTTCCCCTCCCGGGCTCAAGCAATCGGTGGTGTCTCAGCCACCTAAGTAGCTGGAATTACAGGCGTGTTACCAACATGCCTGGCTAATTTTTGTATTTTTAGTAGAGACAGGGTTTCACCATGTTGGCCAGGCTAGCCTCCAACTCCTGGCCTCAAGTGATCCTCCCACCTCATCCTCCCAAAGTGGTAGAATTATAAGCATAAGCCACCATGCCCAGCCTTAGGGTCTCATGTTTTTAAAAAAAATCCCAAATGTAATCGTAGTTCTCTAAAATTTTGTAGGCTGTTGATCTTATCAGTGCTGAGGAACAGTGTGTATTAATGGTGGAAAATACAACCAGATGCATAGAAGAATAATTTTTTTAAAAAATGGAATTTGTTACTGTCCATTTTCTCAAGGAATATTAAGAGATTTGTATATAATTGTTGGGTTATATACATTTTTAAATATTTTATATATATATATATATATATATATATTTTTTTTTTTTTTTTTTTTTTTTTTTTTTTTTTTTTTGAGACAGAGTCTTGCTCTGTCACCCAGGCTGGAATGCAGTGGCATCATCTCGGCTCACTGTAACCTCCGCCTCACGGGTTCAAGCGATTCTCCTGCCTCAGCATCCCAAGTAGCTGGGATTACAGACGTGTACCACCACGCCCAGCTAATTTTTGTATTTTTAGTGGAGATGGGATGTCGCCATGTTGGGCAGGCTGGTCTCGAACTCCTGGCCTCAGGTGATCCACCTGCCTCGGCCACCCATAGTGCTGGGATTACAGGCATGAGCACTGCACCTGGCCTAGGTTAAATATGCTATTTATCTTTTTTTTTTTTCCTTTTTGAGACGGAGTCTTGCTCACTCTGTCGCCCAGGCTGGAGTGTAGTGGTGCGATCTCAGCTCACCGCAACCTCGCCTCCTGGGTTCAAGCGATTCTCCTACCTGAGCGCCCTGAGTAACTGGGGTTACAAGCTTATGCCACCACCCCTAGCTTAAATTTTTTTGTATTTTTAGTAGAGTCAGGTTTCACCATGTTGGCCAGGCTGGTCTGTACTCCTGACATCAAGTGATCCACTTGCTTTGACATCCCAAAGTGCTGGGATTACAGACATGAACCACCACACCCAGCCAGGTTAAATATATAATTTATTTTTGGAAATTTTTGTTTATCTGTGTTAAAAATTTCAAATTGCATGAAAGGGGAGTATACAGTGAAAAATAAGTCTTCCTCGCTACAAACCATCCCTACTAGAATGATCCTACTTGAATTAATTACAGCGGACAAAGGAATACATGATTATTCCTCTAGTGTTTGGCTTTAAAACCCAGCATTGCCTCCAGAGTTGAGCTAAGGTGGAACATGGTGAAGACTTTCTGTAAACCGAGAACGTGCAGAGAAGGAACTGAGAGCCAGTCTAGAGAGGCAGTGAAAGCCGTTGAATCTACCCATTCTGGACTTCAGTTAAGTGCAGGCTCTTTCCAGGCTTGCTTTCTGAAGTTGTTGAAAAAAAGAATCAGAATAGTACAACGGCAGATAATCGGGCTTGCTTTCTGGAACAGGATGTCCTGGCCTCACATACTCTAATCTTGTAGATTACAAGATCACCAAGGAGCACAGACAGGCAGGTGCTGTGAGATGTCGATTGGTGTCTCTCCAGAGCACCTATTGCCTTTGAGTGAGGTCCTCAATCTTAGTCATCAGTCACGACATGGTGTAGCTACACAGTCTTGCTTCAGAAGCCATCTGTGAAAAGCTTGGAGGTAAATGAACATATTTGACTTTCGGCCTCGAGCAAATATCAAGCAAATTGCTCATGTGCAGATTCTGAAACCTGAAATAGAATTAAATGTCATAAGACCAGTCCAGGAAAAGGATAAAAGAAAAGTGGGCTGGACACAGTGGCTCAGGCCTGTAATACCAACACTTTGTGGGGCTGAGGTGGGAGGATCCCTTCAGGCCAGGAGTTTGAGACCAGCCTGGCCAAAATACCAGACCCCACCTGTAAAACAAAGCAAAAAATAAATTAGCTGGCTGCGGTAGCTTGCTGCTGTAGTCCAGCTACTTAGGAGGCTGAGGCAGGAGGATCGTTTGAGCCCAGGTATTCAAGGCTGCAGTGAGCTATGATCCTGCGACTGCACTCCAGCCTGGGCGGTTGAATGTTGATTCAGTTCTCAAGCATAGATGCGATAGCAATAAATTAATCTTAACGTAGGGGAAAATGTCTCCTGCCCCAGTCTTCACATTGTTTGCCTTCTACTCTAGGAGTAAGCATAATGCCACTTTTGATGGGTTTTCAAAGTTATTCTATGCAAAAATCAACATATATGGCTATTTCTTCCTCACCTCCTTTTTAAAAAATTTTTCTTACGACTTTAAGTCAAATATGGTACTAAGATTATATTTTATGTATAGTTTAATTCTGGAATTAATTGCCTCACTTTTTAGTTGCTTAATTTTCTTTGAATCTTTTGATAAAGTCTTCTTCCAACAGTCCTATTATATAATGTATAGTTATTTTACATCTTATTTGTTAACTGATAATAGAAATTTTAGGACGAACTACATGTCAGATGGTGAAGGGAGTATTCATACCTTATTCATTCCTGAGAAAATGTGGGCAAGGTGGCTCCAAACACCTCAAGAGAAAGCCTGTGTGTAGGCAAATTAACTAATATTCGGAGTAGTTCAGAATTATTTCATCCCAGTTTAAGACATGCGCTAATTTATTATGCAGAGTGCTTTTGTGTTGGTAATTTCATTGTTTAATAACGTTTTATGGCAAAGAAATGTTAATGTCGAAGAAACTACTTAAAAATATAGGCAAAGACAAGGCTATGTGGCGTATTTATGACTAGCTACACTTAAGAGGCTATCTTTGCCGAGGGTGGTGGCTCACGTGTATAATCCCAGCGCTTTGGGAGGCTGAGGTTGGTGGATCACTCGAGGCCAGGAGTTCGAGACCAGCCTGGCCAACATGGCAAACCCCGCCCCTACTAAAAATATAAAAATTAGCTGGGCGTGGTGGCGGGCACCCGTAATCCGAGCTACTTGGGAGGCTAAGGCATGAGACTTATGCCTAATATATGAGAAATACCGTATTTCTCATATATTTTTATTACAGATTTCTGATATTTGCAAGTGAACTATTTTTGTTTCAGATTGACATGAGCTTTAAGTGTACTTTGTTTTAGTTACTAATTTAGTAATTTAATACTGATGTGTTATTTTAAGATTGAAAATGCAAATACTTTTGTTTTTTTGGAGACAGGGTCTCTCTCTCTCTCGCCCAGGCAGTGCAGTGGCTTGATGTTGGCTCACTGCAACCTCCACCCACACCCCGCAAGTTCAAGTGATCCTCCCATCTCAGCCTCTCGAATAGCTGGGACTACCGATGTGTGCCACCACGCTCGGCTAATTTTTGTATTTTTTTGTAGAGACAGGGTTTCACCATGTTGGCCAGGCTGGTCTTGAACTGGACCTCAGGTGATCTGCCTGCCTCAGCCTCCCAAAGTTACAGACGTGAACCACTGTGCCTGGCTGGAAAATGCACATACCTCTAAATAAAACCGACTTAGAATATTTACTTCTTAACCATCTTTTGATTAGGTTTGATTAAATGTGCATTGCCACTAAAGGAAATTTGGGGTATTATGTAAATTAGCAAACTATTAAATTTTCATTGAGAGTTGTATATTTTATGTTTTGCTGTTTCAGATATGGCTGTATCAGAACTTAATTAAACACAGCTCTCTGTTTGTCAAGCAGTTGGATGGATCTGAGAGACTTACATGCTTATTTCAGATAAAAAGATTGATGAGCCTCTGTTGCAGGTAAAATTCTATTGTAAGTCAGTAACGTATATAATGTATTGATCACCTTGTCTAGGGGAACACCTTTTGACTTTTATTTTCAGAGACAGTGGCTTTTCCATACTTTTTTTTTTTTTTTTTTTTTGAGGTCATGGACTTCTGTATATATTACAATTTTTACTGTAGGTGATTCAGGCCGGCATGAGGTATAAATGAAGACACATATTCAGTATCTTTCAGATGACTTTTTCTTTCACGGATGCCTTTGAATTATCTTGTGAATGATGGCCATCCTGGTTACTGGAGAATGGAAGGCCAGCCAAAAGAGGACTCCTGATGTGTGAGAATGATTCCATTCCATAGGGGTCTCCACCAAAATGCAGTTTGAAAGCCCCATCTTTAGAATACACCTTTCATCAGGCTTTTTATTATTTATGTAGGAACGCAGCATAAGCCACTGCCGTGACTTTCTTGCATTCAGTGTCCGAAAGAACACGTGTAAGTGATGTGAGTTACATTACCTGAATATAACACCTTTACCAGCTTTTAATAAATTGCTTATATCTCAACTGTAGTAAAATTTTCAAATGATCCTGAGCCTTCCATATAATTTCACTTAATTTTCTGGACACTGTCTGTAATATTTGTTTAGGATTACTGTCAGAACTAGTCTTTATTAACTGATTTTTCCAAAATACTTAGCTGGACCAAAGGTAGGAATAAAGAACCTATTAGAAGAGAGAACCAAGAGGATCCTAGATGCCAGTAATTCATATTTTTTCTAACTTATTTCTTTAATAAACTTTTAGTTTGAAAAACACATTGTATACATTCTTTTTGTGAAGCAGGAGTTTGCAAACTTTTTATGTAAATGGCGAGATAGCAAATATTTTAGGGTTTGTGGTCCACATATGGTCTCTATTATGTATTTTTCTTGCCTTTTGCTTACAACTCTTTAAAAATAAAGGAATCATGCTTCACTCAACAGCCGTACAAAAAACAGCCCTAGGGCTGGTTTGGCCTGTGGGTTGTAGTTTGCAAAACACCTTTAACGTAACTTTTGAATGTATTTGTATAAGCAAATAATTTTGATACATGATATATGTAAATATAATTATTCTTTTCCCAACTTTTATTTTTAAAAATTTCTAATACCAGAAACACCTGAAGCCCAGGAGTTCGAGGCTGCAGTGAGCTGTGATTGTGCTACTGAACTCCAGTTTGGGCAGCAGAGCAAGACCATGTTTCTTTTTTTATTATTTATTTATTTTTATTTTTGAGATAAGAGTCTTGCTCTGTCACCCAGGCTGGAATGCAGTGGCGTGATCTCGGCTCACTGCAACCACTGCCTCCTGGGTTCAAGCAGTTCTCCTGCTTCAGCCTCTCAAGTAGCTGGGACCACAGGCACGTGCCACCACGCCCAGCTAATTTTTGTATTTTTAGTAGAGATGGGGTTTTGCCATGTTGGCCAGGCTGGTCTCAAACTCCTGACCTCAGGTCATCCGCCTGCCTTGGCCTCCCAAAGTGCTGGGATTACAGGCGTGAGCCACCGTGCCCAGCCAAACCCATGTTTCTTTAACAACAAGAAAACACTCCTCCTCATCTTTCCTCTTTAATCTCAGTAAGGTCTCATGTATTTTTTAAAATACAGTGTGTGACAGATGACTTTTAATGGTCTGCTTATAGGTAGAGAGCACCCTGTAAGCAGCCCGTTTTTCTTGGCTTGGCCTCATTTGTATTTTGAGAGATCTTTGTTTTCTGTGAGGTCACAAAGCCTTAAGTGCTCTCTCTGCCCCAGGCCTGGGGCTGTTTTCTCTAAGGAGCACTGATTCTTTTTGATGAGAAATGGAATTTTAACAAAATGTAAATGTTAGAAATTGTACTTCAAGTGTATGTTAGTAAGTCGACAGTCTTATCTGCCACGTGCCAGAACATTGAATTTTTCTTTTTCTGTAAATGTGGCCTTCCAGAACCACCTGCAGCTCCTTTTATGACTAATCACATACATATTTTTTAATGCCGTTGAACATTTCTGAAGTCATGGAATCACTGGGTCACATAGTAGTTATATATTTCACTTTAGAAGAAACTACCAAACTTAGGACAGCAGCATAGGAGAGGCGCAGTTCCTCCATATCCTGAACCCTTGGTATTGACATTTGTCAAAACCCAGCCATTCTGATGGGTGTGTAGCTGTATTTTATTGTGATTGGAATTTGTATTTCCTGGATTACTAATGATGACGGGTGTTTCTCAGGAGCATACTGGTCACTCAGATGGCTCTTTTTCAAGAGTCTGTTCAAATCTTTTACTTCATTTTTTAAGGTGGGTTGTCTCTTGACAATATGGATATCCTTTTCCCGTCCAAGGCTGTCCCGATAAACCTGGAGCTACATCCTATGTTGTCTCTCACACGAGGCACCGTTCCAGCACTTCTCTCTGTTGCATTATCAGGTTTACCTCTCACATGGGATTATCAGCACACATGCTGCTGACTTTTCCAGGTTGACAAGAGGCTCTCCCACCGCCCGCCGCTGCCCTTTGCGTCCCAGCGGCTTGTTATGTGTAGCCCCGCTCCTCCTGCACTCGTACACCCCTCGAGAGACACCAGTGTGGTGCTGAGGGGAAAGTTGTGAAAAGGGCAAAGACAAAACAAGGTCTGGCTGGGTGTCCTGCCCAGCCTGCCCGCTGGGTCCTCACCCCCTGTCTCTCCTGGGCTTTGCGGCTGTTGAGACAGAAGGCAGCCTGCGGTAAGCGGATAAGCCGTGTAGACACACCCCACCCAGAACCCTGCACGTTATTCCCCTCCTGGCAGGGCAGAAGGCTTTTGTCACATAGAGAAGTTAGTTTCAGTGAGGCATTGAAACAGCCTCCTGGGTCCCTCATTAAAGGTGATGTGTGGTCAGATGGATTCTGTTTTTTTTTTTTTTTAAGAAAAAGGAAAAACAGCTGTAAAATACCTTGTGAAAGCAACAGGAGAAATCTAAAAATAAGTTCGGTGTTAGACAAAGTTTTTGATAGAAAAAAGGATTGGGGTGGGGGGAAAGAGGGAGGAGTGGACTAGAGACAGCCAAGAAGAAACTTTCGGGAGTGGCAGATGTGCTCTGTGTCTTGATTGGTGCGGCCTGCCCGACTGCTTGTGCTGCCCTCTCTAAACGGATAGTTAACCTGCAGTTCTTCTCATAGTAAGAAGGGAAGCCTCAGTCAAAATGAGAGTTGACTTAGGACCAGAAATATATCATTGTTCTATTTGGGGGATATTGCAGGCGTGGAAAGTCTCAAAAGCATCTTTAAGGAGATGAGATGCACTGTTAAAGAGATTCGTATCTGAGTTTAATTAAATGCAGCTTCTTGGTACAATTCATGGATTATAATACTTCTTACAGTGTTTTGTAATCTTTAATTTTTCGTGTTCATTTCTCCACTGTCCATTTTTCTTGTCTGTGAACTTAGTGCCAGCATACCGTTTGGCACATAACGAGAATTCTTTTAAAAACTGTCTGAATGACTGAATGTTAGTTGGATGATTTCCCTGTCTATCTGTAAGATGTCCCTATTTTCAGAGATAATCTTGTACTGGAATAGTTTCTTAACCATTGTCACTGAGAGTAACTTGGGGAAACTGGTGACATTTTGCCATCCTGTAAGTGTGTGAATACTTTTTTCATTTTTACAGGTTGCTGCAAAACTGTAATGATGACAGTTTGAATGTTGCACTTCCAATGAGAATGCTTGAAGTATTTTCGTCTGAGAATACTTACTTGCCTGTTTTACAAGATGCTAGCTATGTGGTGTCAGTGATTGAACAAATTTTGCACTACATGATTCACAATGGTAAGTAGTAGGCAGGATCAGAACTGTGGCTCAGCATCCTGATGGGGAGTGAGCAGAGGCCAGCCTGCTGCTGTGAGCCTGTGCCCTCAGTCTCAATGTCAGAGCGGTACTGGTGTCCCAGACGCCTTGTGCTCCATCCACAGGTGCCCACCAGAGTCCCAGATTCCAAAATCTGTCCTTGGCTCCACCCACTCTGAAAATTCAGAAACATGCTACTCTCTTTGCCTTTTTCTTTTGCTTGGAAGTGAACCAAAATTGACATATGCTTTCATCAGTTGTCCCGTCATCCAAGATTGGTGTCTGCAGTGCAGCTGCCGGTCCTTCACCTGACCAGGAAGGGCTCTTACCACCTCCTGGTCATTCTGAGTGAATGGGAAAGGTAATGCCACCAATGTATGAGTTGAACATCACTCCAAGAGCCTTATGAAAAAGTAAATTTTGTTAAATGATTTTTCTTCCAAGAGTGAGGTCCTTTCACATTAGTTCAGTAGAAGAGAATAGGATATTTAGTTTGAATTTTCTAACTCAGTGCTAAAGTTTTAATACATTGATAATGCTCCTAAAATGACTGCATCGTAGAAGCTATACTGAACTGCATCTGAAACCCTTGAGGACACATTAGTGACACTTTCTGGAGAAAAAGGATGAAATAAACATGATTTTTAAAAATTTTATGAAGTGAGCAGTATAAATCCTAACACAAAAGAACCTTTGGTCTCGACATCCTCATAGGTAGAAACCCAAGCACTTCAGGACTCCTGGGCTCGAGAAGTATTTGTCAGCATTAAAAATGTGCGTGAGACTAGTTGTGAAGGGAGGTCTGGAGAGCCGTGGCTGCAGACAGAATTATAAGCAGCTGTGCTTTCCTTCACCTGAAGTCATAGTCTGGGTTACATCTAACGGACTTGAAGTCTGGACCACTTGGTCCTCTTGGTCCTCTGTCAAAACTACAGAAATTAAACGCATACTCATTTCAGCCTTGCTGCTTGGCGTGTTACTATTTTTTAGACTCCTTAGTTTGTTGAAAACTTAGGGAAACAGTATTCCGAGTTAATTAAAAGTAAACTGAAAGTTGTGGAATTTGATCTTTTTAAAAACTAATAATTAAAAGTGGTTCATTGTGTTAGTTGACATATATACTGTTTTAAGACTAAGCGTTTGAGAATTTGTATTTGTTTTCTAAAATTGTAAGGAAGATATTTAAGAAATATGCATTATTTGAAATGTGTCCCAATATACGAAATGCTTAAAAATCTTACACAGAAACTGCCGCTTCTAGCATCTTCTGTGGTACAGCAGTTGTTTACTTTCTAACAGTCGATAAAATTTTAGCCTTTTAAATTATAGTATTACCATTATTTGTATTGTTATTGCACATTCTGTGCCATGAAGCTTTTTAACATTTGCAACAGAACCTTTGTCATGTTGTCAGTCTATTCAGTAAGTACATTGTTAGTTATGTTAGTCACTTTTTTAAAAAAGTCTCTGTGTATTTTTTAAAATTCTTGATGTATTTTTATCTTTTTAGTTTCATAGCAAAAGAGCTTTCAAGCTTTCATATGAGTTTCACTAGTTATCAGTATACACTAGGTTAGACTTGGGGTAGTTACAAAGTAGGTCTAATGATAAAGTACTGAGTATGCATTGTTTGGTGATCTTCACTCAAATACGAAGCTGTGTAGGACTGTTTCAAAAACTAGCCCATGCAGATGGATTGTTTTTAATGTGCTACCAAATACGCTTGTATATGATGAGATACTCAAAAATTGCACCTGAACCTTCTTATTCTATAAAAATGGAGTAAATGATTCTGAAAGAATATATGATTTGGATCATTCTTGATACCCAGAGTTATGTTCACTGCCTCCCACCCAGAGTTCCTATCAGAAGCGTAGGCTGGATATTTTAAGAGGTTCTGAAAGTTGTTTCAGTTTACGTATAAGCTGCCTTTAAACAGTTAACTTCTTCAGTTCCCAGATTGTGGTCTCCAAATACATCATCTCCTCTAAAAGGAGCTTAAGAGTTTCTGGAGAAAAGGCTGATTGTAGGGCGGGATGCAGGACTGCCAGTGACCCTGGGGCTCAGGAGCCTCCTAAAGCCCACCCCGGGGCCCCAGGTGGAGCAGCATGAGGTCAGGACTACAGTGGAATGAAACCTACCAATATGTTCAACTCTATGAATTCAACACGGTGTTTAAAAAATGCACAAATCAGAGACAAATTATAAGATCACAATATGTGGTCCTTATTGAGCTCCTTCCTGATGCAAGCAAACTAGTTAAATAGAATTTCTAACATGAGACAGTTGGAGACTTGAATACTGACTAGATATTTGTGATGTTAAGGAACTACTCTTCATTTATTTTAGCTGTGATAATGTTTTTAAAAATAGTCTCTTAATGATACACTAAAATAATTATATCTTAGACTTCCTTCCAAATGAGTGGTATACAGGTGAAATGAGATTGGCTGTAGTTGACAGTTGTTGGTACATGAGGTTTGTATACCGTTCGGCTGCCTATATATTTGTTTAGTTTTCCTTGCTAGCATGTTAAAGAACTAACTTAAGTTTGGACCTGTAGAGATGGTTAAAAGCATTTAAAAATTGGCAAGTTTTTTCCCTTATTACAGGAAAAGGCACTAAATTTTAAATATGTGTTTTTCCTTTTAGGGTATTATAGGTCTCTATATTTGTTGATTAACAGCAAGCTTCCATCAAGTATTGAATATTCTGATTTATCTCGAGTTCCTATAGCAAAAATTTTGCTAGAGAATGTTCTAAAACCATTGCACTTTACTTACAACTCCTGTCCGGAAGGTGCGAGGTGAGACTGGAATGGATTTATTGATTTTGTCCTTTCACAAGATCTATATCTGATGGTAACTTTTACATAGGATGTGATTTTAAATATAGACTTGAAATTCAGGTTTTTACTTTATTAGTGTTGATTTAGTTTATAGGAAAGTGTACTTTTTCTTTCTGGCCTGTAGCCTAATACAAATTTGTGATTCTGATAACATGGTTATTTTCCTGCTTTTCTAAGTAACTGTCAAAAATTAACGAAAACATGGTAGTTATCTTAATAGAGAAGACATTAAGTTTACTTTAGGTTGATCTAGTTGATATTAAAATGGTTAACTTGGCTAATTTAGAAGAGTAGATTATCCTTTTAGAAGGATATTTTGAAAGGTGATTTTAATCAGTGATTGGATGGACAGTATAATTTGATTTTATAAAAAGCTTCTGTTTTTCTTTTTCAGGCAACAAGTTTTTACAGCCTTCACAGAGGAGTTTCTGGCAGCACCTTTTACAGATCAGATTTTTCATTTCATCATTCCGGCGCTTGCAGATGCGCAGACCGTTTTCCCTTACGAGCCCTTTCTGAATGCACTGTTGTTAATAGAGAGTAGATGTTCAAGAAAGAGTGGTGGAGCACCCTGGCTTTTCTATTTCGTTTTAACTGTTGGCGAAAATTATTTGGGTATGAAATACAAGATCTTTTTTACCTGAACACACATATGGGTAGCATTGGCAGATGAGTCAAGAGAAGGCCATGCAGTGGCAGGTGTTATGGAAAGGTGGGCCTCTCCTGGAGGAGTGTATTTGCTGGAGGGATGTGGTCTGGGCAGTGTGTTCCTGGGGACAGTTTCCAGATACAGTGGAAAAGACTGACATATATATGTGTCTTATGAGGCCACACAGATTATTTTAATAGAGTTAACAGAGTTAAATGGGAAAGCTCTTCTGTGAGTCAGGCCTGTTTCCCTCCCTCTGCTAAATTTCCAGTGTGCCTCTTCTAGAATAACATCTTCCTGTAGTATGTTTGAAAACATACATACATACATACATGCATGAATTATTCATGAAAGAAATATAGGAAAATGTGAAAACCAAACTTTTGGGGGTTGGGTGCGGGGGGGTATATAGAGTCTCGCTCTGTCACTAGGCTGGAGTGCAGTGGCTCCATCTCAGCTCACTGCAACCTCCGCCTCCCGGGTTCAAGTGATTCTCCTGCCTCAGCCTCCTGAGTAGCTGGGACTACAGGTGCACGCCACCACACCCAGCTAATTTTTGTATTTTTAGTAGAGACGGGGTTTCACTATGTTGGCCAGGATGGTCTCAATCTCTTGACCTCGTGATCCACCCGCCTCGGCTTCCCACAGTGCTGGGATTACAGGCTTGAGCCCCTGTGCCCAGCCCAAACTGTTTTTCTTACTCTCTCACTCAACACTGAAAAATTCTGTGAGCAGAAATGTGGGGTTTTTTTTCCCACACACCAAGCAATTCTTCAGTGGACACCAACTAGGTATTCTACAATTCAGTTCAATTCTGATGCCGTCCACCCGGAGATAATGTCAGATCCCATCATCTGAGGGCTTAGTCCTGCAAGACTACACCCACTTCAGAGGCCGATTACAAGTAGTAGGTTGTCACCTATACTTCTGACCAACCTGCAAAAATGGGGGTTCCTCAGCCCCTCCTTGGGATTGGTAATTGACTAAGACAGTTCACAGAACTCGGGAAGTCGAGGTGTGCGGGAATGGGGAGCTTCCATGCCTTCTCCAGGCACTCCACACTCTCGGCACCTCCCTGTGTTGAGCTCATTGTGTCTTCCTGTTGAGTTTTATGGTGCTTCTTCTCCAGTGTCCCTCCCACAGACAGCCCCTTGGAAGTTGGTGCGTGGGGCTGAAAGTTCCAACCCTCTGATCACTTGGTTTTTCTGGTGAAAAGCCCCATTCTGAGTCCCCTAGATGGCCTCACCATAAGTCACCTCAAGTATGATCACAAAGGGCTGGCTATGAATAACAAGAGACTCTTTATCTTTCAAGAAATTACAAGAGTTGTAGGTGCTTTCTGACATGAACGGGGACAAAATCTAAATATGTTTCCTATTATAACACAGTTAGAATTTTAAAAATAAGATCTGGTCAGAAATGCCTCTCTGCGTGTGAGGAAAAATGGCGTCTTCGTTTTCCATTTTAAAAAATAATGTTTAACTAAAATACGTTTTAACTGATTGTTTTGCAAAGGGGCCCTCTCTGAGGAAGGGCTGCTGGTGTATTTGCGGGTGCTGCAGACCTTCCTCTCTCAGTTACCAGTCTCTCCTGCCAGCGCGAGCTGTCACGACTCAGCCAGTGACTCTGAGGAGGAGAGTGAAGAAGCCGACAAGCCCTCAAGCCCGGTAAGCCCCGTGCCCTGCATCTGGGGGGCTGCGATGCAGGCAGCCCCGTCGGATCTTCTAGCTTTCTGTCCACCCGTAGTTTCAGTTACACAAGTCAGACCCTCAAGCAGCCTTTGCAGAGAAGCCCCGTCAGCCCCACTACCACAGTTTCTAGTGATGGGAAAGTCTCTCCCACCGCTTTGTTAGCACGTTCATGGAAGTGTAAATGGAGACACATAGCTTTGTGTTTGGTTTTTTAGGCAAAATAGGATCATACTATATGTTAACTTAGTTATTAGGAAATATTTTCTGGAAGTGAAATTGTTGGGTCAAAAAGATCCTTTTTACCCTATCCTGTGAACACCGGGTAGTGTCTTCCATTAATTCCTGCTGATTTTATAGAGGATAAATGTTATTTACTTAAAAATTACTTTCAAGTTCTTATCTCTTTTCTTCCTTACTATTGAGTTTACAGTATATTTTCAGGGAATAAAAAACTTTAAAATTATATATACATGCATACATAATTTGTGTTTTACTTAAAGAATTTAACCGCCAATGACTTTTTTTGGTCTTAAGCAATTGAAATGGCTTGAGGTATGGCTATCATAAGTTGTTATTTTTTCATTAAGGAGTTTTATATTGATTACTACTAAGTGTAATCACAGAATATACTTGAGAGGGTCTCAGGGCTTCCAGGTGAAGTAAATTTTTAGAATATTGTGAAGTGGGTGTGTCAGTGCAGTGCTGCACCTTCCTGGACAAAGAGCTTCACTAGTATCGAATGAAAGAGATCACAGCAATAAGAAAAGGATCGATAAGTCAGCTCAGGGCTTGATTTTTTTTAAAAAATAAGAGAAGACAAAGAAAGGAACAGAAGATATTCACTGCCAGGGCTCATGGCTGAGGGGTGGGCTGATGACAAAGGAGTGAAGCCGTTTTTATAGTGGACAGTGGATGCTGGAACTGTTGCATCTGTCCAAACTGTACACCAACAAGTATTCATTTTTTTGTATGTTTATAAAAAAGAGTGGGTTCTGTAGATGGAATGTAGATAAATTTTTGTTTTTGGAAGAAAGTTATTAAATAGTCACCTCCCATAGAATTTGTGAAATTAAACCCTTATTTATATGCAGTGTATTTTGTATTCATGTGAAGATGAGGCTGTGGGCTTTCTCAGCGAGAGAGAGGACAGGTTTTTCCTCGCTGTGGGTGTGCAAACACGATGAAAGCAGAACATGCGGACCCGTGAACCGGGAAATCACCTGCAGGCTCTCACTCGTGCTCACACTTTGAACATTTAAGAAGTGGGATCAGTTTCTTGATTTTTAAAATTATTTACAACCATAGAAAATATTACTCTATATTCTTTTTTAATACATAAGGGTTTCAAGGTCTGTGTATTATTTAACTTTATACTTTAATTTTCCTTTTTTTGTTTATTCTCTTCATTCTTCCTTTGTCTTGGGTATTGTCCACATTTGGGCTGAGAACTAAAGACCCCATTTTGAGCCAGGCACTCATAGGTTTCACTGCAAGTCATTCTTTCTTTGCCATGTCTCTTACCTGTATGTTTCTGTGTTGCCTTTTCTTTCCCCTGGCACTTAATTATATAAAACCTAATGTGATTGTATGAGATTTTTCCAAGGTCAAAGTTCACCCTTGATAAGCTCTTTTGCCTTTAGGTTTCTGTATAATCTGTTCACTTACAGCTTATGTACAATTTATTTTAAAATTGTACACTACAAAAATAGTAGTGCTAGGATTCCTTTCTCATTCTGATGTACTTTTGTTAGTCTTAATGTTAAAGATTCAGGTTTGACAGATGAATTTACTGCTTTTATCTATAAAACAGTGTTTTGTTTGGTAAGTTATTATAAATTATATAAATTGTATTCATCCAAGTTTCCAGACAATACAGTCAGCAATACCCAATGTTATATATATTCACATTCATATATATATATTCATATATACACATACATATGAAAAAAGTATATATCTTTGGTTACTGCCCCAAATGAGTAAATTGCATAGATTGGCTTGGGTTATATTCAGTGAATCAAATCTTCTGGAGAGATTAAGGTATAAAATAGATTTGTGTAGCCTTTGATTTTAAAAAATTCGTTAATAGGCTGGGAGCAGTGGCTCATACCTGTAATCTCAGCACTTGGGAAGGCTGAGGCAGCTGGATCATTTGAGGTTAGGAGTTCGAGACCAGCCTGACCAACATGGTGAAACCCTGTCTCTACTAAAAATACAAAAATTAGCTGGGTGTGGAGGCGGGCAAGTCCCAGCTACTTGGGAAGCTGAGGTGGGAGAATTGCTTGAACCTGGGAGGCGGAGGTTGCAGTGAGCCGAGATTGTGCCACTCAGTCCAGTCTGGGTGACAGAGCAAGACTGTCTCAAAAAAAAAAAAAATTTATGTAATACTCTCACTTATTTTGCTTAAACTGTGATCTCAAATTAAAATGAAAATGCCATTAGATGATGATAGTTTCACTATGTATGGTTGTCTTAGTGCAGCTTGATGTAAAAAAAAAAAGTAGGAAATGAAGTTTTTTTGAAATGTAAATACTGAAGCTACTGTTATATCATAGGCAAAAACCGGGTATTCAGAGTTTACTGTGTTAGGCAAAATGGATGCCTACTGTTGACTGGATCCCTAGAGGATTTCACACTAAGTGTACTGTGATGTAGATAATTTTGAGATGATGCCTAGCTTTCTTTGCCCGAAGAAAAATGTGATTTCGTATATGTTTGTAGTGTAGAGGACGTTCCAGTTGAGCACATTTATGGAGACTGGTTGTTCTGGTATGTTCTAGGAGGATGGCAGACTGTCAGTATCATACATAACAGAGGAATGCCTGAAGAAGCTGGACACAAAGCAGCAGACCAACACCCTGCTCAACCTGGTGTGGAGGGACTCTGCGAGCGAGGAGGTCTTCACCACCATGGCCTCCGTCTGCCACACGCTGATGGTGCAGCACCGCATGATGGTACCCAAAGTCAGGCAAGTGTCCGTGGGCGTCTGTGCCAGGGGGTGCCAGCCAGAGAACATACCTTCCTCCCTGGGAATTGCTCTCCTCTTAAGTTTTGTCTGCTCTTTTCTGGTAGAGATTGATGTAGGATATTCTACTGTCCAAGCGTTTCATAAAAAATAATTTGTGTTTTTCTTTTCTAAACCAACAAATACTGAGACCTTTTCCTGGCCCGTGAGGCTCTCAAGTACCCTATCTGTAATATTTTCTGTAGTACCTTATGAATGTGAGTTTATTCACCCATCTGAAAGGCTGGACTCATACCTGCATTAGTGAAACACTATGTTACATATCTTTTTAGGCTTTTTTCATAGTACTCGTGTTTTATGGGGTTTTTTTTTTTCTTCTTCTTCTTCAGACAGCATCTCACTCTGTTGCCCAGAGTGCAGTGGTGTGATCATAGCTCACTGCAGCCTTCACTTCCTGGGCTCAAGCGATCCTTTCACCCCAACCTTCTGAGTAGCTGGGACCACAGGTGTGCACCACCACACCTGGCTAATTTTTTGTTTTTGTGTGTGTGTGTGTTTGTTTTTTGTTTTTTTTTTTGAGATGGAGTCTTGCTGTTGCCCAGGCTGGAGTGCAGTGGCGCGATCTCGGCTCACTGTAGGCTCTGCCCCCCTGGGTTCATGCCATTCTCCTGCCTCAGCCTCCCGAGTAGCTGGGACTACAGGCGCCCGCCACCTCGCCCGGCTAATTTTTTGTATTTTTAGTAAAGACGGGGTTTCACCATGTTAGCCAGGATGGTCTTGATCTCCTGACCTTGTGATCCGCCTGCCTCGGCCTCCCAAAGTGCTGGGATTACAGACATGAGCCACCACACCCAGCCTTCATAGTACCCTTTTAATTAGATTGTCCTTGACAATTTATCCCTAAAAGTAAATTTTTGTTTTTCAGCCTTTGAAATAAACTTTTGGTTCAGACAAAACAAAACCTGCAAGTTAAAAATATGGCCTGTTTGTGCTTAAATAATTGTGACAATAATCTTGAACTGTTTTCTCTCCCTCCAATTTGAGTGATATGTTAGTGGTTTCTTGAGAATTTAACAGAAAAGTATTCAATTGGATACAGAGTAAAATATATGTAGTAGTTCTGCTAGGACCCAAGGGACTGATGTTGCATAGGCAAAAGCTGTCAGTAAGTAAGCAGGTCTGACGTTAATTCACGTTACCCTACAGAATTCTCTTTGTTTTTATAAAATGCCATCCCATCATATGAAAAGAGTGATTTCTGTTGGCTAAGAAAGCATTCTTTGAAATGAACTGTAAGTAAGGAACCCATCGGTTGAAATGGCCTTGTAAACACTAATGTGGCCAACTAATGAGGTGCTGTCTTCACTCACTGGTGTTTATTACCATCGGAGGAAGTAGATGTCAGTGAAACTGTGGCTCCTAGATTAGGTCCTTAGCTCTTTGCCGGCTAATTGCATGAGAGCAGGATGTGAGATCTGAGGATCGCAGCAGCTGAACCAGGACACTTGCTTTTATTGTCGCACAACCCATTGCTGTGGATGGTAATTGCTGGATTTCAATGCATCACTGCCCTGGGCTGAGGTTTACTAGAGAACCGCTTCCAAAAGGTGTTTAATGGGTGAAGGAACTTTCTGTGTAGGCTTGATTTTATGAGTACAGCACCTATTTCCTCTAAGAAACTACTCTAGGAATTTTATTTATGGCTTAAACATATTAGGTTCTAGTATTTAGAAAGAGCAAGTAGGCTTACTCTAACTGTTACAGATTTTAACTGCTTTCAATTTTGATTTTTTTAAAAAAGTATTTGAAAGATGATTAGTATATTCCCAGGCTGATAACTCATTCACAGGCCCTCACTGATTAATATTAGTCCCTTTTATTTTCAGAGTTAGGATTTGCCATTTAATTTCTGTTTAACACTGATTGTCAGGGTGTACAAATGAATGTGGAGACCTTTGTACCCTGACATGGAAAGATTTCCGAGACAGATGCGTACATGAAAACCGGGAAGACACAGGACAGTATGTAGAAGAACCGGCTTTTCCTATAAGAAGGATGGAAAAAATAGGAATATATATTCATATTGCATAAAGAAACTTGGAAGCATATACAAGAAACTCATGAAAGTGAACACTCGTGTCTGAATATGCCGAGGAAGCTGGGGCTGGAGCAGAAGTGCTCTTCTGAGTACACTATTTTTATATCACTTTTAAGTTTTGGATTAGGTGAATGACTTAATATTTTAAAATTGGTTAAGTAATAAATGAATTGCCAGCTCCTTTTCTGAGAGGAAATTTTAGATATATTACCATTGGACGTGGAAATTTGGATTTAACATTTTTAATATCCACTATTTTAAAATATGATTAAATATTCACTGGCTATATTTTAAGGGGGCAAAAAATAAAGGCTCTACTGCAGTATCAGACAACTAAAATAAGAAAGTAGGCTACCAAAGATAGCCTGTTAGAAAAGTGCTTGGCTTTCATCTGGCATACGTGGGGTTTTTAGTGGGTACTGTTTCAGAGTTTCATTGACTGCATTTGTGACCCTACTTACATGTAGATGAGGCCTGCGGTGCCCACTCAGCCCCGCGGCATTCCTGGCCTTTGTGTGTATTTCACATTCCTCGTCCTTCCTTTTCCTGACTCTTTCAGCGGCTTCTTTCATAGATACCATATTCATGTGATTTTTCCTTTACTTGGGCTTCTCAGTTTCCTTTGTGGGTTCTTTTTTCTCCTCTTTCTCACTCTTTCCTAAACTTCTTTTTGTATTCAGTTTTTTAGGGTTGTTAGTTTGTGACGGAGTCTCTTGCCTTGTCGCCCAGGCTGGAGTGCAGTGGTGTGAACTCGGCTCACTGCAACCTCCACCTCCAGGGTTCAAGCGATCCTCCTACTTCAGCCTCCCGAGTAGCTGAGATTACGGGCACCCATCACCATGCCCAGCTAATTTTTGTATTTTTAGTAGAGATGGGGTTTCACCATGTAGGCCAGGCTGGTCTCGAACTCCTGACCTCAGGTGATCTCCCGCCTCAGCTTTCCAAAGTGCTGGGATTACAGGCGTGAGCCACTGCGCCCTGCTTAGTTTTTTAGTTCTTTATTTGGTCCTCTGGGTAATCTCTTTCATACAAGTGGCTTCAGCTACATTCTAGTGACTCTCACATTTGTGTCTTTAGTTTAAGTAACTTTCTGGAGCTCCAGACACAAGTGTACCTGCTTAATAGGAGATGTCCCTGGGGACCTCTCCTCTGTCCCCTCCCAGGGTCTGAAGTTGAGTCCAGCATCTCTCCCTCTTAAGAGCCTCCTCTTTCTGTCCCTGTTTTGGTGAACAGGCCCGTCATCTACTTGGTTGTCTGTACCTGCAGCCTGAAACTGCAGTGTCCTGCATGGTAGCCACCAGTGACGTGTGTTTTAAAGTAAATTAAATACAAGCACAGACTCAGGTCCTCGGCTACCAAAGCCACATTTCAAGTGCCCAGTAGCCACATGTGGCCAGGGGCTACCTTATTGGACATCACAGATTAGAACACACCCACCCTCACGGAAGGTGCTGGTGGGCGGTGCTGCCCAGGGTTTTGGCTCAGTATTCCCACCATGGTGCTCGAGAGCTGTATTCTCTATGTCATGGTTTGCCAGCCTGACTTGTGGAAAATACAACCCTGATTATTGCATTCTCTTGAACAGTGTAGACTCCCTTTGCTTTTAGGAAAAAATTCACATTCCTTGGATTATTGATTTGTGCAGTATCCCCTTGTTATCAAGCATTTGTTTACCTCTCAACTTTATTTCTAGCACAAAATACTTTTTCTCCAACCATAAATGAGGCAAAAAGGCATATCTTGCATTTTCTTGATCCCATTGCGCTTTTTTATGCCTCCATGGTGTTTCGTGCCCCTTTCCTTTTGCGTATGCCAGTCTCTTCCAGTTAATGTCTGGGCTGGCATGTTCTCAGGGGCTTGGCTCTTTTACCCCATTGATGGATCTAAAAGTTTTGAAGCAGAATTTTGAAGATAGTGTTTTAGGGGTCGAAGAGGTTGATGTTATAATTTGCCCGTAGTTTCATTTAAATACATAAATCATAAGACACCTAGTTTTATTTCAACATATGCTTGATTTTTCCACCAAAAAGTAGTACAGTGAAGCAGCTTAATTATGTCTTGTGTTGTTAATCATTGTGATTTAGATAAACAGCGGTGCGCCTCGAAGCGCAGTGCTTCTTTTCTGTGCACGCGCGTGTGTATGTGTGTGTGTAGTGTTTGTTGGTTTTGTCTTTATTTTTGTTTTTGTTTTCTGAAACAAGGTCTCACTTTGTCACCCAGGCTGGAGTGCCGTGGCGTGATCTCAGCTCACTGAAACCCCGCCTCCCAGGCTCAGGTGATCCTCCTACCTCAGCACCCTTGAGTAGCTGGGACGATAGGCGTGCCACCACACCTGGCTAATTTTTTGTAATTTTTGTAGAAACGGGGTTTTGCCATGTTGCCTAGGCTGGTCTCGAACACCTGGGCCCAAGTAATCTGCTTGTCTCAGCCCTCAGCCTCCCAGAGTGCTGGGATTGCAGGTGCAAGTCACTGCGCCCAGCCCCTCGTGTGTTTTCTAACCATTTCTTTGCCATGTGTTTTCTAAGAACTGTGGTGTATGTGGTGGGGATGAATGCTCTTTAGCTCTGAGAGATTTATAGCTTCATATCTTATACTTTAATAATTTGGGATAAAATGATTACACAGATGACTTCAAAGCAGAAAAATACAGATTTGTTTTTCATTGTATGTGTAGAATTAAATATATATACCGTCCATGTGTTTGTAAACAAGTTTTTATAATATTTTGGAAAAAATATTGAGGATGTGCCTGGAGAGAGAAGTAAATTTTGTCTATAATTTCATAGCTGCTTTTATTATCAGTGATATTTTCATTATAATCAATAGAATTAATAAGCTATTGATTCATGTTAAAAATTGCATTCTCTTTCATGAAGTTCAAATAACATTGATGAGCTTTTAAACATTTCAGCACATAGTGATCTTAAAATTAAATGTATTTTGAAATCCTATCTAGATTATAAACTAATTTCCACTAGCTGTTGTTAGACACATCAAATAAATAAAATAGACTTGCCTTCGTCAGCTTCAGCAATATCATTCATAGTTCTGAATCTTCTAAGAATTCTTAGAACATTTGTGAATGATAATTGTTTCCCGGGAAATATGAGTACACTTGGAAGAAGCATATTCCACCAAAGTGATTCTAAATCCCTACCACGTTTTTAAAGTTTTCTTTTAAGCTTGTTAAGAAATAGTAAGAGAAGGGGCTTCCTTTTCGATCCGCCATCTGCGGTGGAGCCGCCACCAAAATGCAGATTTCCATAAAAACCCTTACGGGGAAGACCATCACCCTCAAGGTTGAACCCTTGGATATGATAGAAAATGTAAAGGCCAAGATCCAGGATAAGGAAGGAATTCCTCCTGATCAGCAAAGACTGATCTTTGCTGGCAAGCAACTGGAAGATGGATGTACTGTCTGACTACAACATTCAAAAGGAGCTTACTCTTCATCTTGTGTTGAGACTTCGTGGTGGTGCTAAGAAAAGGAAGGAGTCTTACCCCACTCCCAAGAAGAATAAGCGCAAGAGAAAGAAGGGGAAGCTGGCTGTCCTGAAGTATTAGAAGGTGGATGAGAATGACAAAATGAGCTGCCTTCGTCGAGAGTGCCCTTCTGATGAATGTGGTGCTGGAGTGTTTATGGCAAGTCACTTTGACAGACATTATTGTGGCAAATGTTGTCTGACTACTGCTTCAACAAACCAGAAGACAAGTAACTGCGTATGAGTTAATAAAAGACATGAACTTAAAAAAAAAAAAAAGAAGGGATTATCAAAGAAGACATTTGAGGTAGTGAATGCCACTTTCCCCCATTTTAATTTAAACTGTAGCATGAGGGAAAGTATGTTTTTTGAATCTGTAAATCTTTTAATTAAAGAAAATCAGTTGCCAGTAAGAAGGGCTGGCTGTTTAAATTGGTTCTGGTGTCAATGCTGGAATGCTAGCGCGCCTGAGTGTCTAAGGCTTACCTCCTACTCTTAGCTCCTAGTTTGTGAAGAGCAATTTTTAGCAGCTTGTCTCCAGACGAAATACACCTTAAAATTTTTATTAGTAAGGACATTGGAATTTATTTTGAATCTTGCATTATCTGATGCAAATTATTATATATCTGTTTTATTGCTTTTTATGGCATTAGAAGTGTCCAGTAATATTTTTTTAAAAAGAAAAATTTCAGAAGAACAAATTATTGCCTTTGTACTTGTGTGCTATAAGAGTTCGACAGATCATTGGGTGTCTCGCTGTTTCTTTTACCTGTGGCACCTGGACTTAGAGGGGAATTCTCAGAGGATGCCATGCTGTGGTGGCCTTGACTCCTTGTGTGGGAGCCAGTGTCTTCCATTGTGTTCTCTTTCATAACTCAAGAGAGTCCCCGTGGAAAACTGGCCTGAATTTATGACCCGGCTTACTGATTAACTCATAGGATTGTTACAGCTAAATAAAGCTTAATGAGTAATTTTTAATCTATCCCACTATGTGGGAGAAGAATATCACTTCTTTACATTTTAGAAGTAGAGCCCCAGACTAAATAACCTTCAGAAATTTGTCTTTTTTTTTTTTTTTTGGTGAAAACATTCTTTATTAGTAAGCAGACATTTGAAACTTTTTGATTACATGCATCATGCAAAATGACTGACCTCACACATGGTTGTCTGTTCATTGTGACATCTTTTTTGAGATGATTACAAATTTAAGATGACTGCAGTAGTAAAAATAATTCATGAAAATGACTCTCAATGAAGCAAAACACTACATAGCACACATGAAATACTGTTCATCCCTCCTGGATGTTTAATTCTCTCCTAACGTAAATCTCTATTTTGGAAGACTATTATTTACAAAAATGGCAGTTGTTTTTGTATGTGCATCTATAGGCACTGAACTGATATGAACAAAATTTCAAATAATTTTACAAGGTTTGGTTGTTTTTTCCTGTTTTGTTAATCCAAAACAGGACAATGCCCTTTGATTTACAATGTTCAGTTCTTTTAAGAAATCATTTTCTTTGGAAGATGATTTTGACCCATGAAAAAGTTGTTTTACCCCTGGTAATCTTTTTGAAATGGGGCTGGCTGTTATACATTATACAGGTTGTTTTCAGTTAAGTGAAAAGGAGTTGGGCTTGTCTTGAGAAGAATTCCTCTAAATTATGGCACTGAGAAAACTTCTCTGCAGTGGTGGGCTCACCACTTCCATCCTGTGGTAGTTCTGGTAGCACTCCTGGTATGAAAACCCTAGCACAGGTAATTTCACCTCTTTGAAATAAGCAGTGATCCTGGAGAAAGGTGAATATTCCAAATCTAGTAGCATATTCAGGTCATCTGGCAGAGAAGTAGGCATAAAAGACTTTTCTAGGTACTTAGAATGCTGCTGTAACAAATATCTAAAAATGGAAAAGTGGCTCTGGAATTAGGCAGTAGGTCGAGGCTGGAAGAATTCTGAGGCGCATGCCAGAAAGAAGCCAAATTGCCTTAAACAGACTGTTAGTAGAAATGTGGAATGTTAATGCTAGGGAGGCCTTGAAGGAAGAAAGGAGTATAGCAGAGAATACCTCGATTGCGGTAAAATATCTAAATCATCATGAATAGACTGTTGGTAGAAAATGAGGAATATGTTATTGGAAAACTGGAGGAAAAGGGGTCCTTGTTACATAGTGGCAAAAAGCTAAGCTGAATTGTGTCCTGCAGTTATGTGTAAAGCAGAATTTTTAAGTGATGACTTCAGTATTAGCTGAGGATATTTCCAAGCAAGCTGTGGAAGGTACAGCCTGCTGTCTTCTTGCTGATTATGGTAAAATATGGAAGGAGGTAGATAAATTGAGGGAAGAACTGTTGAATATAAAGAAACTAGGACTTGATTTGGGAAATTCGTGGCCTATTCAAGGCAAAAGCCACTAAAACTAAGAGATTCACTGTCAGGACAGCCTTCTCTAGAGAAAGTGATGAAGGTATGGCTGTATAACCTTCTGCTAATACTTCAGAAACATCAAAAGGTCTGAGTATCAAGTCACACAAAAGGCTCTTTGAGGAGATTAAGAGTGTGAATCATAGATCCTCCCAGCTATTTCAGAAAAAGCCAAAATTAGAGACGGGATTTTCCAGGAAAGATATGTGAGGAGCCTCCTGTGTAAATGAGTGAATCCCCATGACATATGTAAGAGACCCACAAGTTTCTCGACAATGTTATAGCAGCAGAAACACCACTATTTTTAACAGAATGCTTTAGAGAATATAAAAGAAGAAACAAACTGATAAGCTGATACTCAGCTGCAAACATGTGCTACCTTTTGTGAAAAAGTAAAGATGATTGAGACAGTCACAAGCCCAGAGAACTGAGCAGTGAGCTGAAGATTACTCCCAGGCCTTGAAACTGAAAGGAGGGTGCCTGGCTGGTTTTGTAAATTGATGGTGCTGATGGCTCCTTTTTTCATCCCAATTTCTGCTTTTTGAACAGGAATGTGTATAGCTGTTACTGTATGCCTGTCACACCATCATACATGGGAGCAGATAACTTGTTTTCTAGGTTCGCAAGTGCACAGATGGAGGAGAATTATGCCCCAGAAATCACACCCAGATCCTCTCCCAAATTTAGATGGCTTTAGTGTGAGATTTGAGACTTTTGAGTTGGTGAGACTCAGATAAGATTTTGGATTTAGAGTTGATGCTGTAATAATGGGTTGTGACTTTTGAGCACCTATGAGTGACGTAAATTTATTTGTGATGGATCTGAATCTTTTAACACAGGGGTGGAGTGGTGGCGGGGCGGGGGTTGCACTGTAGTAGGCAAGAAGAATAATGTTCCATGTAAAACGTTAATGTCCTAATCTCCAAACCTGTATGTAACCTTAAATGGTAAAAGAGATTTTGCAGATGTAATTAAGGTTACTATGGATTTCAAGACGAGGCGATAAGCCCAGATTATGCAATGGGACTAATTTAATCATGAGTCCTGCAGAGAACCTCTCCAGGGTGGTGTCAGAGAGATGTGGTAACAGAAGGGTCATAGAGATGAAACAGTGCTGGTTTTTAAGATAGAAGGCCGCAAGCCAAGGAATGCGGATGTTCTCTAGAAGGTGGAATGACAAGGAAATAAATAATTCTCCTATGCAACGCTGCCGACAAACTGATGTTAAAAGCACCGCGAAACCCGTTTGGACTCCTAACCTATAGAATTGTTAAGATAATAAATTTGTGCTATTTTAAGCCACATTTTGTAACTTGTTATGGTGGCAATGGGAAACTAACCAGAAGTGATAACTAAGGATGAAGTGGTGTCTGGGAAGAAGGGAAACCTTCTGACTTCAGAAATACAAACATTTATGCTGGTAGTTCTTTAGATCTAGTCTGTCCGACAGAATATACATTCCTGTATTTCTACACTAGTCTTGTTCTGGAGAAGACGTTCTAGGTTGAGCACATAGAAGAGTGTTTAGTGTATATAGTGAGTTTCCTAGAAAAATGTGTTGAATGAATAAATGAATGTGATCAAGGCAAGCTCTGGGAGGAACTGTAATTACTTGATTTTAAAATGCTGTTGCTGTTTATCATATCTTCTTAAGAATTGCTGACCTTTAGGCCAGGTGCAGTGGCTCACGCCTATAATCCCAGCACTTTGGGAGTCTGAGGTGGGTGGATCACCTGAGGTCGGGAGTTTGAGACCAGCCTGACCAACAAGGAGAAACCCCGTCTCTACTAAAAATACAAAAATGAGCTGGGCGTGGTGGTGCATGCCTGTAATCCCAGCTACTCGGGAGGCTGAGGCAGGAGAATCTCTTGAACCTGGGAGGTGGAGGTTGTGGTGAGCGGAGATAGCGCCATTGCACTCCAGGCTGGGCAACAAGAGCAAAACTCCATCTCAAAAAAAAGAATTGCTGAACTTTATGTGTTTCTGTTTAAGTTCACAGCAGTCATAATTCTGCAAAATACAAGGCAAAACTGTCGTTTCTGATACTAGTAATATATCTAAATCAGTAAGTAAAAAGGATGTGTAACATCTTAATAGGAGAAATAATTATTGTATGATCAAACAATTTCAAAATCAAACTAGACACTTTTCAGTATTTACTACAGACAAATTTTCAACTTATTTGATCAAAAGATTTCTTAATGGCTGTTAGTCAATGCTGCATCAAGAAACTTTAGTGCAAATTTTACCAAATGCATTTATCAAAAAGGGGTTTTCATTTTTTTCTGCAAACAAAACATTAACACTAAGTATGTAACAAACTGATTTGCCTACAAATCCAAAAACTATCAACATAAGCCAGTCCTTCAACTAAAAACTCAAACATACTTATCTTAAGGTCTATTCCTAATCCAGATTTGTCTATATTCAGGTTGGAAGACAGAATAACAATAAAACCAAAATTTATCTGTAAAAATAATAAAAATAATTTGTTTTTTTTTTTTTTTAATGCTGGAGGTATTGTCCTTATTAATACGACACATCATCTGTTCCCACATGGTACTGCATGGATAGGAACAATATTATTTTAGTTGATGGAGTAACACAGTGTTAAGAATATCTGCTTCTAGCAGTGTCAGGCTTTCATCTGTTAGCTCTTTATTCGGAAATGAAGTCACAAGAATAAAGTCAAGAGCTGCAAATTCAGGACAAGACTGTACAATAAAGTTCCGGACATCCAGGATCCTGTGTGTACTATTGAATCTTTGTATCAAACGACTCCCATCTGCTAACCTGATTTGAATTTTTGTTGTTGGCACTGAATCATCAATAAGAACAACCGCGTTAAGTATTGATTTATCCTCCTCTTCTGGAGAGGAAGGTGTACTGACTATTTCAGGTGTAAGCCTTCCAAGTTTTTGCCCTTCTCCACTAAAAGCCTTGAACCTCAATCTAGGTTTTATGTATTCTTGATCCTGATGGTCCTCCATATCCCAATTCACTTGGCCACCATGAACAAGGCACTGAAGCTCCAGGGGGATCTCTCCTCTTTTAACAAACTCCAGAAATTGAGCATTTGTTGGTTCATTGTAAGGTCTCAATTCTCCATCATCTAAACTGAAACCATTGCTCCACAGTTTAAGCAAAATCTGAACATCTTGTAGCTGATTTTCTCCATGCATATATTCAGACCGCTTACAAAAGGAATTACCCAATCTGTATCCTCCACCTGTAAATGACATTGAGGTGGTGTCCGTGGGCTCTTGAAGACTGCAGCTTTAGGTCTGTCAGACTTGGAAGATTTGCGCTTCACTTCATCTTCATACAGTTCTTCCAAGGCCAGTTTATTTCTTGATATGTCATCCCTTTGGCTGTTTTCAAGTTTCTTTGCAGGTTCTTCACATTAAGTTCTGCAAATCCTGTGCGCTCGGAGGCCACAGCCTGGAAGATCTCCTCTCCTGCTCACCGAGCTCAGGGCCGCCGCCCTCCGCCATCTTCCGCTGGCTGTATTTGTCTTTTTTTTTTTATTTTTTTCGACAGGGAGTCTTGTTCTGTCACCCAGGCTGAAGTGCAGTGGCGCCATCTCGGCTCACTGCAACCTCCACCTCCAAGGTTCAAGCGATTCTCCTGCCTCAGCCTCCTGAGCAGCTGGGATTACAGGCATGCGCCACCACACCTAGCAAATTTTTGTATTTTTAGTAGAGACGGGGTTTCACCATGTTGACCAGGCTGGTCTCGAACCCCTGACCTCAGGTGGTTACCCACCTTGGCCTCCCAAAGTGCTAGGATTACAGGCGTGAGCACCTGGCCCAGAAATTTATTTTTAAAAGTTTAATAGTTTGTTTTATTATTGCTTATTGAGTGATTTAGTAAATATTCTGTCAGGGTTAGCTTGAAATACAAATTTTAAAATGTGTATTTTAAATGTGTATTTCTGAAAATGGTATTTCAGAAATATGTATACATTCACATGGAAAGATGTTAATTATAATCTTAGTGACAAACTCTTAGAACCTGTAGGAAGAACTCATTTTTGTTTCTATGTCTACACACAAGGGTCTGGATGGATTTATAGCAGGGTATTAACTGATGATTTCTGGGTAGATAAGATGCCATGTGGCTAACATTCTTTTGCCTTGTTTTGTTTTAATAACATTTTTTAAAAACTCAATTTCTCAACTGAAGAGAAAATAAGCAAATAATACCTTTTCAAATTATTTTGAAAGTTCGTATTTTTCGTAGCTTTTTTCTTACTCTTTTTTCCGTATGACTGTTGCGTATTCTTAGCAAATAAAACTCCACAAAGGCAAGAAAAAACGTTAACACTCTTATCAGGCATATGGTAAGGATTTTAAATATCTCAGAGATAGGGTATCTATTATCATTTTCTAATACAGCTTCCCTTTTCAACAGTATAGTCTTTTTCAGAGTGAATTTTTTTTATTTTTATTTTATTTTATTTTATTTTTTTGAGTCTGAGTCTTGTTCTGTCACCCAGGCTGGAGTGTAATGGTGTGATCTCGGCTCACTGCAACCTCAGCCTCTCAGGTTCAGGCAATTCTCCTGCCTCAGCCTCCTGAATAGCTGGGATTACAGGCGCCTGCCACCACGCCCAGCTAATTTTTCTATTTTTAGTAGAGACGGGGTTTCACCATGTTGGCCAGTCTGGTCTCGAACTCCTGACCTCAAGTGATCCACCCGCCTCAGCCTCCCAAAGTGCTGGGATTACAGGCGTGATCCACCAGGTCCAGCCATATTTCAGAGTGAATTTTAAGTGGAAATTTGCTCGAACATTAATGACAGACAGCATACTTAGTTACCTGTCTTAATTGGTCTCCTTTAACTTGTATTATTACCATTTTTTCGTTTTTCCAATATTATTAAATATTTATTATTAAGTAATATTTTCCAATAATATTAAATAATATTTGTTGGAGACCCCGTTTGAGATTCTGCTCTTACTGGAATGAATGCAGTGTGCCCCCACTTTGTCATGGCGTGTGACTGATAAACATCATGCATGTTTTCATAAAATCATAATACTTCTGAGCTGGAAGGACCTTAGAACAGATGTATCACTGCCCCTTCATTTTCTTATGCAAACATTGCTTTTAGCCTACATGACATTGGAAAGATGGCTGGGCTGAATGATCTAATAGATTCTTTCTAGCTTAAGGTTTCCTGATTCTAGGAAATTTCACATGCTCTTTCATGCTTTTACTGTTTTTTCAGTGATGTACCCTTATTGCCATCTGGATATCTCAAAATGCATTACATTAAAATAAGAATGGAGTTTAGTTGTTGTTTATTTTTAATCAGTACTTCATGATTCCTATGGTGTACTCAGAAAGTGCCAATATGGAACAATGCATTTGATGTTTTGGATTGAGTGCAGGAAATTACTCGACCAATCAAATATGAGATTTTTTTATTGGATTTTGAAAGACCTCATCTCTTAAAAAAATATTTATGCTAGCTGATTACACAATTGTGGCTAGAATGTTTATCCTGTCACAAACATGCAGTATAAAACAGAGCTAATTTAAATGCTCATGCATTCTTCACAAAGTTCATCTTTTTTAAATCTAATATTATAGAGGAAAAGTTTTTAATTTTTATTTATTTTTATTGTTTTGAGATAGGATCTCACTTTGTCACACAGGCTGGAGTGTAGTGGTGCAATCTTGGCTCACTGCAGCCTTGAACTCCTGGGCTCTATCGATTCTCCTACCTCAACCTCATGAGTAGCTGGGACTACAGCCACCACACCCAACTTTTCATAGAGATGAGGTCTCACCACATTGCCCAGGCTGGTCTCAAACTCCTAGGCTGAAGCAATCTGCCTCCTTTGGCCTCCCAAAGTGCTGGGATTACAGGCATGAGCCACCGTGCCTGGCCTAAAAATCTTTAAGATACATTTTTTTAGATTTATTTTTGAGATGTTAACAGCACATTTTTTGTATTTCAAGAAAAGTGACTTGAGTCCGTCACTAAATATTTTACAAATTTTAAACGTGTTAAGTAGGCCAGGTGCAGTGGCACACACCTGTAATCCCAGCACTTTGGGATGCTGAGGCGGGTGGATCACTTGAGGTCAGGAGTTCAAGACCAGCCTGGCCAACGTTGTGAAACCTCATCTCTACTAAAAATACAAAAATTAGCCAGGCGTGGTGGCGGGCACCTGTAATCCCAGGTACTCAGGATGCTGAGACAGGAGAACCCCTTGAACCCAGGAGGTGGAGGTTGCAGTGAGCCAAGATCGTGGCACTGCACTCCAGCCTGGGCAACAGAGCAAGACCCTGTCTCAAAAAAAATAAAAAGAAAAGTATAAGCAGTAATAACAATAGTAATTATAATATTGTGATATATTAATACGATATGTAGCAGAGGGGGAGCAGGTTCAACTTGTGCATGAAAACAGCTTATATCTTTATCTTTTGGGGTAGGTCTCACAGCCACAGGGGAGGGAGGGCGGGCTTTCCTAGCTTGGTAACAGCACAGATTTACACCTTTGGGAGCCGTGTCTCGGTGTCTCATCAAATGGCTGGTTGTCTGAGGCAGCTTTTTGTGGTATTAGTACAGAGATTTGCTAAATTGTACGTTGATCTTCAGTGTATCGCTTTTTTTTTTTTTTTTTTTTTAAGAAATGTTTTGAATAAGTAATTGCTTTACTGTTCTGTGTTTTTCTCCTATTCCTTTTTAGGCTTCTCTACAGTTTAGCCTTTAATGCCAGGTTTCTGAGACATCTTTGGTTTCTAATATCTTCCATGTCAACACGGATGATCACAGGGTATGTATTATACAGACTTATAAATTGAGCTCAAGGGCACAGGAAGTGGCAGCCTAATCAAAAATGTTGCCAGAACCTGTTTTTAAGTCCTGTTTATACTGGGCTTATTTCATATTAGAAGGTAAGTTCCAGATGGTCTCAGTTGCACAAAAAGAAAAATCAGTGTCTAATCTTAACAGTTACTTATCTGTATATATTATAGAGAGTATGGTTTTATCTGAAGGTAAGTTTCCTTTAAACATCCTAGCCATGTTTTTAAAAAAGCAGACATTTGGAAATTGCTTTGCTCCATATGACTTTACTCCTCTTTTCACAGTGAAAATACAGATTTGAAGTAAATTAAAGACTGCTGCAAACATTAGAACAGTGTAGAAGTTTTTAAACATTTGTTGAAATAATTTGATTTTTCTTATTTGAATCGTGTAATTTAAAAAATATCATCTTTGACTTAACATATTTTAACTGAGTATGTAATAGGTAGGAATTTCATACTTAAAATCCTTCATGGTAAACTGACTTAGCCTAGTACTCTGTTGTTGAATTTTTCCTCTGCCAGAAGTCTAAGCCGGCCGGGCGCGGTGGCTCACGCCTGTAATTCCAGCACTTTGGGAGGCCGAGGCCAGCGGATCACCTGAGGTCAGGAGTTCAAAACCAGCCTGGCCAACATGGTGAAACCCCATCTCTACTAAAAATACAAAAATTAGTCGGGCATGGTGGTGCGTGCCTGTAATCCCAGCTACTTGGGAGGCTGAGGCAGGAGAATCGCTTAAACCTGGAAGGCGGAGGTTGCAGTGAGTCGAGATCATGCCACTGCAGTCCAGCCTGGGTGAGAGCAAGACTTCCTCTCAAAAAAAAAGAAAAAAAGAAGTCTATGCCAATCCCCCTGTGCTGTAATCGGAAAAGATGAAGTGTGTAATTCAGTTAATTGGAGACTAAACTTACAAGATGCAACTGTGTGTCATGCTCATGGTAGTAGTGATAATAGCAGTCACTGTTACTGACTCCATGCTGTGAACCAGCTCATTCGGTGGTGGGAAGACACATCTCAGTTGTAGGGCAAGAGTGTAGAAAGTGGTCTTGTTTTCTTTTTAGGAACAAGAAGTTAGAAGAAAGAATTTTTGGTGGGTTGGGGTGGTATATCTAAAATATAAACACACTCATCTGCAATCTAACTTGCTGTGTGCAGTCATAATGAAAACTCTTGTTGAGATTTCTGGATTTTGAGCTTTTTCATGCAATATGTAGAGCAAAAGATATTCATATGTTGTTCAGCCAGGCACAGTCAGCCCCTTTATGATGGGACTGGTGTTCAAATCATCTGGACAAAACAGTTCATACTAATGAAAGGGGAATGTCAGTTTCTCAATATTATTACTTCAAATTTTTCATTTTTTTAATTGAATCTTAAGTGAGGAAAGGGGAGTTTTACTGCTGCCGCTGTGACTGGTGAAACTCATAAAGGTTAAGTGAGTTATCTTGCATCAACAGTGGGTGGCTAAAGCAGAGACAAAAGACTCCTACAATGATTTACTGTCTTGAGAAATTCTTTTCTTTCATTTCCAAACCAAAATACAAGATTTTAAGTATGTTTTGTTGTGTTTTTTTTGGTGCATTTCAGCCACTTCTGACTACGCCAGCTTTGGTTTTCATTAGTGACAGGTTTGTTTTGGGCAGAAGGGAATTGAGAATCATTAGGACAGGAAATTATCGTTTACCCATAAGTGCCTCAGCTTAGCAACAGAAACACTGTCATAGTTCTGCCTGATAATTGCTTATTTGTTTATGGCATTTGTCTCTTGCTAAGGAAATGGAGTCATGGTGTGTGAAAGAAAAGTGGGATATTGTTAATTATATTAAATTATTAATACTATTTTATGATAGGGTAGTTTTACAAATCTTATTAAAAGACAGTTTGATAATTTGAATGTCTTTTTACTTGTTTATTAGAATGAAGTCCCTCAAGAAACTGACAGTGTATTAATGCGTTCCCAATACAGATACTCCTTGAGGTACAATGGGGCTTTGTCCTGATAAACCCATTGTAAGTTGAAAATATCATAAGTTGAAATGCATTCAAGACACCCAGCTTACTGAGGCCTCACAGCTTAGCCTAGCCTACCTAAAACGTGCTCAAAATATGTGCATTAGCCTACAGCTAGGCAAAATCATCAAACACTAGGCCAATTTTATAATAAAGTGTTGAATGTCCATGTAATTTATTGAATATTGTACTGAAAGCGTAAAAACAGAATGGTTTATGGATACTCGAAGTATGGTTTCTACTGAATGGGAATCACCTTTGACCATCTTGAAGTTGCAAAATCCTAAACTGAACCATTGTAAGTCAGGCACCATCTGTAAATGTCTCATATTTCCTACTGGGAATAAAGTTTAAAATGAAATAACTGATTTTCTGAAACTGGCACTCAATTTAAGTCAAAAATAGTTTAACAGTAAGGCTTGCATTGCTAGGACTTACAGCTTTAGTGGGCAGAAGTATCATCAGGGGAGCGTGTTAAAATGCATATTCTCCTGAGACGAGATTGCGCCATTGCACTCCAGCCTGGGTAACAAGAGGGAAACTTTGTTTCAAAAAAAAAAAAAAAAAAAATTTCAGCTTCTCTGTTCCTGCCCTAAGACTTGGGTTAGAAACCCTGGAGACTGCAACCTCACAAGCTTATCAGGTAATCGAGGTACAGATGGTTTGGGGGCCAACCGAGAAGCACTATTCTTCACCCCAGTCTAGCAGACCACATTTAAACAATCTCCAGATGGATAGTGAATTTTGACACATCAGACATTTTGCAAATAACATCTTTATTCATTTACCTCATTTTCAGTACTTGCTATTGAAATCAGCCAGTTTAGTTTCCTTCTTCTTGAAGATGAGGGAACCCATAGCCAGCTGGTACTGTTTTCCATTAGGCATCCCTTGACTACAACATAACATAGAGATGCTTTGCCCAGATGTCTTCAGTGTGGGCAGTAGGTGCTGGTGTTGGCTGTTTGATAAATAATCTCAAAACAGTCTACAGTAGTATTCTGAAAACCTGTTAAAGCAAGAATCCGTTCTTAAAAGCTCTTTGCAAGGGTGGGGGACATTGGACGAGGAGGAGGAGTGGTTCCCACAGGCACGCAATTTGAAAACCCTTGTTCTCAAGATCTAGACAGAGGTTAGGGATTGCCTCGGGTCTCACTGATGGTCAGTAATTCACCTAGCTCCCCTGAGTTATGTGTGAATCAGTGTCTTTTCCATTACAGTAAGTTGCAGACTTTATTTGCACATAAGTCTTTGAGACTGACCTGTTTTCAGAGGAATATTTGAGTCAGTGTTTATAGCAGAAAGAATGGTCAGCAGAGAACTAAGAGACCTGTGTCTCGTTTGTGCCCTGTCTGCAGGGCAGCATTGGCACATATCCTTGCCAATCCCAGTTTTTGTCATTAAAGTAAAAATGATGCATTCCTTTTGCTTGTTTCACAGGGGGTTTGAAGAGGACAAATAAGTTTTTGTTGGTTAATTACCCTGTCCCTTTTTTTTTTGGACCCAATATAAGAATTTTATGCATCCTGCAATATGTGTGCATAACTGATGATGTGTTGGTGGTGATGATTCTTGTCAGGGATAACAGTACAAGTACAAGGATTCTTGTCGGGGATAACAGTGGAAAGCAGGCTCATCAAGACGCAGGAGTGGGCTCCAGCTGTCATAGGCAGGGCTGTTGAAAGAAGCCACCCCTGTCCAGTTAAGGCAGCCCTGTGCCTTTTTTATCCTCCATATAAACAACCTTTTTGTGTCATCCTGGCTTTGGCAATGAGGTAGGACAATTGTGCTTTGTCCCTTTTTGAATGTCCCACAATGTTTAAATTTTGGAAGAATGGCATTCATTCATTGATGAATCTGTTCAGCATAGTGCTAAATGCAGAGTATCACAACTGCAAACATGGATCATGTATGCTCAGGTTGTGTAGCATGTGGACATAGTGTATCTTCTCTGTGGGAACACAGTTTCAGGTGCACATATGGGTTCCTTTTCTCAAAGCGGTTGATGATGGCAGTGCCCTCCCCTGAACCATGCACCATGGAGACTCAGAAGCTCCAGGTGGCTCAGCCAAGCTCCTTACGGCCCCGCTAATTAGAACAAGTGGCCTTACCTTCTGCTTTGCTTTCATACATGATTTGTAGATCCTGACTCCTGGTTACATCTCATCTAATATATACCTGTAGTTTTGTGGAAATGGATATTTGGGGAGATAAGAGAGTGATCTTGCTCACAGTGTCTGTTAACCTGTGATTGATTTGACTTGGTAGAGGGGACCATGGACTTTATAGAAAGAGCTTGCAGGTGAGCCTATTAGCTAAAAGTTCCATAAGACAAGGAACCAGACTTAAAAACGAGAGAAAAGGAAGAAGTTCTAGGTGAAATAAGTCAATTTAATATATCGTAGCTCTTTTTTATTTATTTATTTTTTTTGGAAACGGAGTCTCGCCCTGTTGCCCAGGCTGGAGTGCAATGGCACGATCTCGGCTCACTGCAACCTCCGCTGCTCGGGTTCAAGTGATTCCCCTGCCTCAGCCTCCCAAGTAGCTGGGATTACAGGCACGTGCCACCACACCCAGCTAATTTTTTGTATCTTTAGTAGAGATGGGGTTTCACCATGTTGGCCAGGCTGGTCTCGAACTCTTGACCTTGTGATCCACCCACCTCGGCCTCCCAGAGTGCTGGGATTACAGGCGTGAGCCACCATACCCAGCCTTTTTTCTTTTCTTTTTTTTTTTCCTTAATATTTTAAACTTCTTTGAAACAGAGTCTGGCTCTGTTCCCCAGGCTGGAGTGCAGTGGCGCAATCTCAGCTCATGGCAACCTCTGCCTCCTGGGCTCAAGCCATTCTCCTGCCTCAGCCTCCTATGTAACTAGGAAGGACTACAGGCACCTATCACCACACCTGGCTAATTAATTTAATATATCATAGCTCTTGATGGGTGAAAGGCTGCTGAGTAAAGACCACCTTAGCTGCTGTGAAAGCAGGAGCAGGATGGGAGCTGGTGAATAAAGTGGACAGTGGGAGCAAGGCCACCATAGAGAACTGGAAACTTTGTTTCTTGAGGTTCCAGTTTGGCTTCAATATTGAATAGCTTTCAACGTTACCAAAAGTTAAGTCGCTGGATAAATTTTTCCTGAGACCAGAATGATTTGCCTTTATTAAATATGTTGAGTAGAAGGGAAGGGGGATGGTTTCCTCATAAGAGTAAAGTACATGTGTGTCTTGAATAGTGGCCTTATTAGAGCTCTTCTTAGGGCCTTAGTCTGGGAACGACTGGCTTACTCTTAGTAACTTCATTATCTAGTTGGTACAGGTAGCAGAAACCTTAGTGAAGATTAATGGGTTGGTATGCTATTTTTTGTATTAATCTATGCTGTTTATTAACCTGCATTGCCATGGTGACTTTACCTTGCCTTTAAATAGTTTAATTCCTAATGCAAATGTTACTTTCCCTGATTATATTTGTTTGATGTTATGTTTTAATTAGTTCCCAAACTAAGACTAATTTTAAAGTGACTGGTTTTTTTCTTCTTTTCTTTAATTCAAGGTCTATGGTACCGTTGCTTCAGGTGATATCCAGGGGTTCTCCTATGTCTTTTGAAGATTCTAGTCGAATCATCCCACTCTTTTATCTTTTTAGCTCCTTGTTTAGTCATTCACTAATTTCCATACATGATAACGAATTCTTCGGTGATCCCATAGAAGGTAAGGATTTTGAGAAACCAGTTTGCTGCTGGCCACTTGGCCCATCAGTTTTCATAGACAGTAGAAAAGTTTTAAGCTTTTTAAGTCTTTCAGTGTGTGTTAAAAGATGGAAAAAGAAACAATAGAAAACTGGATTGTGTTTTTTAGTTGTAGGTCAAAGACAATCATCAATGATGCCTTTTACTTTAGAAGAGCTGATAATGTTGTCTCGATGCCTTCGAGATGCATGCCTGGGGATCATCAAGTTGGCTTATCCAGAAACCAAGCCAGAAGTTCGAGAAGAATATATTACAGCATTTCAGAGTATTGGAGTTACTACTAGCTCTGAAATGCAACAATGCATACAGATGGAACAGAAAAGATGGATTCAGTTATTTAAGGTATAGAGTATATGTATTTTTTTGTTTACTGACATTGAAAAATGTACAAACTTTTGTCTTGACTCGTTGCAGAGGAATAAAAATGCAGGTTTGTTTCAGACATGTTTTAATTTGCAAGACTTTTTTTTTTTTTTTTTTTTTTTTTTTTTTTTTTTTTGATACATGGACTTGATGTGTCTCCCAGGCTGGAGTGCAATGACACCATCATACTCCACTGCAGCCTTGAACTCCTGGGATCAAGCAATCCTCTCACCTCAGCCTCCTGAGTAGCTGGGGCTACTGGCACATGCCACCACACCCAGCTAATTTATTAGTTTTTTTGTAGAGACAGAGTCTCACTGTGTTACCCAGGCTGGTCTCAAATTCCTGGCCTCATGGATTCCTCCTGCTTCTGCCTCCCATAGTGCTGGGATTATAGGCGTGAGCCACTGCAGCTGGCCTATATACCTTTTTAATTAAGAAAAGTAATTTTAGTACTTTTGATTAATTAAGGTAATTTAATTAACTAAAATTACTTTCATTTTAATTTACATTTGCCTCACTTAAAACCATGTTTTTAAACCTTGTTACATGCATCTTTTCTATGTGGCCCTAACTACTTAACTGTGACACGATGAAATATAAATACAGTTTTTAAAATGTTTTTATTTTTCACTAAATATTTCTTAGATTTTATTGTTTTTTCAAACCTTTCAAAAATTGATTAACAACGTAAAGTAGGTCATTAATTTTTAATGCTAGTTGTATATAAATTATTTTAACATATCTTCGTTCTTAACCAGAAAGTGAAGTTTTGAGTTACTGTGGCTGGAATGTTGGCAGGAAACCACCACCAGTGAGAATGTAACTGTTGGGATGGAAAAAAAGAAAAGGAAAAGGGTGCTTGACTTCCCATGAAATTTCTGCAGCAAACACATCTAGTCAGCTAAAATTGCTCATTAAAGGAGTGAGAGCAGAAGAAATGCATTTTCCAAATTGAATGCTAGATTTACAGTCCGTTTAATACCAGCGACCTCTCGCACACTAATGTTCAGTTCGAGTCATCAGCTGTCCCTTTGGGTCTTTTATCACTGCTTTTGTCAAGCTATCTATTTAATTGAAAGAAGTTAATTGAATGAAAATGATCAACTAAGCTTGTATTAATATTGCTAATGGAACTTTCTTCTTGGCCATGTTTGGAGAAAGATGTCAAGCTAGACTTTAGGAAGGGCCCATTAATGCTTGCACTTAACCTGATGGGCTAATTAAGGAATGCTTATTCATCCTCCAAGTCCACGAGAGTCTCTCTCCAGCCCGTTCTGCCTGGTTTTACAACACATTTCTCTTAGGAGCATGAGCATTAGCAGCAGCAGCCGTAACTGATAATGTTTTGATTGCACTGAATACAGTCCTAATGCATCGTTGAATTTATAATTTGGGCAGATTGATGTAATATATGTTTGCACAATTTATTTTAATTACCTATTTCTGTATTCCTAAGTAAACTGGGACGGTCACATGGTAAGCCTTTACTATATCCTTTCTTAAAGATTGACAAATTTGCAATTTTTCTATGTTAAAAAATAAGCAGTCTCACCTATTTAAAACTTATAATTCTTACATAAGCTTTTCCTGGATGTGGGTGTTAACGGTAGCATATTTGTTTTCCTTTCAATATTTGATTAAACCCTGGGGTCTTTGTTAATAAAGCTTTCCATGATGTGCAATATCAGGTGTTGTGTATGATATCAGATAATTTCACTGTTTTATGGCATCTGTTGAGAGTTTCATAATTTCCATGACAGGCTTATCTTTAGTATGTAGAAATCTCTGAACTTAATAATGCCATATAAGATATTTTCCACCCTGGCCTTATTTTGTTTTGGTTAAGCGTTAAATGAAAAGTTTGTACAGAATTTTTTTATGCCTCAAAATGACTCCCTGCCACTTTATTCATCATTGAAAGTTTTAAGAGTTAGGGCAAGGCCGGGTGTGGTGGCTCACGCCTATAATCCCAGCACTTTGGGAGGCCAAGGCGGGTGGATCACGAGGTCAGGAGTTTGAGACCAGCCTGGCCAAGATGGTGAAACCCCATCTCTACTAAAGATACAAAAAATTAGCTGGGCGTGATGTACGCCTGTAATCCCAGCTACTAGGGAGGCTGGGGCAGGAGAATTGCTAGAACCCGGGAGGCAGAGGTTGCAGTCAGCCGAGATAGCGCCACTGCACTCCAGCCTGGGCGGTAGGGTGACTCTCTCTCCAAAAAAAAAGAGGGTGAAAATTTACCTTTTTTTTGTTGGTGGTGGTGATTGTTTTAGGTTTGAAATCAAGTTGTTGTAAGACCTTTTGAGTTTAGAATTGTTTAAAGACCTTTTTTTTTTTAAAGGATTTCTGTTCTTTGGTCACCTGTCCCCCAAACCATTTTATGCTACCTGCTATTGAGCTGAGCCCCCAAAATAAAAATCACTGCATAATTTTTGAGTAATCAGCTGCTGTTAGCTGTTCTTTTAAGAAAATACTATCTCTATTATGAAGTTGTATGAACTTACACCTCTGTAGTTAACTGTGTTTTAGGCAGTATTCTAAGAGTTTTGCATATATTCATTTAATACAATAGTTCTGTGAGAAAGATACTATAATTTGTTTTACAGATGAGGTCATGTATATGATGGTAGAACCAGCTGCTATTCTACACTCCCCTTCTGAAAAGAATACAAATTGTATCAGCATTTTTCATATTATTGTTGTGCCAAATTTGAGTTGAAGAATTCGAGGTAGAATCAACCAAAGAACGCAGAAGCGTTTAGCCCATGATCTCCTGCCTTCCATTGATTTTGACAGAATTGCAAACGATGAGACCTGACTCCTTCAACACCGACCATTTTCATTTTTCAGTCCTATCATGGTCCTCCCAAAGTCATTTGTGTGAGAGGCTCTGCTGGCTGGTCACAGAGCATAGAATTTTAAGTGGATAGAGTCATCTTTCTTTGTCACTGTAAGAATTGAGGTCACTTTCTAAGCCCTGTCTTGACACTGCTAAAACAGTTTATGCATTTATCAAATTTATAAACTCCTCTTGAAGTGTAATTTAGAGCTATAATTACTTTAGCTTGATGAGATAGGAAATCCTGTTTTGAGATGTCTGTGTGCATCCACCAAACTTAACAGGAGTTTCCTCCTGTGATAGGGAAACAGGAGGAAGTGGCAGGGAATGAGGAGGAAGGTTCCCATGCCCTCATTATCCATATGTCTGGAGAGAGAGAGAGAGAGAGAGAGAGAGCCATACTATGAGTGATTTTTTTACTTCCTTAGTGGTTAAGTTGTATTTTTTCAGTTCCAAAAAGCTATTTTTAAAAAGTAATAAAGCAACAGCAGTGCCCTGTTAATATAATCCTAACATGCGACCATTTGACTATGTTACAACCAAGAGATCCAAAGCTTGTAGCGCTGTGCCTTATCCTTTTCTGTTATTGAAGATTTTGATTGATTTTGTTTTTGTTTTTTGACTACTAAAGTGGATGCTATATGCAGTAATTTTATAGTGTTTTAAATATGTGCTGAAGAATACTGTTTTTCAAAATACTCCAGTTTTTAACCCGTTTGTGCCAGAGGTTGCGAATTTTTTGTGTGAAAAATCAGGCCTTGGCAATGACCTTGAGCAGTAGAATATAAATCCCACAAGCTTAGCGTTCCAGTAATGGAACACTAGGCATAAATGGGTTAACAAGTGGTAACTAAGGGCTATATAAAATTTGGTTAACCCTTGACAGCAGCAGTGCATACCAGATACTTCATGACTTTCATAGGTTAGAGTGTTTTATTCTCAGTTATTTGAACACTCACAGTATTCATCCCACCCATAGTGACACAGCTCTATGCTAAGGGATCATAAATGAATTCACACAGGGTGCCTGTTCCTGCAGTATCACCACGTAGTGAAGGAGACATGCATTCAGCTAATGACAGTGGGAAACAGCAAACCACAGAGGCCGGTCCTGTGGAAGCACACAGGAGAGAAGCACCAGCTGCTGCGTCATCTGGCACTTGACTCACTTGAGGAAAACGGTTGTTTTCCAACGAGGTCATGTTCTTAGAGCTTTTTCTGACATGTTACTTTTATATATTCTTCTTATGAAGTCAAATTGTAAAAATCCATTCTCATTTGATGTATTTCCCACATTGCACATTTATTGCACTTCAGAACCTGGAAATTGTATGCTAAGTATGCTTTGTATTTTGCTTTTTAAAGAACTAACTCATCTGGTTTCAGGACTAGATCTACTGTAGAAAGAAAAAAAAAAATTAACTCAGTTGTTTGGTTTTAGTTACCAGATTTTACATATCACATTTAAGATAAAAAAGATACTTTTATTTTATGTTATGATGCAATTTAGTCTTTCAGTTGCCCTTCAAAACTTGGACTATATGTACTTAATTTTTTGGTTGCAATACTATATCTAAATATCCGTCATCTCCATACAGAAATGTCACAATTTAGGATTAATAGCCTTGTCATCTAATTTATATATACATTTGTGATAATATAGCTAGTGCGTAAGAATATTTCCCCAAGGTCAGTTAAGCAAGATTTTCTTATGATCATCATTGCCATGAACTCTCAAACATAGCGATCTTGTGAAAACAGTGCCTGTTAATTTACAATGTTTACCTTGAACAGTTGTCAAGTGTGATTTTTATAAGGAGTTGGTATGTTTCTAAGCAGTTATCTACTTGATCTTTTTAATATTGGGGTTAAGGGAAACCTGCTTACAGCATCACCTATTTTTCATTCAAATGGCACATAATAGAGCATGTGTAACAGTTGTGTACCTTTGTGGGGTTTTTTTGTTTTTTGTTTTTCTTTTTGAGACAGGGTTTCGTTCTGTTGCCCAAGCTGGAGTACAGTGGCTCGATCTCACTGCAACCTCCACCCCCCAGGCTCAAGTGATTCTTTCACCTCGGCCTCCTGAGTAGCTGGGACTACAGGCATGTGCCACCACACCCGGCTAATTTTTGTATTTTTTGTAGAGATAGGGTTTCACCATGTTACCCAGGCTGGTCTTGAACTCCTAGGCTCGAGTGATCTGCCTGCCTCGGCCTCCCAAAATGCTAGGATTACAGGTGTGAGCCACCACGCCCGGCAGTGTGTGCATTTCTGAATAAATTTATTAGTACTTGAATAATGTATTAGTTTCTGCATTTATTTAATGTAACGTTTTGATCTGGCGTGGAAGAACATGAGAGGAGGCACAAGAGTTAACACATCAGATGGACATAATGCTATTGTATTTCAGAACTTAAAATCCACTAAAATTTGTATATTCAGCTAGATACAGCTAGTTGTTCCAGTGTTTGCTATCTTACTTCATATAACTTACCACACTGGTTCTCAAGTCGTAACTACCTATCAGAGTCATCTGGGGGAGCAGTTGAAAACTCGACTGGCTCCACCTCAGACTAATTGAATTGGAGTCAGTGATGGCGGCACGCCTGTGGTGGGCTTGTCTTAGTGCTCCAGGTGATTCTAAAATGCAGCAAAGGTTAAGAGCCACAGGCCTAACCCTGCAGATAACTCACTTTGAGCACATTTAGTCACTTTATGTGATTTGGCATGGTTGCCTCTACAAACTTTCCCTTTTTGGTGCTAGATACTTGTAGAGCAGTTGAGTTTGTGATTCTGAAAGTGAATGTGGAAAAAAGGAATGTGTTAAGGTGTTTCGAGATCACAAAATGGATCCAGTCAAATTTTCATGTTTATATTTTTCATTAAAACTTAGGAGAAAAATAGTTGATATGAAGGAGGGAAAAATGTTCTCAGTTGAATTTTAAGGTTTGGTATTTGATATTCTAAATAAGTATTTTGGGAATTGGTCCGGGACTAGTCATGCCATATTTAGCAAATAAAAAGACAGGTCACCTAGTTAAAATTGAATTACGGATAAATCACAATTACTTTAAAAAATGTAGTTATGTCCCATGCAATATTGTGGACATACTTTAAAGAAAGCAATATTTTGGACATACTTCTACTAAAAATGTATTATTTGATATAAATAAATATAAACATATTATTTGATGTTTATTAAACCATCCATTACCACAGTGCCGTCTATCTTGATATCCCATCCTTAACATAACTCCCTTGGCTGGACTCACTTTTTTACCTTCTCCTTTCCTCCTCCTTTCTCCCCATCTCCCTCCACCGCCTTTTTTTGATTGACCAAGGATCCATGGTACTGGCATGTTATATTGGTAACATGTGATTACTTCTTTTTTCATATTTAGGATAGGAAATATGAAAGAGGATACACTATATTGAAATTTTTTTAACATTTAATTGTATAATAATTTAGTAGAAGAATGTAAATGAGAACTTAATTGTCTCATATAATTTGATAATGTTTGTAATCTGTAGAAAATATATGTTCTTATGAACAGAGATTGAATAGAAATAGATATCTAGGAGTTAGGCAGACCTGATCTTTCCGTTGCCTGACCTGGAGCAAGTTACCCCCTCAATAAAGCTAAGTTTCCTTGGGGATGATAAATTCATGGGGACCCCAGGATTCCATGGGATGATGCAATTAAATATGTAAATATGTCAGAAAGGATGACCTTTGTTAACGGTTGGGGTGATTATGAAAGGGCTAATTTCAGCATGGTAACTATTAAATCTGGATTTATTTAAAGTATCAATTTAATTGGTCACAAAAATGGAAAGACCAGACACGAACATCTTCATACAAAAAGATTGTACTTCTGTTCCTTTTAGAAGGGTGTGTGCTCTGTGTGGACTACCTGAATTTATCCCATACAAGGATAGCACATGTAATTAGCATAGCTCATTGAGATTTCATCTTTGCTTTTGAAGAGTAAAATGAATGACTTTCAAGAATTAGTGTATTAGGTCAATGACAGTACTTTGTTTCAGCCAAACAGTTAACCAGACAGAACTAATAATGAGGCTCTCCCCAGGCTGCCTAGGCTGCATAAGAAACCATTAATTGTAAGATGTTGTATGTGCAGCTAAGCCCCTGAGCAACACCATAGAGTCAAGGGTCAAGGAATAGCTGACTCCAGTTTACCCTGATTAGTTCACTAAACATTTCCACTCGTTGAAGAAGGACGGTATTTCCATAGCGTTGTGATAGGTTTTAAAATGCCACAAGAGAATCGCCACTTCTAAATTGGCACGAAATACCCACCACTTATAAAGGTGCATCTTTGATCTTGAGTGGGTTTTTACTATGCAGTTTTATCTGCATGACCAAATTGCTCGAATAACACTTTTTCTCTGTCCACGGGTAGGTCATTCAAGGGGTGTCCACATTGTAGTGGCCTGAGATATCAACCCAAGTACCCTTCCCCTTTTTTCTTGGGCACACAGAATTTCTGGTATCCCTGCATGCCTTGGATTTGCATTTCATAAAATAAGCATTTGTATTTCATTGTATGTAAATGCTAAATTATGGAATTTTAAAGGGAAATCTCAACAATTGATTGTGTGATCTTTATAATGTATAATATATCCAGTATAGATTAGATATATTATAAATTTATATATTATATATACTAGATACATAGTATATATTATACAATTTATAACTATAATATAAATTATATAAATTAGTATATATATAATAGATATATATTAGAAATGTTATTTCTAATCTAGCCGGTGGGTATATTATAAATCAGATTGTCCTGATTTTGTTTTTTCTGTGGTGATTTCCGTTGTCTTTAATTAGAGGCAGCATGCATACAGGCCTGGCCGACTTTTTCAGAAAACGCCGTCTTGAGCTCTGTAGTAGTTATATGATCCAATCCTGGTTGTAGACATTTAAAATGTTGGATTTACAATTTTGGTTTATCTTTGTTTATTACAAAATGCATTTCTATTCGGTAGAGAACTTCAGGTCTTTTTAAAGTAATGCTATTATATCTCTTTAATCATGTATTATAAAATTTACAATTATTGATCTCAAGTCAGTCATTTAGTACCTGCTAGGTTCCAAGGTGGCTAGTTGGATTCTATTTGTGAGGAACTCACTGCACAACAACCAGAGAGGAACTGTTCTGAAAGAATATTGTAATTTTTTAAAACCATAATAAAATACTAAGCTGTGATGACATAGTGAAGTGTGTCCAGGCCAGCCTGTTTGGAAAGGTTATCAAGGAGATCAGACTCGATTTTTCTGGAGTTAAGATCACAGATCTGACTCCATTTGCTTACGTGAGGCAAGTGCTGCAATTGTTTTCTCTTTGGGAGATGTGACAGTGATATCTGGGGTGCTGCTTTTTTCCCCTAGTGCCGTTAGTACATTATTTCTCAGAAAACTCAGAAATACTCTTTCAGGAAAAAGTTGTACAAAATTGCACCACTTAGAGGTATCTTTCATTAGAACTCAGATGAGCTAAGACATTTCCAGATTCGTGGGTTTTTTTTTTTTTAATATTTTAGGTTTGGGGGTACATGTGAAGTTTTGTTACATAGATAAACATGTCATCGGAGTTTGTTGTACGCATCCTTAGATCACTCAGGTATTAAGCTCGGTCCCCAGTAGTCATCTTCTCTGCCCTCTCCCTCCTCCCACCCTCCCCCTTCAAGTAGATCCCAGTGTCTGTTCTTTCCTTCTTTGTGTTCATGGGTTCTTATCATGTAGCTCCCGCCAAATTTGTGTTTCAAAGCTTAATCGCCACCTCCGTTGTAACTTAAAAATTATCATGTACATGTGTTTGTGTTGTTCTGCACATATTTGTTGGCAGATAACTGCTTTGTATACATTATTGTGATGGCAAAAAGAAGCCCTTTTCTGTGAGCGGGTTTGGTGTCCGGCTCGACCTGGGTTCCTGCACCACCGCTGTGTGCTCCTCCTCGAGTGAATGTATGGCTCACTGTGCATTGTGCTGCCGAGCTCACGTGTGTGACGCGGATATGTTCTTTCTTTTCAGGTTATCACCAATCTAGTGAAAATGTTGAAGTCCAGAGACACGAGGAGAAATTTTTGTCCTCCAAACCACTGGCTGTCAGAACAAGAAGATATTAAAGCAGATAAGGTGTTATTGAAAGATCTTTTTAATATTTATCATTAAAAAATACATTCAGCTTGTGTCTTTCTGGAGAGAAGAATTAAGCACTTTAAAATTATTTATTTTATGACTCATATGACTAAATAGTAATGATAAACCTTATTACTAACTCTTACGCCAACTTCTTAATGGAACATATAGCAGTATCATTGACTTAAAATGATATTCTGAGTTATTAATCCTCAATTTTCCTTTTTAACCTGAGATTATATTAAAGCCTTAATGATTCTTTGTGAGGTTGAAAAATATTTTGCTTTTATTAGTATTAATATATGTCTAGTATTTAAAAGAGATAGATCTTATACCTAATTTTTGTGATTTTTTTTTTTTGAGACGGAATCTTGCTATGTTTGCCCGTGGTGGTCTCAAACTCCCAGCCTGAAGTGATCTTCCTACCTTGGCCTCCCAAAGTGCTGGGATTACAGACGTAAGCCACCACACCAGTCCTTTATCCTTGATTTTCTAAAAGAACAGAGACAAATTTGAATATTACTAATACCTACATCTAAAGCAGATTCAGTAGTATGATACGTTAGTAAAAAATTTAAGTGGCCAGGCGCGGTGGCTCACGCCTGTAATCCCAGCACTTGGGGAAGCCGACGGGCAGATCACTTAAAGCCAGGAGTTTGAGACCAGCCTGGCCAACATGGCGAAACCCTGTATCTCTATTGAAAATACAAAAATCAGCCGGGCGTGGTGGCAGACGCCTGTAATCCCAGCTACTCGGGAGGCTAAGGCAGGAGAATCACTTGAACCTGGGAGACAGAGGTTGCAGTGAGCTGAGACTGTGCCATTGCACTCCAGCCTGGGTGATAAGAGCGAAATTCCGTCTCAAAAAAAGAAAGAAAAATGAAAGAAAATACAAATATTAGCCGGGCATGGTAAGTGTCCCCCTGTAGTCCCAGCTACTCAGGAGGCTAAGGTATGAGAATCCCTTGTGCCCTGGAGGCGGAGGTTGCAGTGAGCCAAGATCGTGCCACTGCACTGCAGCCTGGGTGACAGAGCGAGATTCTGTCTCCAGAAAAAACAAAAAATATAAGTGATGTTAACAGAGGGACATAAGGTATTTTCAGTTCTTGAGAAAAAGTCGTAACTGGATTCATTTCAGAATCTTGGGAGTAGGAGATGGAGTGGTGGAGGGTATAAAAGAAACCATGTCGGCTGGGCGCGGTGGCTCATGCCTGTAATCCCAGCACTTTGGGAGGCCAAGGCAAGTGGATTGCCTGAGCTTAGGAGTTTGCGACCAGCCTGGGCAACATGGTCAAACCCAGTCTCTACTAAAATAAAAAAATTAGCCAGGCACGGTGGTGTGCGCCTATAGTCCCAGCTACTTGGGACTGAGGCTGAGGCAGGAGAATCGCTTGAACCTGGGATGCGGAGGTTGCAGTAAGCTGAGATCACGCCACTGCACTCCAGCCTGGGCGACAGAGCAAGATTCCGTCTCAAAAAATAAAAAAAAAAAACCATGTCACAGAAATATTCGAGGAGAGAAAACAGGAGTGTTTCAGAACAATTTTATAAGCATGACTATGTCCTCATAAGATATTTGTGAGTTAAGCCTGTTGCATCTAACTCTGCCCACTGACAAGGTAGAGCAATGGTGGCAGATCCCCCAGCAGTGAACAGTTCTGGGGCCCAGGCTGGGGTTGCTTCACAGCAAAAGAAGCAGTCCTGGCAGGGTGCTTGGCTCCAGGTCTGGGGAAGACCCTGCAAGATGGGTGTGGAGTGCTCTGTCATGCTGGAGAGCGAGGAAGCTATTGCAGGGTGGCTGGGGCTGGGAGACAGGGTTAGGAGCCTGTCTCTAGCTGGTCATGGGCAGAAACTTGAAGCATTCATGAAAACAGCTAACTCTGAGTTCGCAAGGGTGCTAACAAAACCCTTCGTCATCATATTTGTAGGATGCAAAGGAACCATCTCATTATTTTGAATGCTGTTTTGAAAAAAAGAAGTACTCAAGCATTTAACCCACCTTTCATTTATAAACTGTACCTCAGGCAAAACAGATAGTGTGTGATCTTTTGCATAGAAGTATTCCAGCCAATACTACATGAAAAGGATTTTTGCAAACTAGAATCAGCCTGTTGCAGGCTCTGGTGAAGGAGATGACCAGGGCGGTGCCACTCCAGGTGCAGCGCATGTCTAGGGTCTGCTGGTCTGAGATGGTGTGTTGGCCTCCCAGGAGAGGAGGGTCTGGTCCCAGAATGCAAATAGCTGCACCTCTTCCTTACTCCAGAAAGTTGTGCGATGGGAAAATGTCAGCTGAACCCAGCAGTGTGCTTAGTGATTTAATTGATTTATATTTTGGCACAAGTCCCTTATCTCATCACCAGCTGGTAGTACGGTGCACACACCCACACTTGAAGTAGGTTTCACTTCTGCAGTGAAAAGCAGAGATGGGGCCTCTCAGTGATCGAGCATCCCACACCACCTAGGAAACGTTCTCGCCAGAAAGTTAAATCTAAATGTGGTGGAACCTCTACATCTAACTACAAAATTACAGGAAACATAGGGGTTAGAAGTACATCTTTAACAACACCATGAGGGTGCAATTAGCAAAATCTAGATTATGGGAAATTTTACAGGATGAAAGTTTCTTCATTAAAAATTGCAAGGGTGGCTGGGCACGGAGGCTCACATCTGTAATCCCAGCACTTTGGGAGACCGAAGTATGTGGATCACCTGAGGTCAGTTCGAGACCACCCTGGCCAACATGGTGAAACCCCATCTCTGCTAAAAATACAAAAGTTAGCCAGGCATAGTGGCATGTGCCTGTAATCCCAGCTACTTGGGAGCCTGAGGCAGGAGAATCCCTTGAACCTGGGAGGCAGAGGTTGCAGTGAGCCAAGATCAGGCCACTGCACTTTATCCTGGGTAACAGAGTGAATGAGACTCCATCTAAAAAAAAAAAAAAAATTGCAAGGGCCAGCCGGGTGTGGTGGCTCACGCCTGTGACCCGGGCACTTTGGGATGCTGAGGCAGGTGGCTTGCTTAAGCTCAGGAGTTCAAGACCAGTCTGGGCAAGATAGCAAAACCCCATCTCTACAAAAAGTACAAAAATTAACCAGGCGTGATGGTATACACCTGTAGTCCCAGCTACTCAGGAGGCTGAGGTGGGAGGATCGCTTGAAACCAGAAGGTGGAGGTCGCAGTGGGCTGAGGTCGCACCACTGCATTCCAGCCTGGGTGACAGAGTGAGACCGTGTATCAAAAAATAAAAAATTGTAAGGACCAAAAATAAGGGATGAGAGGAACTGACAGATGAAAAATAACTTGAGAAAATATACTGTGTCTGTTTTATTTGAATACTGCCTCAACCAAATTGAAAAAAAAACTAGAAAGTGAATTTTTGATAATAATAACTTAATTTTTAAAGTGATCTATTTTGCTTCATAAAGCAATTATATTATTTTACTATGTTTAGATATTATGCACCATCAAATAAAACAATTAGAGATTTCTTTGGGGCATATTAGAAAACATAGTTAACTGTAAAAGTATGAAAGGACAGCTAGCATGAGAGAGGACCTGAAAAGGTAAAGCAAAAGGGGACATGAAGGTATGAGGTCAGAGAGAGGGCCCAGCCCACGGTAGAGAAATGTCCAGCACCAATTCTGTTCAAGTGTGATCAGGTCAAAGTGTGTGCTAGAGCACAGGGGAGTTCTGAACCAGGATTGCCCCCGACAGGTCACTCAGCTCTATGTGCCAGCATCCAGACATGTGTGGAGGTTCCGGCGGATGGGGAGGATAGGCCCGCTGCAGTCCACCCTGGACGGTGAGTTCTCTAGGACACAGGGTTACTGAGGTATGAATTACATGCTGTCAAATTCACTCCTTTAATCTACAGATCTGTTATTTTTCATAAACTTATACAGCCATGTCACTCCCAGCAGGAGCTACCATGTAGAAAAGTTTCATCACCCACAAAATTGCCTCTAGCTCCATTGCGGCCACCTCTTCAGCAGCCACCCATTTCTGTTTTGTCCTGTCACTTTGCCTTTTGCAAAAGGCCTCCAAAGGGAACCATGCTGTGTAGTCTGCTCCTGGCTCCTTTTGGTCAGCACGCTGCATTTGAGGGTGCTGTGTGGGTTGATTGTTCCCTCTGTTGCTCAGCAGTATTCCAGTGTGGGGATGCACCACAGTTTGTGAATCCATTCATTGGTTGAAAGACATTTGGTTATTTTTTCTGTCTCTGGGAATACGAGTACAGCTGCTATAAACATCTATGTACAGGTTTTTCTGTGAACATACATTTTGTTTGACATGGAGTAAGTTTCACTGGGAGTAAGAATCCTGAGACATTTGGCAAGTTTATGTTTAACTTGATGAGAAGCTGCAGAACTGTGTTCCAGGGTGGCTGCACGGCTTTGCATTCAGACCAGCAATGAATGAGAGCCTCTGTTGTTCCCAGTCCTCATCAGCACTTACAGTTGTCATTTAAAAAAAAAAAATTCTATGGGCCAGGCGTGGTGGCTCTCGCCTGTAATCCCCAGCACTTTAGGAGGCCGAGGTGGGCGGATCATCAGGTCAGGAGTTCAAGACCAGCCTGACCAACATAGTGAAACCCCGTCTCTACTAAAAATACAAAAAACTAGCTGAGCGTAGTGGCGGGCACCTGTAATCTCAGCTACTTGGGAGGCTGAGGCAGGAGAATCGCTTGAACCCAGGAGGTGGAGGTTGCAGTGAACCAAGATCACACCACTGCACTCCAGCCTGGGTGACAGTATAAGACTGTCTAAAAAAAAAAAATTTGGCCATTGTAAAAGGTGGGAAATGGTATCTTCTTGTGGTTTTAATTTGTGTCTACCAGCCGACTAATGATATTCAGCATCTTTTTCATGAATTTGTTTTTTTGTTGTGTTTTCTTGGTTGTTTTTTGTTTTTTTGGAGACAGGGTCTCACTGTGTGCTCAGGCTGGAGTGCAGAGGCGCAATCACGGCTCACTGCAGCCTTGACTTCCTGGGCTTCAGCGATCTTCCTGCCGTAGCTTCCAAAGTAGTTGTGACCACAGGCGTGTGCCACCACACCTGGCCAATTTTTTAATTTTTTTGTAGAGATGGAATCTCCATGTGTTGCCCAGGCTGGCCTTTAACTCCTGGGCTCAAGGGATCTTCCCACCTTGGCCTCCCAAAGTACTACGATTACAGGTGTGAGCCACTGCACACTGCCTGTGAACATGTTTTTTAGTTATTGAATTTTGAGAGTTATAAAGCTATTCTGGATATAGTTTATCAGATATGTGATTTGCAAATATTTTGTCCCAATCTGTGGCTTGTCTTTTTCTTTTCTTAGCAGTGTCTTTCAAGGAGGAGAAGTTTTAAATTTTGATAGAATCCCATTTACCATTTTTTTCTTTAATGAAATTGTGCTTTTGATATGATGTCTAAGATACCTTCACCTAACACTTTACTTTTTTTTTTTCTTTCTTTCTTTTTTGAGGCAGGGTCTCAGTGTGTCACCAGGCTGGAGTGCAATGGTGCAATCACAGCTCACTGCAGCCTTGAACTCTGCAGTCTCAGGCAGTTCTCCCACCTCAGCCTCCTGAGTAGCTGGGACTATAGGCGCGTGCCACCATGCCCAGCTAATTTTTAAAAAAATTTTCTTCGTAGAGGCAAGGTCTCTCTGTGATGCTCAGTTTCTCAAACTCCTGAGCTCAAGGGATGCTCTCGCCTCAGCCTGGGATTACAGGCATAAGCTGCCATCCCCAGCTCCTTGAAATGAGTTTTAAGAGGCCAAGTTACGATTTATTGTTGGAAAGGAATGGGATATGTGTTTATTCATGAAATACTGCCTGGGGCCTACTGTGTATACAGCCTTCTCCCAGGCACCATCTCATGCACACACGCCTGGTCTGGGAGGAACTTTGTTGCCATAGTAGGAGGGAAAGGGCACGAAGGTGGTCGGGGGTGGCCAGGGCACCGCCCACTGCTGGATCTGGCTGCATTCGGGCCTCACCGCCAGTGCTAGGGCTAGCTGTGCACTTGAGACGTGCTAGACAGCTGGAGTGGAAGTGTAGTCCTTGATTAGGACATCTTTAATATTCGATCAAGTTATGTGTTCGGGGAGCTACTGTGCTGATCCTGCACTGTGCATGGCTCATGGGTCTGCCTGAGGCGGGGATGTGTTCATGGAACTGGATTTAGATAAATGAGTTAATCAGGATGATTTCAAGAATCTTCACCTTAAGAATTGTCAGTGGGAATGCAGGGGAAAGTACAAGTGAACTAATTAAGGTTTTAAAATGTGTTTTAGTGGGTTTGGAGTCCCCGCCGCTGTCTGTGTCTGAGGAAAGACAGCTTGCTGTCCTGACAGAGTTGCCTTTTGTGGTTCCATTTGAGGAACGAGTAAAGGTATGCAATTTGGCTTCTTTATTGTCACTACGTATCATATTAGTGTTAAGAAATTAACACACACCCACCAGAGAAATCTCTAAAGGTGCCTAGTGCCTGGCTGATTACATAACATACTTTTCTCATTAGGCTGAAATAGCTAAGAATGATTTATAAAACCCAACCAGATACCTCTTTTTACAAACTGAAAGTATTTTCTTAGTTACAACTGATTGAAAGCCAGTAAACACTATAGATTTCTTATAATGAGGGTCTAACGTCATTTTTCTCTATTAAATTTTGCATTATTTGGCCAGGTACAGTGGCTCATGCCTGTAATCCCAGCACTTTGGGAGGCCGAGGCAGGTGGATCGAGCCCATGAGTTTAAGACCAGCCTGGGAAACATAGTGAAACCCTGTCTCTACAAAGAATACAAAAGTTAGTTGGGCGTGGTGGCATGTACCTGTAGTCCCAGCTACTTGGGATGCTGAGGTAGGAGGATCATTTGAGCCTAGGAGGCAGAGGTTGCAGTGAGCCAAGATCGTGCCAGTACACTCCAGCCTGGGCAACAAAGCCAGAACCTATCTCAAAGGGGGGAAGAAACTTTGCATTGTTTTTGAAAAAGCAAATTTTTTGTGAAGATATGCTTCTGTACATTCACGTTTATTTATCAGAAACGATGTTTTTTTTTTTCTGAGACAGGATCTCACTCTGTCACCTGGGCTAGAAAGCAGTGCTGTGATCATAGCTCACAGCAGCCTCAAACTCCTGGGCGCAAGCCACCATCTCACCTTGACCTGCTAAAGTGCTGGGATTACAGGCATCAGCCACTACACCTGGCCTGGAAACACTACTTTATTTTTTTTGTTTTTTATTTTTTTTGAGATGGAGTGTCCTCTGTCGCCCAGGCTGGAGTGCAGAGGCGCGATCTTGGCTCACTGCAACCTCCGCCTCCCGGATTCAAGCGATTCTCCTGCTTCAGCCTCCCAAGTAGCTAGGACTACAGGCACGTGCCACCATGCCTGGCTAATTTTTTGTATTTTCAGTAGAGACGGGGTTTCGCCGTGTTAGCCAGGATGGTCTCGATCTCCTGACCTCGTGATCTGCCTGCCCCAGCCTCCCAAAGTGCTGAAATTACAGGCATGAGCCACCGCGCCCAGCCACTTTACTTTTTATAAAAAAAGAAATGGACAAATATCTTAATTCCTTGTCTGGTGTCTTTGATGTACAAAACTTTGTTTATATATGTTTCCAAATTTTAAAATGTTTTGTTTTTATTTGTCAACTATTTTTACCAAATTTCTAAAGATTACTTGGTTCCGTTCTTCAGTAATGGCTTCAAGAGTGTATTTTTTAGGCCTATACACTCTATTTGCATGGTGAACAAAAGAGTTTCTTTTGAAGCTGTTCATGTCCCTTTACTAAACCCTCCCTGCACGTGCGTACACACACACACACACACTCTCTCTCTCTCTCTCTCTCCCACTCACTCACTCACTCACTCACATAATTCCTGAGCTCCCTCTACTGGATTTTTAACATCAAAAAATTATTTGAATTTTGTCAGAGATATTTCTACTAGTGTTAGTATACAGCTTTTTACAAAGCTGTTCTTTCCTCACTACCTAAGTTTTTATAAAGGATTTATAAATGAAAATATTCTATCGCAAGGGGTTTAAATTTTAATTTTATTTTATTTTTGAGACAGAGATTCACTCTGTCACCCAGGCCTGAGTGCAGTGGCGCCTGCAACCTCTGCCTCCCGGGTTCACAAGATTCTCGTGCCTCAGCCTCCCAAGTAGCTGGGATTACAGGCATGAGCCAATGTGCCTGGCCGGATTTTTAAAATTTATTTTAAACTGGGCAAAGGAGCAGCTTTAGAAATATTTAAATATGATATACATTATATATTATCTATACATTTATTGATAAAAATCAAGATTTGATACCTTGACTATTAGCATTTATTTCAGAATTTATGAAGATACAAAAGATAAGATTTAGCAGTTTATTCTTTGGTAGGTTGTAAGAGGTCTTTTGTTTCTAATAACCTTACAGCTTTCCTTGTTTGTTAGATCTTTCAGAGGTTGATTTATGCAGATAAGCAAGAAGTTCAAGGAGATGGTCCATTTCTGGATGGAATTAATGTCACAATAAGAAGAAATTACATTTATGAAGATGCTTATGACAAACTTTCTCCAGAAAATGGTATATATAATTCTTTCTGTGTATTATTTGGCAGGTGGAGGCTAGGGAATTGTTTTAGAAAATGGTGGTTCTTTAAAAATTAGTGTCCATCATCTTGTTCCATAATGACTTAAAAACTGAAATGTGAGGCTGGGCATGGCAGCTCACACCTATAATCCCAGCACTTTGGGAGGCTGAGGTGAGAGGATTGCTTGTGCTCAGGAGTTAGAGGCCAGCCTGGGCAACATACTGAGACCCTGCCTCAACAACAAAAAAAGTGAGCTTATCTGGATGTGTTAGCGTGCCCCTGTTGTCCCTGCTCTGCAAAAGGCTGAGGCGGGAGGATGGCTTGAGCCTGGGAAGTGAAGGCTGCAGTCGAACTCTGATTGTGCTACTGCTCAGGCCTTGGCAGTAGAGCCAGACCCAGTCTCCAAAAAAAAGTGTAGCAAGTCAGATTTGGGAGACATGTTATCAAGTAATATTTCTAAAATTGACAGTTACTACAACAGAAGCCTTTAAAAAATATTAATTATTTTTAAAGGGCAAGAAAGTAACCAGTTCCCCACCTCCTGTTGTCTGCCCCTAAAATTTAGTTTGCAAGCTGTTGTTCTAAAAATCTCGATGGTAGCCATTTATATTCTGCGTTTTTGTATAAATATTTATATGAAATCACAAATTGTAAGCCAAATTAAACATATTAAAATAAGTGCCATTGCAATCCAAGTTTCTTATGAAAAGATAAGTGTGCTCCAATGACACTGCCGTTAGTAAAGGAGAATTATACTGTGATAGCATTTGGAGCTCACTGGCACGTTTCGTCGTATGTTCATATTTGATACTCAGTCTTGAAAGTTCGTGTGCTATTAACCTCTAATATATTAGCAGTTTTAACTTCCAAATATTGTGCTTATGGTAATACATTAATTCCATGTTGGTCAATGCCGAGGGGATTAAAATGAAAGTTTAGGCTGGATCTAAAATTAAAAATGAAATCATCTTACCCAGCTTTTGGAAGGTGATGAGTTGTCCAATGTGAAATGACAATTGCCTTTTCCTCTAGGGGAGCAACTTAATTTTCTTCTAAGGAAATGAAACCTGATTTCTAATAATTTTTATTGCTTACATAAAGAACTAATTTTATCATAATGTTGGAACAGTGGAGGAAAGCTGACATCAGTTGTTTCCTTACTCTATTTCAAGCTTTTTTTTTTTTTTTACACAATTTACCGTTGCCATTGAATCCTTGCCATGGCCCTCTGATGCCGAGTGTCATCAGCTGAGACCGAGTAAACTTAGGTCTGCATGCAGGCTGTGGCCTCTCCACAGGGCCAGGTTTGTCTTGCCTAGCAGATTGTGTTTTCAGAGTATTTGGTGTGAATGAGATGAGACTAGGTACTTTGACTCCTAATCTAACTAATCGTCTAATTGAGAGATGTTTTGGGGTCCCACAGTACCTTATAAATCAATTCTAATAGTTCTTACATTGTATTTTTATTAGCAGATTTCACGTTCATCTCTCCCACTTGACCCTGGAGGTCTTTACAGCTTGGGATGGAATTGTTTATTTGGTGTACACAGCTGATGCTCAGTAGATGCTTATTCAATTTGTGATTGAATCCCAGGGGAAAAAAATAGATGTGACAAAACAATGAGTTTGCCAATGATCGTGTAGTGTTTAGAGAAGAGTGAGATGTTTAACCTTGAAGGGCCTTCCAAGAGGCAGTTCTGGAGCAGCACCTGTAGGGGAGGAGCTGAGTTTGTGGGTGAGGGGAGCTCCGAGGGCACGGGTGCTGTGGTCAGGGGTACTTGCAAGTGGGGGGGCTGTAAGCTCTTCAGCCAGAGTAGAATGCGTTTCTTACTTACCAGCAATTTAAAATTAACTTTAAAACTACTCCCTGGGCGTGGCGCAGTGGCTCACGCCTGTAATCCCAGCACTTTGGGAGGCTGAGGCAGGCAGATCACAAGGTCAGGAGATCGAGACCAGCCTGGCCAGCATGGTGCAACCCTGTCTCTACTAAAAATACAAAAAAAAATAGCTGGGCGTGGTGGTAGGCACCTGTAGTCCCACCTACTCAGGAGGCTGAGGCAGGAGAATGGCATGAACCCGGGAGGCGGAGGTTGCAGTGAGCCGAGATCGCACCACTGCACTCCAGCCTGGCAACAGAGTGAGACTTCATCTCAGAAAAAAAAAAGAAAAAACTACTCCCTGTAGATGATTTTTTGATGTTACTGTCCAATTATAACAAGCCTCAAATTTCCTAATGAATCCTTAAGCTTTAAAAATTGTTAAAAAACTGATCACACCCACCTCCCTAGGGGCATGCTAATAATTGCATTGAAGTTAAAAGATTTGGAAGAATCTTCTCATATTGTTTATACTGTAATGCTTGAAATCTTTATAAATGTTCTCAACTCAAATACTGTAAGCATGATTAAGCCATGTGTTAAAATGTGGTGTTTTGCTACGCAAATTAGTAAAGTCAGATATCATCTCAGAATAATTAATTTACTTGTGAGAGAATGGTTTGAGGTGCATTTTTGACTAAAAATTTACATATAATCAACTAATGTGATTATTCCACGTGTCATCTAGTCATTGAAGTGAATCCATGCTTTACGATGCTCGTTGTCTTATCTCCGAACGATTCTCTGCAGTGTGCATGTTAGCCCCTGTTACCCATAAGTTGACTGAGTGGAATGCAGAGATTGATGGCTGTTCCTGCAGTTGGTGCTCAGAGAGCAAAGATGGGCTGGGGTTCCACAGGGATGCCCACGCACTCCCAGCCTGCACTGCACTACCTTGTTGCAGTGTGGAATATTGGGAGAAACCGTCACATTCCCTCATGGGATTGCTGTAAGAATTGTAAAGTGGGTAACAAAGTTCCCTCGGGGCCTGGAGCTCACTCTGTCATTGACTCTTGGGTGAGAGTGAGGCACAGCTGGCTCTGCACTCTGCTGTCATCAGTTCTGGAGAGCCTCACTTGTCTGCTTTTGTTGGTTGGTTACTTTTATTTTATTTCATTTAATGGGCAGAATTACCATTTCTTCCTGAAGCAGAGGAAATTTATTCCAGAAGCAGGAAAGCAAGCTGGAGCCAAATGGCTTAGATGTGTTTACCTGATTCCCAAGGGTGACACGGACACTGACCCAGAGGTGGCGGGCACGGCAGGGCAGCACTGCATCCCTGCTGCTGTGCAGAGTGGCCCCATCTTGTCCATTCAGTCAGCGACCACTGCTCAGTGAATGGGAACTTGGTATTTCTGTGTGGTGGCTGTAAGCCTCAGTCAGTCCAGTAAATTGTATTTGCCCTATTTGACACATATCATAGACTATTTACACTCCAGGTACGGTAACTTCAAAATTACTGACACGTGTACATAGCAATCTAGGGATAGACAGGGTTTTGAGGAGATTGCATGGAGGCTCTATCAAACATTCTGCTAAACCCCTTTTCCAGAATGCTTCTAGAGGTTACATGTCCCTTGAGATGCTCCAGGGCAGATATGTTTGGGTGACTATGCACCAAAGCCAACAGAGGGCAGCAGCGCATGGGGCCTGTGAAAGTGTCGAATGTACACTACGTGCGGTTGCTTTCCCCTGACTTCATGCAGCAGCCTGTCCCCAACTCTCGTCCCCTCTCCTTCCCCCTATCTTTTCTGCAAAGCACCTGTAGAACATTCTTAGGGAAAGATAAAGGACATTTCACTTACTTCCCCAAAGCTGTTCTCTGATTCAGCCTGTTTATCAGAGCACATCTTAACTTGGTCCACCTTGTGTTTTTTTTGGTTTTGGATTTTTGTTTGTTTGTTTTTTGAAATGGAACTTCTCTCTTGTTGCCCAGGCTGGAGTGCAATGGCACAATCTTGACTCACTGCAACCTCCACCTCCTGGGTTCAAGCGATTCTCCTGCCTCAGCCTCCTGAGTAGCTGGGATTACAGGCATGCACCACCACGCCCGGCTAATTTTTTTTTGTATTTAGTAGAGACGGGGTTTCACCATGTTAGTCAGGCTGGTCTCAAACTCCTGCCCTCAGGTGACCCACCTGCCTTGGCCTCCCAAAGTGCTGGGATTACAGGCATGTGCCACTGCACCCGGCCTGTTTTTGGGGTTTTTAAATTTTTATTTTAGAGATGGGGGTCTCACTTTCAGCCAGGCTGGAGTGCAGTGGTGCAATCATAGCTCACTGCAGCCTCAAACTCCTGGGCTCAAGTGATCCTCTTGAGTAGCTGGAATTACAGGCACATACCACCATGCCCAGCTTTTCTTATATTTTGTAGAGACAGGGTCTTGCTAGTGTTGCCCAGGCTGGTCTTGGACTCCTGGCCTCAGGCAGTCCTTCTGCCTTGGCTTCCCAAAGTGCTGGGATTACAGAAGTGAGCCTCTGTGCAATGTTTTAATTTATTTATTTTTTTTTTTTTTGAGACTGTCACGCAGGTTGGGATGCAGTGGCACGATCTTGGCTTACTGCAACCTCTGTCTCCCAGATTCAAGTGATTCTCCGGCCTCAGCCACCCAAGTAGCTGGGATTACAGACATGTGCCACCTTGCCTGGCTAGTTTTTATATTTTTAGTAGGGATGGGGTTTCACCATGTTGGCCAGGCTGGTCTCGAACTCCTGACCTCAAGGCGATCCGCCCACCTCAGCGTCCCAAAGTGCTGGGATTACAGACATGAGCCACTGCACCTGGCCTTAATTTACTCTTCGTAGCAAATTATATAACCAGTAATTTTCCCCCCTTTTCAGCCAAATACAGCTTTTAAAAGATCACGTAGATCAGGGTTGTCCAATCCTTTGGCTTCCCTGAACCACATTGGAAGAGGAATAATTGTCTTGGGCCACAGACAAAATACACTAACAGTAGCTGATAAGCTTTTGAAAAAAAAAAAAAATTACAGGCCGGGCACGGTGGCTCACGCCTGTAATCCCAGCACTTTGGGAAGCCAAGGCGGGCAGATCACAAGGTCAGGAGTTCGAGACCAGCCTGGCCAATATGGTGAAACCCCATCTCTACTAAAAATAGAAAAATTAGCCAGGTGTGGTGGCACACGCCTGTAGTCTTAGCTACTTGGGAGGCTGAGGCAGAAGAATCACTTGAACCCGGGAGGCGGAGGTTGCAGTGAGCTGAGATGGCACCACTGCACTCCAGCCTGGATGACAGAGGCAGACCCCGTCTCAAAAAAAAAAAAAAAAAAAACCTCCTAATGTTTTAAGAATTTAGGTATCTGTATTGGGCCGCATTCAAAGCCATCCCGAGCCACATCGGCCTGTGGGCTGCAGGTTGAGGACAAGCTTGCTGTAGATTCTGGAGGACCAATTCCCTGAGAGTTTGTGGGGGCGGAGGTTGCAGTGAGCCGAGATCGTGCCACTGCACTCCAGCCTGGGTGACGGAGCAAGACTCTGTCTCAAAAAATAATGATAATATCATTGCTGTTTTGAGTCCTATGTTAAAATGTCCCTAAGATCCTCACACCCCTTCCTTAAGCCTTCCTGTAAGGCTAGTTGATGTTATTGCTTGCTTGTAACATCTTTCCTCCTCACCCTCCCATTTTTTTTTAACAGAGCCTGATTTGAAAAAGCGGATCCGTGTGCACTTGCTCAATGCCCATGGCCTGGATGAAGCTGGCATTGATGGTGGTGGTATTTTCAGAGAGTTTTTAAATGAACTACTGAAGTCAGGATTTAACCCCAACCAGGGGTTCTTTAAGACTACTAATGAAGGGCTTCTGTACCCCAACCCGGCTGCTCAGATGCTTGTGGGAGATTCTTTTGCCAGACATTACTACTTCCTAGGCAGAATGCTTGGAAAGGTAAAGTAACCTTCATATAAAAATAGACCTCGGACCAAAAGATGTTGACATTTTATGTTTATGTGTGGTTGTTATCCAGGTTTACCATAAAATACTGTTTGTTTTAAATTTGGATGCTAAATGTTGCAAAAGCACTGCACGAAACAAATTTGTATGGTTGTAAGTAGGTGCTATGGTTTGAATGTCCCCTCCAAACTCATGTTGAAACTTGATCCCCAGTGTGCCAGTATTCAGAGGTGGAATCTTTAAGAGGTGATTAGATCATGTGAGCTCGGCCGTCATGAATGGATGAGTGGTTTATTGTGGGAAGGGCCCTGGTGACTTTTTACAGGAGGGAGCCCCTAGCTTTGTGATGCCCTGTGCCGCCTCCGGACTCTGCAGAGTCCCCACCAATGAGAAGACCTCACCAGGGGCTGCCTCTGGACCATGGGCTCCTGGCCTTCCAGCTATAAGAAATGGATTTCAGTTTTTATTAATTACTCAGTTTCAGGTCTTCTGTTATAAGCAGTCAAAACGGACTAAGACAGTAAGTTACTGCCTAGTGACTATTAGTTTAATAGGACTGCCGCAACAAATTACCACACTCTTTGGGGGGGGAGGGAGGCTTAGAAAAACTGAAATTTATTATTTGACAGTTCTGGAGGCTGGAAGTCCAAACTCAGGGTGTCAGCAGCAGCATAGATTCCTTTTTAGAGGCTCTAGAAGAATCCATTCTTCTGGTTTTGCCAGTAGCCCTTGACCTTTTTTGGCTTGTAGATTCATCATTTTGATCTCTGCCTCTGTGGACTTCTCCCTGAGTGTCTCTGTCCAACATTGCCTTATTTTTTTTAATAAGGACACCTGTCATTGTATTGGGGTCTTCCCTGATCCAGTGTAACTTCATCTTAATTTGGTTATCTGCAAATACCTCATTTCCAAAGAAGGTTATATTCACAGATTAGGATTTGAATTTGTCTTTTGGGGGGACACAGCTCTACCTGTTAGGGTGACATTTATAAAGTTGAGTATTCAGGAATTGTTATTAGTTTGTTTGTTTGTTTGTTTGAGACGGAGTCTCTCCTTGCTCTGTTGCCCAGGCTGGAGTGCTGTGGCGCCATCTCTGCTCACTGCAAACTCCACCTCTCAGGTTCAAGGGATTGTCCTGCATCAGCCTCCTGAACAACAGGTGTGCACCACCACGCCCAGCTAATTTTTCTATTTTTAGAAGAGATGGGGGTTTCCACCATGTTGTCCAGAATGGTCTTTAACTCCTGACCTCAAGTGGTCCACCTGCCTTGTCCTACCAAAGTGCTGGGATTACAAGCGTGAGCCACTGCACCTGGCCTGTTATTCGCATTCTTAAATAAATTAGAAATTAATGTTGCTATTGTGATTAATTTCTGTAAGAATCAGAGCTATAATCATTTTCAACTTTGTAATAAAATTTCTTTGTCTCATTGGTGGTTCTGTTTTCCGAGAAGCATAGTGCATGGAGTCGCCTGTTTTGAGAAGCAGCTTAATTGAAAAATCAGTGCCTGCAAAACAGGTGGTGCTTTTAGGACTTCTTTTACATAACAGTTTTATTAAAATATAACTCACATTATGGAAAATTGAACCTTTTAAAGTGTACAGTTCAGTGGTTTTTAATATATTCACTGTGTTATGTGACCATCACCAATATCAAACTTGGAAGCAATGTCATCATCCCAAAAAGGAAACGCTAGGTAGTCACTCCCTATCCTGCCCTTCCTCCCCCAGCCCTGGCCAACCACTAGTCTACTTTCAGTCTGTATGGATTTTTTTTTTTCTAGACATTTCATATAAGTGGAATCATTTGTTATATCAACTATAAATTTGTGACCTTTTGTGATTGGCTTCTTTGATTTAGCATGTTTTCAGGTTTCATTCATGTCGTAGTATGTCAGAGCTTCACTCATTTGAAGGGCCAAATCTTATTTCATTGTATGGATATACCACACTTTGGGGTTTGTTTTTTTCATTTTGAAACAGGTCTTTCTCTGCCACCTAGGCTGGAGTGCACTGCTACAAACACGGCTCAGTCCTGCGCTTAAGGAGGCCTCCTGCTTTCAGCCTCCCGAGTAGCTGGGACCACCGTTGCTTGCTACCACACCTGGCTAATTATTTCATTTTATCGTAGAGGCAGGGTCTTGCCATGTTGCCCAGGCTGGTCTTGAACTCCTGGCGTCAAGCAATCCTCCTGCCTCAACCTCTCAAAAGGCTAGAATTACAGGTGTGAGCCACCACACCCAGTCACCGCATTTTGTTTACTTACTCATCCCAGGCTGGAGTGCAGTGGTGCATTTGCATTGGGAATTTGCATTGTTTCCACCTTTTAGCTATTGTGAATAATGTTACTGCAAACATTTGTATACAAGCTGTTATTTGGACATAGGTTTTTTGTTTTTCTTGGGCATATACCTAGACATGGAAGTGTTAGGTCATACAGTACTCCACGTCAAAGTGTCTGCAACCTTTTACAATCCCACCAACAATTTGTGAAGGTTTCAGTGACTCCACATCGTTGTCAGCACTTACTTAGTGTTGTCTTTTTCATTACAGCCATTCTAGTGGGTGGGAATTGGTATCTCATTGTGGTTTTAATTTCCCTGGTGACTAATAATGTTGACCATCTTTTCATGTGCTTCATGACTTCTGTTGAGAAATGTCTATTCAAGTCCATTGCCTATTTTTTTATTGGATTGTCTTTTATTATTAAGTCCCTGCAATGCAATGAATTATGAAATTTATATTCTCTGAGGAAGCTGAAACATTGTCAGATAAATGATTTGCAAGTATTTTCTTCTCTGGATTGTCTCTTCACTTTCATGATGATTTCCTTTGAAGAACGAACATTTTTAATTTTGAAGTCTAACGTGTTTTTTTCTTTTATTGCTTGTTTTTGATGTCTTATCCATTCCCTGACCTAAAATCACAAAGATTTACACCTGTATGTTCTTCTGACGGTGTTGTAGTTTTAGCTCTTACATTTTGGTCTTTGATCCTTTTTGAGTTAATTTTTGTAGATTGTATGAGTTAGGCATCCTCATATTCTTGGCACCCTTGTTGAAAATTAGTTGACCGTACACGTAACACTCTGGGTCTGCCCTTATGCAGTATGGTCTTGATTACTGTAGCTTTGCAGTATGGGGTGTGTGGATTTATTAATAGCAGATGGGAGTAGAACCGCAGCCTTGTTAAGCAGGGATAATGGGAAGGAATCAGTCTATCCTGGATATAGAATAATTCCCCTTTATTTGTGTCTCTTTGAAATGCATTGTCGTAGCCCCAGTTATTTCTTTGTTCAGACTCCCAGTGATTTTAAGTGCTCTTCAGGTTTGAGAAAGGGCTCCAACCTGACTTCACTACCGTAACGGTATGTGTTATATCATCATCTTCAGGCTCACCGTATTTCAGGTGGCAGATTTCAGGTGTTGATTTGATGTTGATTTGTGAGTTGGCTTTGGTGGCAGTTTTCAGATAGCATCTCTCTCTTTGTTGATGGTCACACAGCCTACTTCTCAGTTTCAGCTTCCCCTGGAGGATGTACATTTCATAATTCATTGTATGAAAATCTTTACAATGGGCCAGGCATGGTGGATCACACCTGTAATCCCAGCACTTTGGGAGGCCTAGGCAGGCGGATCACCTGAGGTCGGGAGCTCGAGACCAGCCTGACCAACATGGAGAAACCCCGTCTCTACTAAAAATACAAAATTAGCTGGGCGTGGTGGTGCATGCCTTTAATCCCAGCTACTCCAGAGGCTGAGGCAGGATAATGGCTTGAACCTGGAGGCGGAGGTTGTGGTGAGCCAAGGCCTTACCATTGCACTCCAGCCTGGCAACAAGAGCAAAACTCTGTCTCAAATTAAAAAAAAGAAAAGAAAAGAAAATCTTTACAATGAAATCCCTTAGTTCTTTCTGTTAAAGTGAGCCCAAGAACCTTCTAACTTAATATATATGTGAAAATAAAGGTGAGTGTTCTGCTAGACTAACCTGAAATACTCTAAACTTGGTGGTTTTTACACAGTACAGTCACAGAAGATAGAGCAATAATTTTACCTGCATGAATTAAATCTTAAGATTATATATTACTTTTTCTTCCTGAATGTATAAATCATCCAGTCTTGATTAATGTAGAAGCTAATAGTTATGTAAGTCTGGTGAGGATAAACTCATTTCTCCTCTGTTTATTGACATATTGCTTATAATTGAAATTATTCTGAAGATGATGTCATTGTACAGTTCTGTACTTTGGAATATGTATATATTTACAGAAGATCCAGGGAAGAGAATTTGTGATTTTAAACCTTTCTCCCACAAATGAAGTTTATGTAAGTTATATCTTATTAAGGCTGTTTAAAATAATAAAGTTTAGACCAATAACAAAACTAAGAGTAATTTGAGGATGGTAGTTAACTTAGTTTCACATATTTAAGACTTCCCTTACATTACTCTCTGTGTGGAAATTCCTAAGGGGTTACTAACTTCCAAAACATATCTGATGACCATCTGATTACAGAGTTAAACTTTGTGCTAATGTGCTAACCATTGCTCGGATCTAAGTAAGTGTCATAGTACAGCAGCTGATAGTGTGGCACCTGAACATTACATCTTCAAGAGAAGAAAACTGTATATTGATTGATTGTGATATTTATTGGGTCATAATGTATTTAAATTTTCTTTAATGCATATGTTAGTGATTGTTTACTGTGATAAAGTGCAAAGAGGTCTTCAAGAGTGATCCTGCAGAGGAAGAATTACCTCATGTCACTGGTCACTTCTCAATTAAAAGTTCCATTAGCAAATGATTCTTGCTTCTGGTGTGGGTCATGATTGCATTTTGTCGCCTGTAAGTCAGGCTGCAGACAGGGAATAAATAAACAGCCCAAGGATGTGGTAATGTCATCTTGAACTTTTTTTTACAGATAGAAGCACCTAGGTCCATTTAAGCCAATTAAGTTCAGAATATTTATTGAGGTTAATCCTTTATCATATTTGAATTCTATTTGAAAATGGCTTTTTTTCTTGCTTTAGGATATTGATTTAATTGGGATGGCATGCCTATAAATCAGATTATTTGATATGATCTTGGTTATATATTTGAAAATTTCAATTAGATTGTATAACTTTGGCGTGGTTTATAATTTTTTATCGCGGTAGAATTCAGTGTGCATTTAATGTATTCTGTAGTGTAATATTGGCACTTAACAGTTTATCTTGAGATTTTCAAAAGTTGGAAAGTTTCTTTTTCTCCATCATTAGCATCCTTTTGTAAAATGCTCACTGAATTTGCTGAGGCTTTAAACATCTAAATTGAGGTGAATACTAGTCATTTTGGTTGCCTTAGTCCTTAAAGGGGCAGAGCTTCTCTTGTATAATACCTTGTTTTGAACCCTAAACTCTTTTTTTTTTCTCTTTTTTTGAGATGGAGTCTCACTCTGTTGCCCAGGCTGGAGTGCAGTGGTGCGATCTTGGCTCACTGCAACCTCCACCTCCCGGGTTCAAGCGATTCTCCTGCCTCAGCCTCCCGAGTAGCTGGGATTACAGGTATCCACCACCATGCCCGGCTAATTTTTGTATTTTTAGTAGAGACGGGGTTTCATCATGTTGGCCAAGCTGGTCTCGAAATCCTGACCTCAGGTGATCTGCCCATCTCAGCCTTCCAAAGTGCTGGCATTACAGGCGTGAGCCAGCACACCCGGCAAGACAGTTTTCTATGTAAGTTTATTTCTTCAGAATTAACCATGAAATACAAGTGGTTTAGATTCTACAGTTAAAATGGGAGATGTATTCCTGAATTCAGTTGATTGCTGCACCTAAATAAGATTTCTCGGCTGGGTGCAGTGGCTCATGCCTGTAATCCCAACACTTTGGGAGGCCGAGGTGGGCAGATCACCAGGTCAGGAGATCGAGACCATCCTGGCTAACACGGTGAAACCCCATCTCTACTAAAAATACAAAAAATTAGCCGGGCGTGGTGGCGGGCGCCTGTAGTCCCAGCTACTCAGGAGGCTGAGGCAGGAGAATGGCGTGAACCCGGGAGGCGGAGCTTGCAGTGAGCCGAGATTGCGCCACTGCACTCCAGCCTGGGCGACAGAGCGAGACTCCGTCTCAAAAAAAAAGAAAAGATTTCTCACTGTAGGTTTAGCACCACAAGGTAAATTCTTTCTGCCCTTGGATTAAGTAGGTCTTGCTTACTATTGAGTTATTCCTTCCTTTTTATTTTTCTCATCACGCCCAAGCAATAGTTAAACATCTGAAATTCATGAGAAGAATGGATCAGTATGGTATTGAGACCATTCTGTTTTTTCTGGGCCATGTTAATTTGTCACCATGAAGATTAGAAGCACACACTCTTGCTGGCCCCACTTAAAGTCTGCTGTTTATCTTTGGCTCTTATTTGTGCAATAAAGACAACAAATAATCTAAAAAATAGTGTTGGGTGCAGTAGCTCATACCTGTAGTCCCAGCACTTTGGGAGGCCGAGGTGGGAAGAACACTTAAGCCCAGGAGTTCAAGACCATCCTAGGCATACATAGGGAGACCTGGTCTCTACCACTAAAAAAAAAAAAAAAGTAGCCAGGCATGGTGGTGTGTGTCTGTAGTCCCAGCTACTTGGGAGGCTGAGGTGGGAGGATTGCTTGAGCCTGAAATGTAGAGGCTGCAGTGAGCAGTGATGGCACCACCACACTCCAGCCTGGGTGACAGAGACCCTGTCTCAAAATAATAATAAAATAGGGCCCATGTAAATCCTTTTAAACATTTAAATATTCAATTTAATTTAGATTTAGATTTAGCAAATGTAACTTTATGAAATAAAAGCCAAATGAAGGTATATGGTGTTAATTTTATTGTTTCTAAACTTAAAATCAGCTTTGAGAGGCGGCAGTAAGTAGAGTGGTGGAGGTCACGCTCTGGAGTAAGACAGGCCAGTGGGGACTCCTGGCGTCACCAGCAGAGGGCAGCAGAATCCGGCCTGTGTTGTCGTGGGCCTCCTTGGCTTTGGTGTAAGTAGCTAGCATTGGTCAAGCACTCAAGCTGGGAGACCGGATGGAGTGTCACATCGTTCAGGTGGAGTGATGCTGCTGCCCATGTCCCGGTGGTAGTGCTGGTAAGAAGTCATCATATTCAAGGAGATTTGCTGATGAATGAGATGTTGGGATGTGTGAGGACAGGAGAAGGTAAGGGAACCACCTGGGTTCTGTTATGAGAACTAGAAGGATGGAGGTCATGCTGACTAAGCTGGGAAAGGTGCGGGCAGGAGCAGGTGTGGAGAGGGAGGCATTCTTATGGAGGCTTAGTGAGGGGCAGTTGAGGATAGGGGCCTCAAGTTAGAGGCAGTATCTGGGCTGAGCCATCAGCATTCCCAGGGTCCTTAAGGTCATTAGCCTGAATTAGATCACCCAGGGTGTAGGTGTCACTGGAGAAGAGAAGAGATGAAGAACTGAGCCCCAGGGCTCTCCAAGGTTTAGAGTCCAGAGAGTAGAGAATTGACTAATAGAAGTTCAGGAGATGAAGCTGGAAAGGAAGGGAGAAAACCAGAGAAGTGGGATTTCAGGTGCCAAATAAAGACAGTGTTTGAAAGGAAGAGAAAGGTGGGTATTGTGTGATGGTACTGTTAGACCAAGTAAGGTTTAGCACTGAGAAGTGGCCATGTCATTTAGCACTCTGGACAAGTGATTTCTGTGGCGTGGTGAAGGCAAAAACCTCAGCAGATGGGCTGAAAAGAATGTCAGGATTATCTTCCTAAAGCATCATATTAAAGCTGAAAATATCCACATCATATCACAAGAGAAATGTGTACCTATTAATTAGAATACATGTGAAAGAATGTTTATGGTAACACTGTATAGCCCCTAAACTGGAAACTACAAAAATGTCCTTCGAAAGCATAATGATAATAAATAAATTGTAGGATATTCACAAGACTTACTGAATGAACAGACTACAGCTACTCAAAATGGTATGAGTGAACGGCACAGACCTAACATTGAGTTGAAGAATCCAGACACACAAAAGTACATTTTGTCAGATTTCATTTATGGAAGTTCAGAAACAAGCAAAGCTCCTTGCAGTTTTTGGAAGGCAGGATCCTGATGCTCCTGGGAGGGTAACACTGGAAGGGGGTGCAGGGGGCTTCCAAGGTGCTAGGCATTTTCTGCGCTGTGGACTAAGTGCTTTTCCATAAGTGTGTTCACTGGGTAAAAATGGATGGAACCACAGGCTTGTGATTAGGGCACTCTGCAGCAGTAGACTTCAGAGCAGTTACAAGAGGAAGGATCGGAGAAGAATTGGGGGACTGGTTATCAAGAAAACTTGAGCAGCCGCTTAAGGGATATGGGGCTAGGAAAGCTGTGTTCTAAAGATGGGAGAAATAACAGCATGTGTATTTGCTGCTGGAAATAAGTCAGTGGAATTGCTGAGGGAGAGAGGAACCACACCCTGCAAAGTGAGGGTGTGGGGTCTGGTGCTGAAGCAGGGGGCGCCACAGGCTGCGTGTCCAAGAAGAGGTAGAGGAACACTGGGTGCAGCTGCATGAGCTGGGGAGCAGGAGCTCATTCTGACTGCATCCCACTGTTGCTGCTTTCTGGGTGATGCAGCAGAGAGCAAGGATGGGAAGAGCAGTGTTCCCAGACCAGCCACATCTGCATCACCGGGGGATCTATTAAAAATGCAAATTCTTGGGCTCCACCCCAGACCTTCTGAATCTGGAACTCTAGGGCTAGGGCTCAGCAAGCTGTGTGTTTTGGTTTTTGGTTTTTTGGGGTTTTTTGAGACAGAGTCTTGCTCTTGGCATGGCTCACTGCAACCTCTGCCTCCTGGTTCAAGCAATTCTCGTGCCTCAGCCTCCCAAGTAACTGGGACTACGGACACCCACCACCACGCCCGGCTAATTTTTGTGTTTTTTGTAGAGATGGGGTTTCGCCATGTTGGCCAGGCTGGTCTCGAATTCCTGGCCTCAAGTGATCCGCCCACCTCAGCCTCCCAAAGTGCTGGGATTATGGGTGTGAGCCATAGCACCCGGCCAGCAAGCTGTGAATAGGCTTCAATTAATAAGTGTGACTCTGATGCATGCTGAAATTTGAGAATTACTGGACAATGGAAATACAATAGGATTGCCAGTTAGTGTAGGGCCCACTTGACGTTAATATCATAAAGTGAAGTGAGACCAGCCGTGTGGGTTACTTTTTCTACACCCGTAAACGGCTGTGTGGGTCTGACTAGGATGTAGAGTCAGATTTAACCAGGGGTGGGGTTTTTTGCCAAGTGACTATAATAAAGGGTGAATTGGTTGCAAGTTCAGAGTGGTTACAAGAGCCTGCCTTTGAATCTAGGCTGTTTAGAGAGGAAATTAATCCGTGAATGGAGATTTGAGGGCAAGGGAAGCTGGACAGGAGAGGAGACCTGTGGAGTCGAGGTCCTTCAGGGAGTCAGTGTAGCGGTGGTTAGAGCTAAGATCAGAGGGGCTTAGTTACCGGTAATGCCACTTGGAGGACAGAGCTGAAGGAACTGGTAGCTAAGGTGGAGTTGAGGGACAGCCAGGATGGTAGAATGACAGTCAACTGTGTGCTACAGATGTCACCAAAAATTATCACCAGAGTGTGTTGGACTCTCAGGAGCTAAAATCTTGAATTAAGGGGCAGTGACTGAACCCGGGAGAGGTAATGGATGCGCAAGCCCAGTGCATGAGATTGAAAGCCAGGGATTTTAGCGGGAGGGAAGGGAAGGATGGTCTGGAAGTGGCAGTAAGGAGCACAGGGGGCCTACCTCCCTTCTGTGCCCGGTGGTTCAAGGGTGCAAAAGAGACCACAGCTACTCACGCAGAGTGCTCTGAGGATCACAGAGCGCTGCAGGGCATGTGGGAAAATGGACTGCTGAGTGTCGCAGCATAGTCAGGAAAAAATCCCGTCTTAGCTGTGAGACCAGGAGCACAAAAAACAAAAGGAAAAATGAACTGGACTTAAAAATGTTTATGCTTCAAAAGACACCATCAAGAAACTGAAAATACAACACACTGAAAGAGAAGATACTTGTGGCATATATATGAAGGACTCCATGATAAAAATGGGCGAAGGATCCAATTGGACATCTCTCCAGGGACTGGCAGCAAGCAAATGGGCCATTGGTTCGTGCAAAGATGGCCAGCATCACTAGTCATCAAGGAAGGGCAAAGCATAGCCACAGGCTGCCGCGCACACCCGCGAGTACGGCGGGAATCAAACCAGGAACCGCAGGGTTGGTGAGGATGTGGAGGAATCAGTCCTCATGCATTGCCAATGGGAAGATAAAATGGTGCAGCCACTTTGGAAAAGTTTAGCAGTTCCTCAAAAGGTTAATTACCTTTGGACCCAGCAAACATATTTACCCAAAAACTTGCACACAAATTCTCACAACAGCATTATTCCTAATAGCTAAAAGATGGAAATGACTCAAAGGCCCATCAGCTGACAAACGGGTAAACAGAATACGGTTCATCCATACAGTGGACTATTACTGGGCCGTAAAAAGGGGTAAAGCACTGACACATGGCACACATGGATGTGCCTTGAGAATGTTCTGCCCGGTGAGAGCAGATGCAGAGATCACCAAAGACATGGTTCCATTTATATGAAATGTCCAAAACAGGAAAATCTAGAGACAGAAGGTGGGTGAGTGATCGCCAGGGCTGGGAGGAACCAGGAGTGGCAGCTGAGGGATGTGGAGTTTCTTTTTAGAATAATGAAAATCTTCAGAAATTGATTGTGGCGATGGTCATACAACTTTACGAATATAATAAAACCTTTGAATGTAAGTTATGTGGGTGATATCCCAGTAAAGCTGTTACAAAGGAATCGTGCGGTAGGTAACGTGGTGACTGAGAGAGCCAGTGTCACAGAAGTTAGAGAAAGCAGCAGTCAGTATCAATCGGAGTTCATGGATGCTTTCGTTCTAAAGCTGGAAGGAGTATAGTGATTAGAGCATGAGCTGTTGTTAGGGAAACATAGTACCTGATGGTAACGAAATCTGTTATCATCGAAGGCATCATTGTCCTCAAATTTCTCAAGAGGTGGCTCGACAGATTTCTAGTCTGATATTTTATTCTCCTATATGGCAAAAGTAGAATTTTGAAACTTGAAAGATGTTTTCTTCTAATTGTTGAAAATAGTTCTTGGTTATGTGGGGTACCTTGAGACTGAGCCTGAGTTGTTTTTTTTTTTTTTTTTTTTTTTAAATTCCTACTGTCTTTCAGAAGCAGGAGTGTAAAACTGTCCTCAGATGCTCAGATGTTTGCTTCTTGTCAGTGGAAGTGGGAATATGGGTTTGCTACTTTAGCGAACTTCCTTGTTCATGAAGATGTTTTTTATCTTCTAGAAATATTTTGGTGAGCAGGGTCAGGGGTTTCTGTGTTTTGGAGCCTGAACCTGGAAGCCATAGAACTAGAAGTCGAGGAAAAAAAGGAAGGGTCGAGCCAGGTCTGGTGGCTCAAGCCTGTAATCCCAGCACTTTGGGAGGCCAAGGCGGGAGAATCACGAGGTCAGGAGTTCTAGACCAGCCTGACCAACATGGTGAAACCCCGTCTCTACTCAAAATACAAAAATAAGCTGGGCGTGGTGGTGGTTGCCTCTAATTCCAGCTACTTGGGAGGCTGAGGTAGGAAAATCGCTTGAAACCGGAAGGCAGAGATTATGGTGAGCCAAGATTGTGCCACTGCTCTCCAGCCTGGGTGAAAGAGGGAAACTCCATCTCAAAAAAAAAAGGAAGCGTCAACTCCAAGCTGCTCAAAATGTATCATATTGTGGCTCGATCGCTGGAAGCCACTATGAGGAAAATAGGACAGGAGATGTGCACGTGTCCTCCACGGTCCCCATCCCCCATCCTCTGTGCCCTGCAGGGCTTCCGAAGTGAAAGCCGAGTTGGAGATGAGAAGGGCAATCTCTGCAGGCTTTCCTTGTCTTTATGGAGTGCCAGGGTCTCAAGGAAGAAAAGGTACGAGCACTGTGAGGCCTCGGCAGCTCTGCATGCTGGGGATTTGGGCAGCCTCTGTAGAGAAGTAAGAGTGCAGCACCCGTGTCCTGGTGTGGTGGTTCAGGATTTGCAAGGCAGAGTTGCTCTTTTTCTCTGAGTAACAGCTAGTGGGCTCTGCTCAGTTATCCGTGGTAGACATCTGCTGAATGAGGAGTGAGTTCACCTCAGCTCACGTTTAGAGATTGGCTTTAGGGCACCTGCCAGTGGAGTATTAGAGTGAGGCCCACGGCCTGGCCCCTCCCAGGGAGCTTGGTGTCCTCCTGCTGCTGTTCCTGCATGTGAGGCGCAGGGGACACTGGGACAACACGGATTTTTTAGTGCCAGGGTAGCTGTGTAGACCAAGTGTTGCGGGAGTTGATGGTGTAGAAAGCTCTCTGGAATAGGATTGTGAAGATCTAGGACTTGAAATGGGTGTTGACGTATACATAACCTGAAACCCACAATCCGAAAACTCTTAACACAAGAATGAAAGGGTTTTTTTGCAAACAGATTCATGAATGCAGAATTCCAGTATGTAATGTGGTCCCTGACATATAGTTGGCACTTAATAAATGTTTGTTACATGAATGGGCACCATATGTTGTATTTGGACTCTTGCATTAAAGATGAGGTATGTTGCCAGGCGCGGTGGCTCACACCTGTAATCCCAGCACTTTGGGAGGCCGAGGCGGGTGATCACCTGAGGTCAGGAGTTCAAGACAATCCTGGCCAACGTGGGGAAACCCTGTCTCTACTAAAAATACAAAAATTTGCTGGGCATGGTATGCGCACTTGTAATCCCAGCTGCTCGCGAGGCTGAGGCAGGAGAATCGCTTGAACCCAGGAGGCGGAGGTTGCAGTGAGCTGAGATCGTGCCATTCATTGCGCTCCAGCCTGGGCGATAGAGTGAAACTCCGTCTCGAAAAAAAAGAAAGAAAGATGAGGTATATCTCCTGCCCCCTAGGAGTTTAGAGTTAGTTACACAAGCCCCTAGTGGTCCCAGTGACTGAAGGGACTTTGTTTTTCAATTCCAACTTACTAATTCTGAAGCACAATTATTAAATAGCGTGTTGCTATTAGTATACATTCTTATTTTATGTTTCTTTTTTGTTTTTTAAATTATATGGTTAATATGATATGAAATAATTAAAATTATCTGCTTGCTCAGTTAGGATGGCTTTAAAGCAAGACATCATCTCTTATATAGTTTTTAGATTAAGTTATAAATGTTCACTTTAGAGCTGCCTGAAGATTGATAGAGATGCATTTGAAAAGCATTATTTTTTTATTGATTCTTAATGTAGTAAATTACTGAAGTTATTTGGCGGCAAACAGAAATGGTCTGTGATGTGGTTCACATTTATTCTGATAGAGCCACAATTTGCATTAATTGCGTCGCGACTGCACTCACTTATATTAAAAGGCTTCTACTATAATTAATCCTTTTTATTTCAAATCATTTTGGCACAATTTCTAGCTATAAACATTCATAAAAGACAGACAGTTGAAAAATTCGTTACAGGTCTTTTCCATATACCTATTGCTATTTTTTTCATGACAAGTAGTTATTGATATGCTTCTAGGAACAAGCGTGGTACAGCTGGCTGAGAAGGCCAGTGTGAAAAATGCTAAGTGGATTATTTTGCATAAAAAATAGGCAGTTTTTGAAGTTGTATAATTAACCTGTGTTTAGAAAATACCTTGATTTATGCTTACATTTGTATCTCAGTTGCATACATTATGGAAATTTAATTTATAATCCATTTAGCTGATGCAATCATAGTTTTTAGTGCCATCATTTATTAGTGCTTGTATATTAAATGCTCTGAAGGTTTAAACCTGCCTCATGTAAAAAATGGTACCTATGCATTTACATTTTATGAGTCACAGTGGGATTTCTGTTTAAAATTCAGGTAGTTCTGATATATTTAACTAGTTTCACTGGTTTATTGTTACTAATGCAGAAATGGCAAACAGTGACCTTATATATTGAACATCAAATGATTTACACTTCCAGTTTACTTTTAAAGTCCACTGTACAAATGAGGGCTTTTCTTCAGCACCTGGAATCAATCATGTAGTTGTATGCAGAATGTTCCCCTTGGCTTTGAACTCGTCATTCATTTCGAAGTGATGCCGTTTATCAGTGCTCCAGGTTAATAGTATTAACCATCCTTAACTTTAAACAAACTGTGACTTTTCAACACAACTTTCTTTACATTATCAGGAGATGATGACTATGTGCCTGTTGCCATTTTATTCATTCTCTCATTAAGAAACCCTTTTTTGCTATCTTTTCAAAATTAATTGGGTAATCATTAGTCCTCAAATCAGAAATAAAAGCACAAGGACATAATACTTTGGTTTACCTGGCAGAGGCCAGCCGCAGTCTTCCTGGAGGGGATGTTATGCCGGCTCTAGTTATCAGACATGTGCCTGAGCTACTTAAAAAACAGCATTCTTCAGTCAGGAGTTCGAGACCAGCCTGGCCAATATGGTGAAACTCCATCTCTACTAAAAATACAAAAATTAGCTGGGCCTGGTGGTGCACGCCTGTAGTCCCAGCTACTCAGGAAACTGAGACAGGAGAATCGCTTGAACTCGGGAGGCGGAGGCTGCAGTGAGCCGAGATCGTGCCACTGCACACTCCAGCCCGGGCAACAGAGGGAGACTCCGTCTCAAAAAAAAAAAAAAAAAAAAAACAGTGTTCTTCACAATGTCTGTCATTTTCTGAAACAAAAAGCCAGTGGTACTCTAGATGTTTGCTTTTGGGAAAACCTCAACAGCTATTTTCTCATTTTCTCCAGTCGTATCAGTGGACGAGTCCTTAAAATGTGAATCTCAAGGGGTGTCTGAGCATGCCCTGTTGGAGTGTATAAGTTCTGGAATACTTATTTAAGGATGCGCATTTTATAGACTACACATACGAAGTAGATTATTACTAAATACGGTAACTGGTTGGAAGCTGTGACTAAGCAAAGGACTCACTCCCCACAGGAGCAGTGGCTCACAGTTGAAACGTTTCTCCTTTGCTGGAAGCTTGCAGAAGCACAGTCCCGGCTCTCTGGAAGCTACTTACTCCCATGTTATTAATTCACACAGATCGCTCTAATATTTACAGTGCATGATATGGTTGGGTGATGGCCTCTAGGTTGGAAGGGTGACTTCTGAGTTGACTGTCTCATGGATGAATGACTACCCCATAAAGTTTTGTTTTGATTTTGGTATTCCCTGGGTAGCACCATAGCACTTGAATCTTAAAACAGTAGGATAAAGAGGGTCTGGGTCTATCACAGCATCTCCTGCAGCACAGCTCATAGTAGTCATTTGCAAGGTATGGTTAGTCCAGCCTTCACCTTCCCTCTCTCTGTCCTTCCTGCCGTCCCTCATTCTCGGGCAAAAATTCCAGTGCTGCACCTCCAGACAGTAGGAAGGCCCGTGACTGCCTCTGTTGAGAGGGTTTCTTTCTCTAAAACTGTTCTCCACCTGTTCTCCACACCCCCGGGGGTAATTAGACTACCTCTGTTTGACCTGGGAAAATAGGATCACTGTAAATACACATCTCTCTGAAGACTGGATATTTTCTCTTTTTTTGAGACGGAGTTTTTGCTCTTGTTGCCCAGACTGGAGTGCAGTGGCACAATCTCGGCTCACTGCAACCTCCACCTCCCGGGTTCAAGCGATTCTCCTGCCTCAGCCTCCCAAGTAGCTGGGATTATAGGCATATGCCACCACACGTAGCTAATTTTTTTTTATTTAGTAGAGACGGGGTTTCACCATGTCGGTTGGTCTGGAACTCCTGACCTCAGGTGATCCAGCCGCCTCAGCCTCCCAAAGTGCTGGGATTACAGGCGTGAGCCACCGCACCTGGCCTGACTAGATATATTCTAACACGAATGGCTTTTGTAGAGGAAATTGAGATTTCTTGTTTACTTCCATTCCTTTACCTTAAGTTAAAAAATTGTCCAGATGGACCACATGGAAACAAGATAATTAATGTCTAACTGCATGTCTAGCACAGTGCCTGGCACCTAGTACCTAGTAAGTGCTCAAGGAATGGTAACTGTTGTCTCTATTGTCTTTATTAGAAAACTTTTGGCCGGGCAGGATGGCTCACACCTATAATCCCAGCACTCTGGGAGGCCGAAGTGGGTGGATCACCTGAGCTCAGGAGTTTGAGAAAAGCCTGGCCAATATGGCAAAACCCCGTCTCTACTAAATATACAAAAATTAGCTGGGCATGGTGGTGGATGCCTGTAATCCCAGCTACTGGGGAGGCTGAGGCAGGAGAATCGCTTGAACCTGGGAGGCGGAGGTTGCAGTGAGCTGAGATCGCGCGGCTGCACTCCAGCCTGGGCAACAGAGCAAGACTCCGTCTCCAAAAAAAAAAAGAGCATAAGTAATATTTCTTGACATGTGAAAATCACATGAAACCCAAATTTGGAACATAGCCACCCTCACTCATTGACACATTGTCCATGGCTGCTTTTGTGCTGCAGGGCAGAGTGGCATATGCGGTTATGAACTGGGACCCCCCAAAACTGTGCTCAAATCCTAATACCCCATCCTGTGGGCACGGCCTTGTTTGGAAATAGGGTCCAATAGCTGCGAGGCCTTGTTTGGAAATAGGGTCCAATAGCTGCGAGGCGTGAGTTCATGTGGTTTTCAGTCTCGCAGTGTGTGATCATTTGCCGTAGCCACCTTGGGAGACTAACAAACCTGCAGTTCCTGAAGGATTCACCATCCTTCTGTTGAGGAGGAGCATTTGTTGGCTTCTGTCTCACAAGAAGGATCTGTCTCTTCATAATTCCACGATTTCGCTCCTAGGTGGTCTGTTCCAGAGTTCTCTGCATGCTTAGTGCGTGCATTGAATGCCTGCACGGGATCCTGGAGCACAGTACCTGCCCACTGAATATCAGCTTCCATCTTCGGTACTATGAGGAGAAAATACCTGCTCTCTTAGGATTGGGTTTAATATCAAGTTGAGCATATGGCTCTTTGTTTGTAGAAGGCTTGTATATTCGATGCTAACGTTGTCACTGTTCTCTTTTGAAGGCTCTCTATGAGAACATGCTGGTGGAGCTGCCCTTTGCAGGCTTCTTTCTTTCCAAGTTGCTTGGAACCAGTGCCGACGTGGACATTCACCACCTCGCCTCCCTAGACCCTGAGGTGTATAAGAATTTGCTCTTTCTGAAGAGCTACGAAGACGATGTGGAGGAGCTTGGGCTGAACTTCACTGTGGTGAACAATGACCTGGGAGAGGCGCAGGTGAGGGGTCAGGAGGAGGATTCACATACCTGTATAGCAAGTAGCAGCATCTCCTTGTGTGTGGAAGTCCATTTGTGTTACAGCGTTTGACTTCCGCACATTTTAGTTAGAATGACTGTGGCTGTGAGTTAGACGTCGAAGCATATAGCTCCAAAGCACCTTAGCCCTGGCGTCTGAGCTGAGTGCAGTTCCTGCTCCCACGCATGAAGCCTGTTCCTGCCCGGCAGCCCCTCCTGCGGAGCTCCACTCTCGAGGCTGCGGCCCAGGCTTGCTGCTTGTCTGGCTCTTCCCGGTGCTGGGGGTGGCCGTTCAGCAGCTTCCCGGCAGGACCCCTTGCTTAGTCCTCACTCCTTGCCCGCTCAGAGCCACCTCAGCTGCTCCAGCACTGTCTAGGGGGTGTGTTCATTACCCATCTGGTTACTTTTGTTACTTATATCCTTTTTAAAAAAGAAAAAAGAAAGGTCTATATTAGAGATTCAAACTGATTTTCTTAATAACAGCTTTATCAACATGTAACTCACATACCATAAAATCTGCCCTTTTTAGTACATGATTGAGTGGTTTTTAGTATATTCGTAGAGGTGTGCAGCCATCATCACCCTAGCCAATGTTAGCACATTTTCCTCGGTCTACAGAGCAACCGTGCACCCATTAGCAGGCTCCCCCACCTCCCGCAGGCAGCCACCAGTCCACTCTGTCTCTGCATGGGCCTGCTGTGGACACTTCACATCGATAGAGTCTTTTTTTTTTTTGAGATGGAGTTTCACTCTTGTTGCCCAGGCTGGAGTGCAGTGGCGCAATCTCGGCTCACCACAACCTCCACCTCCCGGGTTCAAGTGATTCTCCTGCCCCAGCTTCCCGAGTAGCTGGGATTACAATGCGCCACCACGCCCAGCTAATTTTTGTATTTTTAGTAGAGATGGGGTTTCTCCATGTTGGTCAGGCTGGTCTCGAACTCCCGACCTCAGGTGATCTGCCTGCCTTGGCCTCCTGAAGTGCTGGGATTACAGGCGTGAGCCACCGTGGCCGGCACGACAGAGCCTTTTACGTGGTCTTCCTTCACTTGTAGTTGCATGGATCAGGACTTCATTCCTTTTCTGGCCAAATGATATTCCATTATATGGATATACCACAAGGTCTTTACTGGTTGATGGACATTTGGGTTGTTCCTATGTTTGGGCTAATAAGAATATTACTGTTATAAACATCCACATACAGCATACTAAAATAATTATTAATGAGTTAGTAACATCTGGGATTTGCTTCAAATACACTCTGTGCATCCATAATCTGAAAATCCAAAATGTTCCAAAATCCAAAACTTTCTGAGTGCCAACATGAAGCTCAAAGGAAATGCTGATTGGACCATTTCAGGTTTTTGGATTAAGGACTCTTACTGATAAGTATAATGCAAATATTCCAAAATTTGGGGGGAAAAAATACAAATCCAAACACTTCTGGCCCAAGTATTTCACTCAGATAAGGGATACTGACCCTGTGTGGTGAGAACAGGGGCAGGAAGTGGGGCTATCAGTTCCAGAGACTGGCCGGGAGGTGTGATGCCTGATGAACTGGCTGTGTGGGGTTGGGAGCTCATACACTGTTCTGTCTACTTTAGCATATGGGGCTTTGTTGTTGTTGTTGTATTGTTTTGAGACGGGGTTTCACTCTGTCACCCAGGCTGGAGGAGTCTAGTGATGGCATCTCGGTTCACTGCACCCTCAGCCTCCTGAGTAGCTGGGATTACAGGCGTACACCACCAAACCTGGCTAATTTTTGTGTTTTTTGTAGAGATAGTGTTGCCCTGTGTTACCCAGGTTGATCTCAAATTCCTGAGCTCAAGCGATCCTCCTGCCTCAACCTCCCAAAGTGCTGGGATTACAGGCATGAGCCACCATTCCTGGCTAATTTTTGTGTTTTTTATAGACATGGGTGTCTCCCTATGTTGTCCAGGCTGGTCTCAAAGTCCTGGGCTCAAGTGATCCTCCTGCCTCAGCCTCCCAAAGTGCTGGGATTACAGATGCAAGCCACCATGCCTGTCCAAGAGCCATATTTATTTGGTTACAACTTATTTAGTTGCTTTTGTTTCTGCATATTTTTCCATACCATAGAGCTGAATTTTCACCAATGCAAAATTTAGATAATTTGGCGGGGGGGCTGTTACTGTCATTAGGAAGTACTCGACATCCAGTGATGTCGCTTGCTGCTAGGTCTTGCACCACCTAGTGGCCTGATTTCTAAATGGCATAAAAGCCTTCGGACGGTGAGTGTTGTGGTGACCTGCCTGAGGCCTTTGCTAATGCGAGTATTTCCCATTTTTCCTTCTGAAATAAATGTTAATAGTGAAACGTCGCATATGCAAGAATTCCATTAAAGCACTGCCGATAATACTGGAATCTGTTAAAAGCAAAAGTGTGAAGTTAAGATGTTCCAGTTATTCATAGAGATTCCCACTGAGTTAAAAAATTATAGATAATGTATGAGAATAATTATACTAAAGAGCCTAATGAGAAAAATTAAGAAATTCACTAGTGAAGCACCTAATTTAGAGGGAGATCTTAAGGATTTCTGTAGAAATAAATAGGTAGTCCTCCTTACAAGTTTTTAAGTTTATAAAGTATGATTTAAAGACTTGTAATATGCAAATACTTTATTGTGTCAGCAGGTTATGTTAATTAATCATCCCTTTTAAAATATGGTGCTGCTCTCAAATTTGTTTTTTTCAGTGTAATCAATTTGGCTGTTAATCTGTTTAATAGTGACCATGAAATTTTAGACGACTAATTTACATAGAACTCTTTCTAGCAGAAAATGCTAAGGGTTTAAGAAGGACCCACAAATAATCATCTGTTAGGTAGAAAAGATTGGACTTGAGTCACGACACCTTGGTTCAGGTCCTGGTTTGGCCGCTTTTCTGTGAGGCTTAAGGAAGTCACAAGACCCCTTCCTCATCTCAGACGGGTGTGAGTGCCGGAGGATGAAATGAGCTAATGGAAGTAGGTCATGTATGGTGGTGTCTTGTGGGGCTTTATGGATTCCAAGTGAAAATAGACTTTCTGGAGGAGCAGAAAGGACAGCTCTTGGTATCTTGCTGTCCTGAGAACTGCTCCAGTTAAATATATTTGTATTTAGAGGAAATTTTAAATATGTCCCTCAGATCTGAAATTTAGCACTTATGTGACATGATTTTTAAGTACACATAGTTGTTTAGGCTTAGCCTGAGAGAGAATTTTAAATTAAAAGTAGTGTAACCGTTTAAAAGTTATTAGAGGGGCTGGGCGCAGTGGCTCACGGCTGTAATCCCAGCACTTTGGGAGGCCAAGGCAGGCAGATCATTTGAGGTCAGGAGTTCAGACCAGCCTGGCCAACATGGTGAAACCCTGTCTCTACTAAAAATACAAAAAACTGAGCCGGGCGTGGTGATGTGCACCTGTAATCCCAGCTACTCGGGAGGCTGAAGCACAAGAATCTCTTGAACCCAGATGGTGGAGGTTGCACTGAGCCAAGATTGCTCCACTGCACTCCAGTGTGGGTGACAGAGTGAGACCTTGTCTCAAAAAAAAAAAAAGTTATAGAAATGTCAGTTTTCTCTGATCAGGCAAGGTAATTGGGAGCCTTGGAAGTTCCTTTAACTGATAACTTCACTGGTCCTTTGTCTTCCAAATCATACAAGTACATCATCATTTATTACCTGCCTCTAATCCATTTAAAGGAAGGGGTGGTATTTTATACATTGAAATATAATAGCTAGCCTCCTGAGGCTTGGTTAACAGATGGACTGTCAGCTGAGTACAAGCAAAGGAATTAAGATAATGAACACAATCTTTAATCAGAATGAAGACAATGGAATTGAAAGCCCATTCTTAGGCTTGATGGTTCCAAACCTTAGGAAGTGAATTATTGAGAATAATTGTATCATCCTTTAAAATGTGAAACGTTAAAAGAAGCAGATCTGGTAAGTTGAACGTTCAAGTTCAATTTGAACATTCTGTATAAAATGAGAACCAGCAAACGAGTCTCCTATAACCATCAGCTGTAGGATGACTTAAGTCAGGCTCTCTAGCACATTTGTGAAACAATCTTTCTGTAAATGGTAAGAGACTGGGACATCAGTGCCATTGCCCAGAGGCAGCAGTCTTGTCTGTTACTCTGGGAATATTAAAGCTACCAGGAAAACTGAAGGCTGTGAAAAGAAAAGAATGGAAAGGTAGGGAAGTTGAAATGTCTTTGTTCATTTATTTTGGGCTTATTTTATATTTTCATTGTCCACAGTATAGGTTGCCCTCATCTAACCCCAGGAATGCAGTTGGGGTGTTTTTGTTGTTTTTTTGTTTTGTTTTAGAAATACAGGTGGGGGTCTTGCTTTATCTCAAACTCCTGGGCTTAAGGGATCCTCTTGCCTTGGCCTCCCACAGTGCTGGGATTAGAGGCGTGAGCCACTATACCCGGCCTGTTTTTTTGGTTTTCTTAATAAATACTTTTTAAAAATTTTTTTATTTAAAATACACTCTTTATAAATTATGATTACATGTTTATATTGTATTTTGCTCGTGTACTGTTTTGTATTTATGAATTCATATAATCATGTAATCACAGCAATTCCAAGTCAGACAAACAAATATCACCATTTTATTAATGGCCAAAAGTTTCAAGGTGTAAAGTGACTTGTCTGTCATACAAGTGGGGGACAGTAAGACCCAGGTCTGTGTTTCCGCTGTGTTGCTTTTCTCATGAGCACTCTTGTGGTGTTTATGGGAGCTCCACGTTATACCTGCAAATTCTGTGAGTATAGCCACGTACTAATAAAAAGTGTTCTTACTCACTCTGTTTATATACATAAGAAATTGGCTGATCTGTTATCACTGATCGTTACCACCACCCTTTGTATCGTAATTAAAGTGCTTTATAGTAATGGCATTGTGGAAGCACACAGGTAAGTGTGTGCTGCTTATATGGATGAAAATGAGAAATCACTTTACTACAGCCTTTGCGTTTCCTCCAGAATGAGTCGCTTTTTCTCTTCTGACTTAACGGTGATTGTTTGCTTCATGTCTTTGCCCTCTGTGATTTCTCATTTTTGTTTAAGTAAAATTGCCATGGTGACATTGCTGCACAATTCCCTAGTGCTTCGGAGGAAACATGGATGGTTAGTGATCTTAAAGACAGAGTAAGGTGCTGGGCTTCGGAGACTCTTCCTGGAGGTGCATCTTGGCATCTGCACAATGCTGTGCATACTCGGGTACTATTTCGTATTTAGATTCTTGTTCACAAAGCATCAAGTCCTATTTCCTTAAAACATTTGTTTCTTGCTTTTTTTTTTAACCTATTATCATACTTTGAGGATTTTGAGATCCTTACGTTTTGTATTCCCAGGTAGTTGAACTAAAATTCGGTGGGAAAGACATCCCTGTCACCAGCGCCAACCGGATTGCGTACATCCACTTGGTGGCAGACTACAGGCTGAACAGGCAGATCCGCCAGCACTGCCTGGCTTTCCGCCAGGGCCTTGCCAATGTCGTCAGCCTCGAGTGGCTCCGAATGTTTGATCAGCAAGAAATTCAGGTACCCTACCTGCTGACTTTCTGGGACACGCTTGTCACAGGAAATGAACAGGCTTTCTTAAAATTTACCTCAAATGTTATTATTTGAACTTTTTTCCTTAGGTATTAATTTCTGGTGCACAAGTTCCCATAAGCCTAGAGGACCTAAAATCCTTTACAAACTATTCAGGTATGTTATCACTGCTAGTTATTGTTTCTGAAAATGTTGCAGGTGGTCATATTTCCAAAGTAATTTTTATTTTATTTTAATTAATTTATTTATTTTTTTTTTTTCAGACTGAGTTTCACTCTTGTCGCCCAGGCTGGAGTGCAGTGGCGCGATCCCAGCTCACTGAAACCTTTGCCTCCCGGGTTCAAGCAATTCTCCTGCCTCAGCCTCCCGAATAGCTGGGATTACAGGCACCTGCCACCAGGCCCAACTAATTTTTGTACTTTGAGTAGAGACAGGGTTTTGCCATGTTGGCCAGGCTGGTTTCAAACTCCTGAGCTCAAGTGATCCACCCCCCTCAGCCTCCCCAAAGTGCCAGGATTATGGGCGTGAGCCACCATGCCTGGCCTCAAAGTAATTTTTATTGTACTCTTTTGTAGGGGTAATGTACATGGTTCAAAAACCAGATGGCTGAGTGCAGTGGCTCACGCCTGTAATCCCAGCCTTTGGGAGGCCGGGGCAGGTGGATCACTTGAGCTCAGGAGTTTGAAACCAGCCTGGGCAATGTGGCGAAATCCCATCTCTACTAAAAATTAGCTGGGCGTGGTGGCATACACCTGCAGTCCCAGCGTGGTGGCGTACACCTGCAGTCCCGGCGTGGTGGCGTACACCTGCAGTCCCGGCGTGGTGGCGTACACCTGCAGTCCCATCTACGTCGGGTGCTGAGGCAGGAGAATCACTGGAGGTGGGAGACGGAGGTCGTGAGATCTCAGTGAGCCGAGATCATGCCACTGCACTCCAGCCTGGGCGACAGGAGTGAAACCCTGTCTCTAAATAGATAAATATATACATACACAACGTACATGGGCAAAAAAAACCAGATGTTTAACATAGAAGATAGATAAATGGCCAGTAAGCAAATAAGCACACAATAACGATGTTCAGCATCATTAGTCATTATAGAAAAATGCCACTTACATCCAAATGAGATAACCCCACATACCCACTAGCTGTCTACTGGTGCAAGTGAGAGCTTTTTGAGGAAATGGAAATGTTCTAAAACTGGATTGTGCTGATGGTTGCAAAACTCTAAACTTACAAAAAATCATTTTTACATATAACCTGTGTGTATCCATGCGTATGTATCTCTTATCTGTAGTTTGCATTGTCCTACATCTGAAGTCTAATCTTTATGTAAAAGCAAATAATGCCTAAGGTCACGTTGTCCCCATGATCGGGTCATAAGTTTAAGGAAATGAAATCAGTCTGACCTTTCCTTTGCCAAGAGATTGTCTTCGGTTGTTTTCATTACCCATCTGCACTGAGGGCTTGCACCTTTAATAATCTCAGCTATGCCAGTAAATAGGTTTAAAATATTATATTCATTTTGGTGCCAATTAATGCACTTAAGACATTTTATTGGTGTTATTTCTGTAGTATATTAACAATGAGGGAACAATATACAGCAATTATTTTAGGTTTAGGGAGCACTTTACTAGATTAAAAGCTGTAAGTGGCAGACATTACATTTCAGAATAGTGGTCTCATCATATAGTGAGATTGGTTGTTAGCCATGGTATTAATATCAGAATGATAATAAGTTAGAAGGAAAGATGATAAAATTAATTTAGCCACCAAATCATGCTGGGAAAACACCCAGCTGTGTTAGTACTAGACACCCATTGTCTGTCATGTTAGATCTGTGGCCACGTGCAAGCCCCTTCTCTGCCGTCTGTTCAGCGGCGGCTTTGAACTGCAGCACGGTTCTTCAAAATAAGGCTCCTCTGCAGTAGTTCTTGGTGCCTGCATTCATCTTTATAGTTACAGGGTGATCCTTATTCTAGCTTTTTATGTATTTATTTATTTATTTTGAGGGCGAATCTCACCCTGTCACCCAGGCTGGAGTGCAGTGATGCAATCTCAGCTCACTGCAGCCTCTGCCTTCTGGGTTCAAGCAATTCTCCCACCTCAGCCTCCCAAGAAGCTGAGATTATGGGTGCGCGCCACAACATCCAGCGAATTTTTGTACATTTGGTAGAGACAGGGTTTCACCATGTTGGCCAGGCTGCTCTCGAACTCCCGACCTCAAGTGATCCGCCAGCCCGGGCCTCCCAAAGTGCTGGGATTACAGGTGTGAGCCACTGTGCCTGGCCCTGCTTTGACCCTCCTTAAGTTGCTCTCCCCTTCTCGTACTTTGCCCATCGCCTCCACATAATTGGCGGTGGGTGGGGTGGGGGCGGGGGGAGGCAGAGAATTCCGCTTTTGCATTTACAATCGGTCCTTCATATCTGTGGGTTCTGTCCACATCCATGGCTTCAACCAATTGCAGATTTTAAATATTTGAGGAAAAAGCAATGGTTGTGTCTGCACTGAATGTGTGCTAAGCAATATAGTGTCACAGCCATTTACACAGCCTCGGCATGAGATGGGATTGTACCAGTGCTCTAGAGATCATGGAAGTGCACAGCACGTACACAGGTGATACACACATGCCACGCCGTTTTAGAGAAGGGACTTGAGGATCCATGGACTTTAGTTTCCGTGGGTGTCTGGACCAATCCCTGTGGGTCCTGAAGGGTGGGTGTGCTTTGCATTTCATAAAGCATGTGTTCATTTTGCCATAGGAGGCTATTCTGCAGACCATCCTGTTATTAAGGTCTTCTGGAGAGTTGTGGAAGGGTTCACTGATGAAGAAAAGCGCAAACTGCTGAAGTTTGTAACAAGCTGCTCTCGACCCCCTCTCTTGGGGTTTAAGGTACACAACTTTCATGACATTTGCTTTAAAGACCACTTCATAATAAGAAAGGCAGCAGAACATTCAGTAGGGTTAAATGAAGTCCTTTTACATACACTTTTGTTTTTATCTTCAGCTAGATTTTTAATTAAGTACTGGTTATGATGTATATATTTTGGTGCTAGTTTTATTTGGGGTTGCTTTTTTTGTTTGTTCACAATAACCTAGTCATATGATAGTTACACATTGTGGTTATGATTGCCTGTGAACAAACCGTACATTTGGAGGGACTATTTGCAATATTAATAATGTCTCATAAATCTGTAACACATCTTGGGCTTTTTGCTACTGAACTGAAGCAGGTACAACGTAGAGATGTTGATGGAGTGTATATGCTACTGAGCCTTATTTTACCACTTCTGGAAATTAATGTTGATCTTACGTAATTTGGCTTATTTTTAGCAATTAAAATTGCCTCAGGCAGATGGATCATTTGAAGTCAGGAGTTCGAGACCAGCCTGGTCAACATGATGAAACCCTGTCTTTGCTAAAAATACAGAAAAATGAGCCAGGCATGGTGCCCTGTGCCTGTAATCCCAGTTACTTGGGAGGCTGAGGCACGAGAATTGCTTGAACCCAGGAGGTGGAGGTTGCAGTGAGCCGAGATCGCGCCACTGCACTGCACTCCAGCCTGGGTGACAGAGTGAGACCCTGTCTCCAAAAAAAAAAAAAAAAAAAAATTGCCTCAGGAACGTCTAATCATAATTCCTGTATTCACTGTAAATTAAAATAAAGCCATATTAACATTTAAAAATGCACACAGTGGTATATATATTATAGAATAATATATAATTAGATAAGTACTGTATGTGATTTGTGCTTATGAAACTTCATAGGCATTCACTTTCTTTTTTCCTTTTTTCTTTTTTTTTTTTTTTAAGTAAGATGAGCACTCGCTGTATCACCCAGGCTGGAGTGCAGTGGTGTGATCACGGCTCACTGCAGCCGCAGCCACCCAGGCTGAAGCAATCTGCCCACCTCAGCCTCCCAAGTAGCTGTGACTACAGGCATGTACCACCATGCCTGGCTGACATTTTGATTTTTTGTAGAGAAGGGTTTCACTGTATTCCCCAGGCTGGCCTCCAACTCCTGGGCCCAAGAAATCCTCTCACTTCAGCCTCCCAAGGTGCTGGGATGACAGGTGTGAGCCACCACACCATGCCCAGCTGGCATTCACCTTCAAATAACCTTCAATCAGAAAGAGTTCCTGCACACTCATGTAGTCCCAGCTACTCTTGAGGCTGAGGTAGGAGGATTAGTTGAGCCCAGGAGTTTAAGACCAACCTGGGCAATGTAGTAGCGAGATCCTGTCTCAAGGGGGAAAAAGTAATGTTAAGGTTTTTTGCTTTGTTGTTGTTGTTGCTGTTTTGTTTGTTTCTTTGTTTTTGAGACGGAGTTTTACTCTGTCGCCCAGGCTGGAGTGCAGAGGGCAATGGCGTGATTTCCGCTCACTGCAACCTCTGCCTCACAGGGTCAAGCAATTCTCCTGCCTCAGCCTCCTGAATAGCTGTGATTACAGGCGTGCGCCTCCATGCCCGGCTAATTTTTGTATTTTTAGTAGAGACGGGGTTTCACCATGTTGGCCAGGCTGGTCTCAAACTCCTGACCTCAGGTGATCCACCTACCTCAGCCTCCCAAAGTGCTGGGATTACAGGTATGAGCCATCATGCCCGGCCCCCCAAGTATTTTTTTATATTTCTGAGTGAAGCTATTCTTTAACTTTTTACTTCGAAACTATTTTAAATGTATAGAAAAGTTGTGAGAATTGACCAAATAACTTCTAAACCCGCACTGACCAATTGTTAACATTTTGCTACATTTACTTTATCATTCTTTTCATGCATTTCTTTCCTGAATCATTTGAGAATAGGTTGAAGACATGAGGTCTTCCCTAAATATCTCAGCACATACTTCCTAAGAACAGAGACAGTTTTGAAACGGCCACAATTAAATTATTACAAGTCAGGAAATTGAACTCTGACATACGGCACTTACCTTATCGAATCCACTGGCTGCACAGTGTGGTCCTGGGACCAGCAGCTGCAGCATCACTTGAGCACATGTTAAAAATGAACATTTTCAGGCCCCACTCAGACCTGAGTCAGCGCTCAGTGGGAGCGGAGCCCCGCAGTCACGTTGTGACCAGCTCTTCAGGTGTTAGGCCGGTTGTCCCTTCGCGTCCTTCATAGAATCTGATCCAGGACCACACGTTGCATTTAATTGGCGTGCTCTTTAGTTTCCTTTCTTCTGTACCCCCATTTTCAAGGGGTGCAGGCAAGTTATCTTGAGAATGTTCGTCAATGTGATGTCGCAGCCCCACCGTTGGGAGTGTACAGATGGCAACATATTTTCACACAGTGTGTTTATGAATGTTCAGAGCAAGCCTTCATAATGGCCAAAAACGAAATAATTCACAGTACATGAACTGCTAGTAAATACTATAGATTAAGAGATATTTAGAATTTAAAAGGAATAAATGATATCTACTACACTGTGTATGAACATTGAAAACACTGTGCTAAGTGAACGAAGCAAGACACAAGACTACGTATTATTATATGTAATTCCACTCGGATAAACTGTCCTTTGAAAGGCACATTTAGAGACACAGAGCGGGTCAGGGGCTGCACAGGGCTGGAGGTGGCAGCGGGAGCTTCGGAGAAGTGGAGCGACCCAAAACCGGATTGTGGGGGTCGCTGCGGAACTCTGTAAATTTGCTAAAATCATTGGATTGTACATTTAAAGGGATAATCTTATAGTAAGTCAAGTACACCTCAATTAAGCTGTTCTTAAAAATTGACTATAAACTAACACAGCATCTCAGTTAGTGCCCTCAGAACTGGAGTTGGGACCCAGTAGAGAGGTGGAAAGAAGTGAGGCCTAAGTGCAGTGAGTTTGTTTCAAATAGGTCAATCATCGACGCCGTTATGTTCTGGAAGTAATGAATAATAAAGACGTATAAACTTAAACGTGTTAGTGAATACCATCACTCAATGATATCAGTAGAAATGATAATCTTCCAAATTGTTGGAGAGAAAAAATAACCATGCAAATAAAACAGGACAAACAGAACCAACTCTGTTTACCAGATATGGGGGGTGGGGGTGGGAAGTAACATTCAGAATCGTAAAATAGAAAACATAGAATGAGAGAAGCCTGAATGTTACAACAGTGAGTGCGGAGAAACTGACGTAATGAAAGAAAAAGACTTTGAGACAGGGCCAGGAAAACGCTGCCGCCTACAAGCAACACACCTAAACGGAGTGACCCAGAAGGGTTTAGTGGCACGTCCAGGTTCGTGTGTGAAGAAATAGATGGGTCCCCTTCAGAGTTTGAAGCATGACCCATGTGACCAGATAGGAGAATCTCTCGAGCGCAGGGAAAGCTGGGTGCTGCCTGTGTGGTGGCAGAGTCTGGAGGGCTTGCTGTGCTGGGGACTAAAGAGCAGGAGGACTGCAGGTGAGGCGTGCAGACGACTTTTTATCGGTAAAGATTTTAATGCCATTTGGTAATTTTGTCATTAACATTTATTATGATAGACAAGGCTTCTAGTATCTTTGTTTCAAAACTGGTTTGTTCCAAAGCTAGAGATAAGAAAATTATGCATCTCATCTAGTTTCATAAAAGGAAGTTTGGAGGACCTGCTCCCATCAAAACACTGGAAGATGCAGAGACTTTTGTCAGCTCCTGGCTAATTAGATAATGCTAATCATGTGAGTAGCAATAAAAATTCGAAGTCCTGCCAGACGTAGGTTCTAGACATTCTGACAGCCAACTAAAGAGCCAGCAATAACGTGTGCCTAGGAGTGCGAGAGCCTTCTCCACCTCCGTGATGCCTCCGGGTTCGTGCATGGCCACTTGTGCTGCGTGAGCGTCGTAGGTTTAGGGGAACAGAAGTAGAGGGATTTACATGAGCTTTTAAAATCCCAAATAGACTGGCCAGGTGCGGTGGCTCACACCTGTAATCCCAGCACTTTGGGAGGCCAAGGCGGGTGGATCCCCTGAGGCCAGGAGTTCAAGACGAACCTGACCAACATGATGAAACCCCGCCTCTACTAAATACAAAAAAAAAATCAGCCGGGCATGGTGGTGCATGCCTGTAGTCCCAGCTACTTGGGAGGCTGAGGCAGGAGAATGGCTTGAACCCGGAAGGTGGAGGTTGCAGTGAACCAAGATTGCACCATTGCACTCCAGCCTGGGCAACAAGAGCAAAACTCTGTCTGAAAAAAAAAAAAAAAAAAAAAAAAAAAAAAAAATCCCAAATAGACTAAAAGGGAAAATCCTACCCCAGTCAAGACCCCGCACAATCATAATTGAGTTATACCGTGGAAAACACTTTGAGCATCCATGAGACGGTCTTACTGTTTTTTTTATTTTTCTCAATGTTCTAACATATGTGAAATTTAATTGATTTTTCCATGATAAGTGTTTTTGAAGTTGTTATATGTTAGACATCCAGTTTGGAAAAATCATCTTAATATTTAGGCTTTCCGGTTAGCTTAGTATGCCTGGATTTGCCAGGGCTGCAGAATTAATGTAGACTTAAAGGAAGAGAATGTCTTTCAGTTGAAGTACTATAAATAGCAAAGGCAGGCAGGCATAATTTTAAAGTTATGAAACTCCTTAGTGCCAGATTATTGGAGAAGAATAACATCTGCTAAAGCTAATTAAAGTTTAATATGTTTAATAAATGTGATTGTTACAGACAAAAAATCATTAAAGTGCTGTAGAAAATTGTTAAGTTACCATCAGGCCACATAATAAATTAATGATTTTTCTCACTCTGAATTAATGCAAATTCCCGTTGTACTGTATTTAATTATGCACAAAATGGTGCCCTTGACTCAGATTTCAGTGAAGAACTTCATTTTTTTACTTTTAAGTCTCCAAGTAGGAAATTCAATTAGCGTTATGAAAGAAACACTAAAATGTGGCATTTAATTGCAAAATATATTTTAAGCTTTTCATTTATCCAGTGACTTTGCCAGCAGTCACTGACCCCTTCATTCAGAGATCCTTTTCTGTTTCAAAAATGCAATGCTTCCTTTTTAGTATATTCAAGCATTTGTGAAAATTATTGCCCTCATGTACTCAGAATGCTGAATAATAAGTGTAATAAATGTTATTTCTGGTTCTCCTTTGGTTCTCATTCTAACATTTTTATGAGAGATTTAAAGGAGCAAATAAACTATAATTAGAAAAAAAAAGACAATGGATTTTAGCACATATTATATGCCACATATATATTTTTTAATGAAGTTTACATTTAACAGTAAAGAGACCTACAAAGATCAGTAATAAGAATCATGTAAGTCTCTTCATAGGCTTTTTTTTTTTTTTTTTTTTTTTTTTTGAGATAGAGTTTCGCTCCTGTTGCCCAGGCTGGAGTACAATGGCCCATCTCAGCTCGCTGCAACCTCTGCCTCCTGGGTTCAAGTGATTCTCCTGCCGCAGCCTCCCGAGTAGGTGGGATTACAGGCACCTACCACCACCCCCAGCTAATTTTTTTGCATTTTTAGTAGAGGCAGGATTTCACCATGTTGGCCAGGCTGGTCTCGAACTCCTGACCTCCGGTGATCCACCCACCTCAGCCTCCCAAAGTGCTGGGATTACAGGCATGAGCCACCGCGCCCATCCTCTTCATAGCATTTTGTGGGCTGTGCTCTTACTAGTTTTACCCTTAACATAAATTATATGCTAAACTCAACATATAATTGAAACAAAATCCAACTGAAATGTGGGTGTGGCCAGTTGGGTGCCTGTTGTGCTTTGTGACAGCTTCAGTGCTTCCAAAGGTTCCTGCAGAATGGGACATTGCTCTAGTTTGATTCACATTTGACTACAATGGTTAGAAGGTAATTACCTTTTCTATTTTTTAAATTTTTTTGAACATAAACTCAAGATTGTATTGTCTTCATAATAAAACAAAAGATGACACTTAGAATTGGATGTCTTGGCCCTTCCTCCTCTTCTGTCCTCCCAGTTCAGAATGCTCACATCTCTTTATATCCAGCATCCTCTTACATCTGCACCTATGCTCAACGCACTCAAGCCTCAGCACAAGCTTCTTCGTAGTTCTAGCCTTTTCCCGGAAAATCAGCTTAGTCTGCCCACCGTAGCCGCTATGCTTCGTGTCCTAACACCACCTTCCCCGGGCACCTGTCCTAACGCCACCTTCCCAGGCACCTGTCGTAACGCCACCTTCCCCGGGCGCCTGTCCTAACGCCACCTTCCCGGGCATACAGAGAATCCGTGCCCTTTTGTGCCGTGTCGCTTTGTGGGCTTGCCACACTTACAGAAAGTCGAACGGGGGCCGGGTGTGGTGGCTCACGCACTTTGGGAGGCTGAGGCGGGCGGATCACCTGAGTTCAGGAGTTCTCGACCAGCCTGGCCAACATGGCGAAACCCCATCTCTACTAAAAATACAAAAATTAGCTAGGTGTGATGATGGGCACATATAGTCCCAGCTACTCGGGAGGTTGAGGCAAGAGAATTGCTTGAACCTGGGAGGCAGAGGTTGCAGTGAGCCGAGATTGTGCCATTGTACACCAGCCTTGTTGAGAGAGCAAGACGCCAACTCAAAAAAAAAAAAAAAAGTCTAGCAAGTATTAGGAACATTCACTTTGTGGGAGCGCTGTTGGCACCGAAAGCACTTTTTTTATATTGGATTTTTTTTTTTTTTTTTTACCTTTCAGTAAAAGTAATGTTTTCATTATAGAAAATTGGAAATTGTGATCAAGTATAAGAAACCTATATTTCCTCCCATTCTAACCATTATTTTTTTATGTTTCCTTCCTTTAATTAGTATGTGTTTTATCTACCTACATGAGTGTGTGTTAATGTAGATATGCATAATTTTTTCTGTTTTTGGTAGAGGTAGGGTCTTGCTCTGTTGCCCAGGCTGTCAGAAACTCCTGGCCTTGAGTGATCTCCCACACCAGCCTCCCAAAGCACTGGTACTACAGGTGTGAGCCAACATGCTCGGCCTGTTACACACACACACACCTGGTATTACAGGTGTGAGCCAACATGCTCAGCCTGTTACGTGCACACACACACACCTGGTATTACAGGTGTGAGCCAACATGTTCGGCCTGTTAAGCACAGAGACACACACCTGGTATTACAGGGGTGCGCCAACATGCTCGGCCTGTTACACACACACACACACACACCTGGTACTACAGGTGTAAGCCAACATGCTTGGCCTGTTACACACACACACACACACACACCTGGTATTACAGGTGTGAGCCAACATGCTCGGCCTGTTACACACACACACCTGGTACTACAGGTGTGAGTCAACATGCTCGGCCTGTTACACACACACACACACACCTGGTACTACAGGTGTGAGCCAACATGCTCGGCCTGTTACACACACACACACACCTGGTACTACAGGTGTGCGCCAACATGCTCGGCCTGTTACACACACACACACACACCTGGTATTACAGGTGTGAGCCAACATGCTCAGCCTGTTACACACACACAAACATATATATTTTTAAGACAGAGTTTCACTCTTATTGCCCAGGCTGGAGTGCAATGCGTGATCTCGTCTCACTGCAGCCTGCAACCTCTGCCTCCTGCCTCAGCCTCCCGAGTAATTGGAATTATTACAGGCATGCACCACTACAGCCGGCTAATTTTTTATTTTTAGTAGAGATGGGGTTTCGCCATGTTGGTCAGGCTGGTCTCAGAAATCCTGACCTCAGGTGATCCACCCGTTGTGGCCTCCCAAAATGCTGGGATTACAGTCATGAGCCACTGCTCCTGGTCACGTAATTTTTAAATATAATTTTAGCTGTATCTTGTGTTCAGTTTTCTAGGCTACCTTTTTCACTCAACATTACATCAGGATCATTTTTCCTCATGTTATTCTTTGAGATATTTTTAATGGGCTTGTAGTGTCCCATCATGTGATTTACCAGTTTACTTTCTGTTTTTTAGTTGTTTACAGCTCTTCCTTCGTTGTGATGCTGTGAACCTCTTGTGCATAAATTATCATGTGCATCTCTAATTATTTCTTAGAGTACAGTCCCAGGAGTTGTGAATGTGGGTGAAGCCCCTGCTCCTGCTGCCAGGCCCACCTCTCAGAGAGTTTCGTGTACACGTGTGCAGGGAAGGGCTGACCTAGCTAGGTCTCTGAAACCCGTGCCAGATACTAAATCTGCACAGGCTGCGACAGTGAGCAGACTGAGGGCGATCTGTGCCTTATTGTCTTCCTGTTGGAAGAGAACACATAAATCACGTATCTCAAATGTGAGGCAAATAGCTAATGGTGTTTGTGTATACGAGGAAGGTGGAGTCACCGGTTCTTCGTGGCCATCAGAGGACCGACACGCCCATAGGTCTCATGCATTAAGTCTGCGTTGAGCAATCCCTAACACGGTTTTTGCCTACAGATACATTTGCACAACTGTGAAAACCAGGTACGTATTCATTGCATCATTTTTTGTAAAAAGCTGAGAGAAGTGCCCAGCAACACGTCGTGCCGCGCGTGTGCATGGAACACCATATAGCCTCACCATTAATAGGCAAGATGAGCGAGACCCATTATCAGATGAGAAAAGCACGGCACGGAATACTGTGTCCAATGTGCTCACCGTCTCAATTTTAAACCTAAAGGAGGGAGAACATTTTCTCATGCGTGCATTTCATCTCTGGGAGCACTTAAGACGCTGAAGCGTTGGTTGCCAGTGGGAATGGGAACTGGGTATCTGTGATACAGGGATGAGAATTTTCACACTGTACCTTTAAATACCAGAACGTCATGAACACATCTGAAAAACAATATTCAAATTTCCCTGATCATCTTTCTTTTTTGTTAACAATTATTTAAATTCTGGCACAAGCAAGCCACTTTTCATCATGCATTTGGTCTATAGATGTTCTACCTCCCTCAATTTCGTCTTGTAATTTAATGAATAGGGGAACTGGGGCCGGGCACGGTGGCTCACGCCTGTAATCCCAGCACTTTGGGAGGCTGAGGCGGGTGGATCACGAGGTCAGGAGATCGAGATCATCCTGGCTAACATGGTGAAACCCCGTCTCTACTAAAAATACAAAAAATTAGCCGGGCGTGGTGGCGGGAGCCTGTAGTCCAAGCTATGCGGGAGGCTGAGGCAGGAGAATGGCGTGAACCCGGGAGGCGGATGTTGCAGTAAGCCGAGATTGCACCACTGCACTCCAGCCTGGGTGACAGAGCAAGACTCCGTCTCAAAAAAATAAATAAATAAAAATAATAGGGTAACTGGGTTGCTTCTTTGTATCTCTTGAAAACTGATAGAGGTCTCATCAGATTCTAAATTTGAATTTTTCTTTTTTTGGCAATAACATCACATAGGTAATGTCGTATGCTTCCCATTCCCTTAATCATCGTGGAGATCCACTTCTCGTGAGTCATCTCCCCACAATGCTGGGATCGATCTCTGCGTCAGAATTCCTCTTGATTTTAGTGGTCACTTATCACTGCCTAGATCCATTGTTTAATGTGCTTCTAAAACAGCCGTGTTCTAATTACATAATTGTATAATTTATTAGCTGGAATTTTCTATTTAAAAACAGCTTTGTTTCTTCTCACCAATGATTTGGTTAACCCGAGTAATAGCTTGTACAGGAAAGATAGAATAAATCTTGATCCTTTTTAAAAAATTTTTATAGACAGGGTCTCACTGTGTGTTGCCCAGGCTGGAGTGCAGTGGTGTGATCATACCTCACTAACCTCGACCTCCTGGGCTCAAGACATCTTTTCACCTCAGCCTCCCAAGTAGCTGGGAGTATAGGGGCAGACCACCACACCTGGCTAATTGTTTTGATTTTTATTTTTAGTGGAAATGAGGTCTCGTTATGTTGCCCAGGCTGGTCTCGAACTCCTAAGCTCAAGCCATCCCCCAGCTAGGCCTCCCAAAGTGCTGGGACTACAGGTGTGAGCTATGCGCCTGGCCTGGAATGTTATTTATCCCTTTTTATGCCTGAAGCACAGTGCATAATCTTTTATGTAAGTTAGAACTAAGCCATCAATGTAATTTTTTAAAAAAGCAAATGTGGGCCAGGCACGGTGGCTCACGCCTGTAATCCCAGCACTTTGGGAGGCAGAGGTGGGCAGATCACAAAGTCAGGAGTTCAAGACCATCCTGGCCAACGTGGTGAAACCCCTTATCTAGGAAAAATCCAAAAATTAGCCAGGCATGGTGGCAGGCACCTGTAATCCCAGCTACTTGGGAGACTGAGGCAGGAGAATCGCTTGAACCTGGGAGGCAGAGGTTGCAGTGAGCTGAGATGGCGCCATTGCCCTCCAGCCTGGGCGACAGAGCTAGACTCCATCTCAAAGAAAACAAACAACAACAACAAAGCAAATGTGGTTTCGGGAAAATGTGACTGCAATGGTAACTTTACTGATTGGAGCAGGCACATTTTGTGTACTTTGTATTAAAACTCATGTAATGCCATGCTTGTTACAGTGACATCTTGCACACATGCTGTTTTTCAGGAGTTGTATCCCGCATTTTGTATTCACAACGGAGGCTCCGACCTTGAGCGGCTCCCCACAGCCAGCACCTGCATGAACCTGCTGAAGCTCCCCGAGTTCTATGACGAGACACTTTTGCGAAGTAAACTTCTCTATGCGATTGAATGTGCCGCTGGCTTTGAGCTGAGCTGAAGCTGATGCTGGGGTCAGACCCCTACAGAGAACCAGTGCTTCCTTCGTCAGCAGCGCCTCCCCAGACCCACGAGGATACTCACACTGCACGCCTGAGGCTCTCCTAAGCTCCTTCTTTCATTCTGCCATTCCTCCCTCCCTTCCTTTTTTAAATGATTTTTATTACGGTGTGGTCACTTATTTAGATGGACATTGCTTTTCAAATAACTTAAAATAACACGTTATGTGCCATGTGGCTACTTTAGTAATATTGCCAAGAAGAGCACAGTTTTTACACTAGTGGCATCTCAGTGAAATTAACCAAAGATGAAGCTTTGGCTTTGCTGGTGAGATCAGAGCCCTCCTGAGCAGGCAGCGCCACTCCAGGGTTCAGACAGGGCTGCACAGGCGGCAGAGATACAGGGTCTGAGGGCTGAGACGCCATGGGGCCGCTGCTGCTTATGTGGTTGGATTGTTTACAAGCCTCATTATTAAAACTGAAGGCATTTTTTTTTTCTGCTGCCTTTCCCAAAGTGGTTAGGTTTGGAAAAGAGATGATGATGGTAATATTTTATTTGTGCTTTTTAAGCCATTTCCCCAAATGGGACTAGCATGCTTGTTTTCAGTATACCGTGGCCTGCCTCATGATGGTTTGGAGATACTGTCTGTGGATGTGAGGTGGGGACTTCATTCATTGTCCTATTTCTATCTCCACTTTGTGCCTGGAGAGCTTTCAGGGGAGGTGGAGGAGGAGGGTCTGCCAAGCTACTGCAACATCTGTCACCCACTATACCCAGTTACTTGGGGGAGGACAGACACTGTGGTGTCATTAAAGTTGTTTGAACCAAAGTGGCGGCTGCATCTTTGTCCCGATGCTAGCCGTGCCGGTCTCCCATCATCCGCTCGCCCTCCTTTCCCCTGGGCTGCGCCCACTTGTCTTCCTGGATATTTGGGGGTGACTCGCCATGCTTGGCACCCTCTGCTTCCTGGTGCTGCTCTGACTCGAAGACGGGACAGTCCCTGGTGCACATCCAGGGAAGAGGAGTGTCGGTAGTTCTTGCAGTAGGCACTTTATCAGGACCTGACCTGTTGCTGGGTGATTTTAGTCTCTACAAACAGAAAGCGTTTCAAAGCGTCAGCTGTGGGAGCAGAGTGACCCTTTGCTGATGCTGGGGGGAGGGGATCTAAATCCTCATTTATCTCTTCTATGTCTCGTATTTTACTGTCACTGGAGGCTCTGTGGGCTGTCATAGTTAATTGACCATAATTAGCAATATACTTTTAAAGTGGGAAAGCTGAATGACACTTTTAAGACAATGAACATTATCAAAACAAAATGTATAATTTCTTAATTTGAATAATAAATTAAGCGTTTAAATGCTATTTGTAGTCTTGATATACAGAAATAAAATAATTAGGGTTGGTCTTTTTTATTTTAGGTTGTTTTATGTTGAATGTTCTATATCTTATTAGTTAATTTGTATATTTTATTAGTATTTTGGAAATAGCATATCTGAGACTGAAGAGAAATTGACAATTCACTTATTTGTGGTTTTTTTCTCAGCTATTCTGAGCTTATTTATTTATTTGTATGTTCTAATGGCTAAACATTTACATTAAATGTTTTTTTTCCCAAGATTGTGTTGGAGTCCTACCCCAAATCATTGTGATTAGCACAGCTTCTGAATGTTACTAGTTTTATCACAGGTGTTTGCATGTCACCAGCTAATGGAGTATAGTAAGATGGCCTACACTCACTGAGAATCAGAGGTCCTCGGGAGGATGCCTGTCATCAGGGGTGGGCCGAGCGTGGCTCCCAGGCCGGCGGCCGGTGTGCTCCTATCCGACCAGCCACGGGTGTTGGCTTCCCGAGTCTCCCATTGGGTCTGGCATTAGTTCTTGAAAAATTTCTGGAGGAAGATTCTTTGTTCTTTGTTTTGTTTGCCCTTTTCTACGTTCTGTCCTACTTTCTGCTTTCTGGTAATTTTGTACACAAACCTAAATGTTGACTTGGGGTTATTGCAGATACTTCTCATGAGGTGTTATCTGCAGAGAGATCTTTGTTTTGGTATCCTGAGCTCGTTAAGGCAGCTTTATCGATTGCAGTGGTTTACAGGATGGTGTGTGCTTTTGCGGAGTGTGGGAAACCAGATACTGCATCCCTGCCCATCGTGAGCCTGCAGTCTACACTCTATGTATCCCTGCCGTTGACATGCAGGCCTCCAGTGGTGGAACTGGGAGCACGGGAAAGGCTGTGGTGGGGTTAATGACTCCTTCCAGGAACTTCCTGAGGAGGTGAGTGGTGAACCTGAAATAATTGAATACGTAAGCTTTCTCATACTTGAAAGAAATAAACAGCCAAAGGCATATGGTAACTCAAATAGAAATTCAGGGCATGCTCAGCTCTTTCAGATCCACCTGCTCCGGGTCAGCAAGCATCACAACTAGCAGGGTAGTCTAGGAAGTGACGCAGCCACCCTGTGCATCCCTCACAGAACAGCAGGTTCACCTGGAGGTTTTTCTAATGAGAAATTACCTAGACTTCCCAAACACGGGCTGAATGCTGGAGTGCTACACTGTGGCATGCTGGGATCAACCCAGAGGGCTTTTCCTGGTGCTTGGATGGTGGTCAAAGTTGGTGACCTGAAGAGACTGGTGACCAGCATGTCCAGGTGGGAAAAGGCACTGACTACACAAAGGTCTCTGCTTCCAGAAAATTCTGAGGGTAAGTTCTTGAGCCCAAGTGCTTTGTGCCTCGACTGATTTATCTGTGAAACAGGGACAGTCTGGAGGCTTGGGTTTCACAGGAGCATTCTGGAGATGCCATGAGCATTGTAGACAGGCTTTTGACTTTCACATACTGTAAACCACGTTTTAATTTGTCTCCCTAGGCGGTTGGTGTCACAGGTTGCAAACATCACATCTTCAAAAGTCTGCCCTAACAGCCTACAAGGTTACAATAGTTTTGGCCAAGGTCTTAACAATAAAAATATTGCTGTATAAAGGCAACGTTACTACTACTTTTTCTTCTGCAGAGGTAGGCAGAAAACGGTAATCTCTTTAAATGCTGTTCTCTTTTTATGTGCATTTTTCTTTTTTTGAGACAGAGTCTCGCTCATTTGCCCTGGCCAGAGTGCAGTAGTACTATCTGGGCTCACTGCAAGCTCCGCCTCCCGGGTTCAAGCGATCGTCCTGCCTCAGCCTCCCGAGTAGCTGGGATTACAGGCGTGAGCCACCGCGCCCGGCCCCACTTTTGCTTTAAGAGGATGGTTCACGTTCTGATTACTGAGATGGATTGCTGTGGTTTGGATTCATCGATTGCGCACTTCTAAATGTTGACAGGAGGCAGTGTCCGTCATTAGCTTATAACTGAGGGCCTTATTTATGTTCAAAATACTGAGCTGAAGACTCTTGACACCAATTTTACCGTTCAGATAGGAGCTCCCACCACCAGCCTCGTCTTCCCTGACCCTGGAGTGGGCAAAAGCAAACATAGAGGCTCGAAGGGTGTCACAGGAGGGAACCATAGCCAGCCAACTGGGGCTGCCTAGAGAGGCAAATACGGCAGAAGTCACTGGGTTTTTCTTTCTGCACGATCCAGAATAAAGAAAGGCACACCTGTTGTGCTCATTAAGGTGATCTTATGTCATGGAAGCAGCCTGGTGTCAGTCTTGAATTTATCGTGGAGGGTGTTCACATACTGAGTCACCCAAAGAATTCAATTGCTGGCAATGTTTCTTAGATTTGTGGATAGCACAAGGTCCATGCGTCTCCTTGAACTGCCAGGATTGCAGACAGAAGTCCGCCTCCACGATGGGTGCTCCACGCCTTCACAGCTCAGGACCCGCATGTGAACTGGCCAGCGTCACTCCACGTACGCACCGTGCTAGGTAATGGGATGGCGCCGATGGACTGATGAGTTTGAGGTGATGACTGAATGGATGCTGTCGTGCTTGCATCCACAGACTTGACAGGACCAGAGCTGTTAGAGCTCATTCAAGTGTGAGGGGGGTAGTCTTTCTTAAAATGGTATCGTGTTCATGGTCATCAGCTCCCTGTGGCTGCTGTAGCAAATTACCACAAATCAGGTGGCTTAAAGCAGCAGCATTTCTCTCCTCCAGGGATCAGGAGGCCTCACAGCCTCAGGGAGGAACCCTTTGTCTCCTCCAGCTTCTGGTATCTGGTGTCTTCTCCCCCTGTCTCCAGTGTCCTGCCTTTTTCCTATAGACACCCCTGTAATCCAGGATGACTTCATCTCAAGATCCTCAATTACATCTGCAAAGACTTTTTCCAAATAAGGCCATGTATGTACACATGTCCTGGAGTCAGGACGTGGCCTGTTTCTTTGGGCAGCCCCATTCTGGCTGTGTTGATTTAAGTGTGGTAGGTAGACCCGTGGGGATTTCGAAACGTGTTCTGGTTGTACTTGGCTGTTGCCCACGCAGACGCAAACAAGCCTTTCCTTTGACTCAGTAAAACGAGCGGTGCATGAGATCAGTGTTCCCGGCCCTTCCTGAAGGCCATTGTGTCTCTAGGGGTTGGGGCTTAGCAGTCTGTATTTTTTATAGTGTCCTGGATAATCCTTCACAGGTGATTTCTGGAAAACAATTAGACAGTCTCAAAAAATCCTTTCAATGTTAAAAACTTCTAGGTTGGGAGTTGCAGGGCATTCCAGCTGATTTGCCTGGAGTTCATTTCTGGTGCTCCAGGGAGTCCTGATACCCGCAGCACCTGGGCCGGAACCTCCAGCTGTACGTGCCATCCAGGCTCCATGGAGGATGGTCTGTGGCACAGCTGCCGACTGCTCGGCTGTGGCCTGGCCCACAGCCCTTCGAGCCTCTACGTTTGCTTTTGCCCAGTCGGGGGTCAGGGAAGATGAGGCTGGTGCTGGGAGCTCCTATCTGAACCGTAAAACTGGTGTCAAGAGATCTTCAGCTCAGTATTTTGAACATAAAATAAGGCCCTCAGTTATAAGCTAATGATGGGTTCTAGAGGCTAATTGCAGCCCGGAGCCAGACGTGAGACTCCAGTCCGGACTGCGTTCTATGTTCCCGACACGCGGGCTGTCCCTAGGCACCTGGCCCTCCTCAGGTCAGCCTGGCCTTCTCCCACTCAACACCTACCACTGCATCACAGACCCTCCCAACAACACCTGAGGCCTTCCTGCCGCTTTCTCTGCCCCTCCCTGTCCCAAGCCATTGGCTTAGAATTGCAGCAAAGTGTCCTCCGTCCTCAGTTCCTGCCCACTGCCAAAGTGACCCTGACCTCAAGTCAGTTCATGACACTCTGGGCAAGACCTTCCAGTGTGTCCCCAGCTCAGGGAGAGCTGAGACCCTGTCATTCGCCCCTGGTGCCATCAGACCGCGCCCCTCCCCGGCTTGGGGCCCTGGGATGTGTGCTGTGCTGTGGCGCATGGCTGATCTCGTGTTGTACAGCAGTTTATTGCCCAGTGCCACCTCCCCTGCCACACCCTATTTAAAACACAGCCCCCCTGACCTCAGCACATCCATCCTCTCTTATTGGTATCTTTCTCTAGAGTGCTGATTTTCATCTAATACACCATGTACTTCACTCACCTATTACTTCCTTTCTCCCCCACCATGTAAGTTTCATGGAGGGTGGGAGGTTAGTAAACTGCTGTTTACCAAGCATGTAGAATAACGCCTTGCACACAGCAGATGCTCAGTAAATACTGGTTGAGTGCATGGATTTGCTACATCTATGGAGAACAGTCTTGCTAACTAAGGTAAATTTCAAGTTAGCCCCTGTATGGTTCCTACCCTCAATTCTTGGACCCCCATTTTTCTCACGAGAGCCTCCCTGCGGCTGCCAGCCGGCCCTAGCTCAGGGTAGGAGTGGGCGCCCGGTGCAGGCCGCCCAGGCACCGCCTTTCTGGTGGTCCCACTGCGGGCAGCTGCCCACGTGTCCAGCAAGTGCCTGCCTGGCCTGCTCCAGACCCCGGGTCGGCTTCGTGGTCCTGGGCAGTGCGTGGGCTCCATCTGGTGGTCAGGAGTGGGCACTGCGTGTGGAAGGGCGCCCGGCGCTCTGGAAGGTGATCTTCACCCGGGTGCCTGCCCCCGCAACCAGAGTCAGCAGGCTTGCACTGCTTGTGTCTCCTCATCAGGAAGTGGCTAATAAAATAGCAATATAAAGCTGACCTTTTAAGAGAAATGTTAAAGTTTTTGAGATGGAGTTTCCCTCTTGTTGCCCAGGCTGGAGTGCGGTGGTGCAATCTTGGATCACTGCAACCTCTGCTTCCTGGGTTCAAGCAATTCTCCTGCCTCAGCCTCCCACATAGCTGGGATTACAGGCACCCGCCACCACGCCCAGCTAATTTTGTATTTTTAATAGAGACAGGATTTTGCCATGTTGGCCAGGGTGGTCCCAAACTCCTGACCTCAGGCGATCCGCCCACCTTGGCCTCCCGAAGTGCTGGGATTACAGGCGTGAGCCACTGTGCCCAGCAGAAATGTTAAAGTTTAACATCCCATTGCCTTAGTTCCTCAAATGTTACACACACAGCAGCAAGCCAGCAGTTTCTACTAGGTTTACAGTAGAGAAGGGAAACCTGGCCAGGCACCCGAGCTCATGTCTGTAATCCCAGCACTTTGGGAGGCCAAGGCAGGTGGATCGCTTGAGGCCAGGAGTTTGAGACCAGCCTGGGCAACATGGCAAAACCCCATCTCTACAAAAAATAAAAAGGTTAGCAGGGCATGGTTGGTGCACGCCTGTGGTCTCAGCTACTCTGGAGGCAGAGGCAGGAGGATCGCTTGAACCCAGGAGGTCGAGGCTGCAGTGAGCTATGAATGGCACCACTGCACTCCAACCGGCCACAGTGTGAAACTCTGTCTCAAAGAAAAGTGAAAACCTTTGTCCACACACAGACTTGTACACAAATGTTCATAGCTGCCTTATTCACGATCGCCAAAGGATGGAAACACACAAGTGTTCATCAGCTGAGGAAGGAATAAACATTATGTGGTCCCTCTGTGCAGTGGAATAGGACTTGGTCGTAAAAAGAAGTGTGGGCCAGGCGCGGTGGCTCACGCCTGTAATCCCAGCACTTTTGGAGGCCGAGGCGGGCAGATCACGAGGTCAGGAGATCAAGACCATCCTGGCTAACACGGTGAAACCCCGTCTCTACTAAAAATACAAAAACAATTAGCCGGGCGTGGTGGCGGGCGCCTGTAGCCCCAGCTACTCAGGAGGCTGAGGCAGGAGAATGGTGTGAACCCAGGAGGCGGAGCTTGCAGTGAACCGAGATTGCGCCACTGCACTCGAGCCTGGGCGACAGATTGAGACTCTGTCTCAAAAATAATAATAATAGTAAGTAAAAGGAAGTGTGATACACAGCAGCATGGGTGCGCCTCAGGGACGTTAGATACAAAAGGACACATGCTGGGTGACTCCTTGACCTGAAGTGTCCAGCACAGGCACATCCCCAGAGGCGGGGTGCAGACTGGTGCTTGTTAGGGCTTAGGAGGGAAGAGACGGGCACTGACAGCTGATGGGTACAGGGCTTCTTTGGGGGCTGACGAGAATGTTCTGGAATTGGTGGTGGTGGCTGCACAATCTTGTGAATATACTTAGAAATAGGAAACTGTACACAGCTGGCCCTTGCGTAACACGGTCTGAGCTGTGCAGGTCCACCAAAGCGTGGGTGGGTTTCTTTTTTTTTCTTTTTCTTTTTTTTTTTTTTTTTTTTTTTGAGATGGAGTCCCAGCCTCCCGAGTAGCTGGGACTGCAGGCGCCCACCACCACGCCTGGCTAATTTTTTTGTATTTTTAGTAGAGACGGGGTTTCACCGTGTTAGCCAGGATGGTCTCGATCTCCTGACCTTGTGATCCACCCGTCTCGGCCTCCCAAAGTGCTGGGATTACAGGCGGGAGCCACCGCGCCCGGCTACATGGGTGGTTTTCCATGAAAGCTGCCCTCTATTGAGAGGCCAGCCTCTCACCTCGCCTTCCGCCTGCCCTTCCTCCTCTAGCCCACTTTATTGTAAGAATACAGCATATGATACGTAACATAGAAACCATGTGCTAACCACTGTTGATGTCACCAGTTGGTTAGGCTTCTGGTCACCAGCAGGCCGAGTTACATTTTTGGGGAACACTGCCTAGTTCAGAGGAAAGACTGGAGTTGGAAATTCTGTCAAACCCATTTGAAGAAGCTTGGAATTTTCTAATTTGGGGGTGTATTTACCTTATTTCATTCTTACCTTTGCTGAGGCTTCCAGTTCAGAAAGAATGGGCCTGGGGCGGTCTTTATCTTCCCCCAGGACCCCCAGTCGAAGGATCCCTTCCTTTGAGGTGGGGCCCACATGGATCTGCAGGGGCCTCCCCTCCCTGCAGCACCCTCGCCCCCCTCCCCTACTCAGGGGCCCCTGGGACCAGAGACCTCAGCCCTAGGGACACCCTGGTGGGCCTGTGCTGCCACCGAGGCCCCTCTCCTCTCTCCGGGGCTGACCGCGGTGGCCGTAGGGGCCTTGCCAGGGTCTGCAGATTCAGGGGGCAGTTTCCTGTTCTGCAGCAGAAGGCGTCCTTGCACAGTCCCCGTGCAGCAATGATGTGTGTGTGAGCACAGGCCCTGGCCACTGCGGGGCAGGCAGAGGGAGCCGGTTCTCCACCTGCCCAGCTGGGACCCCAGTGTGGGACCTGTTTCCTGATCCGCCGCATCTGGGGCTGTCACCTGCAGCTCAGACTGTGGTGCCCGCGGCCAGGTAAGGTTCACACATTATGTTCACATCCAGACCCCACAGATGTGAGGGGCCCCAGCAGATGTTCTGCACCAAGTAAGGGATGAACAGACAGGCCCAGGTCCAAGGCCTCCTGCCCCCTCTCTATTGCCCCCGCCTGGTCTTGCTGAGGCTCCTAAATGGGGTGACAAGGGCAAGGCCAGGACTCCCAGCCACCCTTACCACCCTGTGCCCTGACACCCAGCCAGCTCCTCACCTAAGACCCATCCAACATCTTGGACTATCATTCAAGGAGGAAAGACACCTTGATCCATCTTCAGAGTCCCAACATTACTAAGACAGCCACCTAAGACACCATGAAAGGAAGGCTGGTCACAACAAGGACTGATGAGGCAGGAAGTGCCTGATAAATTCACTCAGAATGTGGTCATTGCTTCCTGGATACAATGAAGTCAACACTGAAAACTCACAGGAGAGAAGTCCCCCTGGAGGGAGCCTCCCCTGTCTACTGGGGGGACTGTTTCGCTGTAGCAGTGTGGGGCCATCCACTCCCTGCTTCAGGGCTATCCCCCGTCTACTGGGGGGACCATTTGTCTAACGGGGCAGCATCACCCACTGCAGGAATCACCCCTGTCTACTGGGGAGACCGTCCCCCGTTCAGTCTGGGGCCTCAGCCTCTGAGGCAAGCAGGGGAGAACCGGGCAGAGTCTGTTGACTTCGGATGGTCCTAATGGCCTCAGTTTCTGAGCAACTCCTTTCTGCGTCTCCCCACACCGGCGCTCCCGTTCCTCCAGCCAGGCTCCCGTGTGTCCTCCTGGTGCCTGTCCTTCCCCCGGGTGTGGGCTCCTTCGCAGGCGCTGCCCACCCCCCACCTCCTGCAGCCACTCATGGCCGGCTCTGGGCCCTGGATCCCCGGAAGGCACACACATTGAGGAAGAGGCTGTGTCTCCTCTCCCCTCCCCTTGCCGGGCTGCTGGGGGCAGTCCTTGGCCGGCTGCCCATCTGTGCCATCGTCTGCACAGAATGGAAAGTGAGCGTCTGTCATGCTCAGTAATTCCATGTCTGTTGAATCTAATATCAAAAGATCTGGGCATCTGTGCTGTGTGTCTGAGTTTTTTCATTTCATTTTCTAGTGATGAGTGTTGAGTGCAGGTTGCCACATACAGAGCAGCGAGACCGCTGGACTTTCGCTCTGCCCAGTGCTTGGTGGCCCCCCAAGGAATGTGTTAAGTGACCTCCTTTATTTTTATTTTGTTTTATTTTTTGACACAGGGTCTCCCTCTGTCGCCCAGTCTGGAGTGCAGTGGTGCGATCTGGGCTCACTGCAACCTCCATCTCCTGGACTCAAGCGATGTTCCTGTCTCCGCCCCCCGAATAGCTGGGATGACAGGTGCGTGTCACCGTGCCCAGCTAATTTTTGCATTTTTTGTAGAGACGGGGTTTCACCATGTTGCCCAGGCTGGTCTTGAACTCCTGACCTCAAGTGATCTGCCCGCCTTGGCCTCCCAAAGTGTTGGGATGACAGGTGTGAGCCACCATACTGAGCCGAAGTGACTTCTTTTCAAGGAGGTTTCTAGGGGCCTGGAATTGCTTTTCACAGGGGGATGGGGACTTGATTTACTCCTGAAAGGGTGAGGGGCGATGGTGTCCCCCTCCCCAGGTCACCCCTTGAGCTGCCATGGGCTTCCAGTGTGCAGGAGCCTTTGGGGACAGGAGACAAGGACAAAACACTTGCCTTAGGGGACCCTTGAATGAGGGCTGTCACTGGCTTAGGTCACCTGGGGAAGCTGCTTACCCTCAGGTGGGTGCCTGGAGTCTCATTCAGGGAAGGGCAGAGCCTAGGGTGGGGGCGCACCCTCAGACAGTGCAAGGGATCTGCAGGGATGTCAGAGGCTCTGTCCCAGACAGACAGGCCCACAGGTGGGCACCACACCAGGGCCACCACCCTAGCCCCACAGCCAGGCCACCCCCAGATGGGCAGCCTGGGCCCATCTTGACGCTGTCAGCTCCCATCCAACTCAGATGCCCGCCCCCCCTCCAGGGGAAGCAGGGAACCCTCGTGTGGGTGGAAGCTCCTGTTCCTTTAGAATGGAGATTGCAGCTGGGCACAGTGGCTCACGCCTGTAATCTCAACACTTTGGGAGGCCAAGGCAGGAGGACCCATTGAGCTCAGGAGATCTGTAGAGCGGAAGGAGGGTCTGGTTCTTCGACACGTGTTTGAGAGATGCTAGCAGCCAAGGCTGGGCTCTGGAGGCCGACAACACAGAAACACACTGTGTCCCAGTTCTGGAGGCCAAAGTTCAATGTCAGCATCGCTGGAGCAAAGCCCCTCAGGGGCTCGGGGACCCTCCTCCCCTGGTCCCGCTCCTGGGGTGCAATAGGCCTTGGCTGGGTCTGCATCGCCCCACCCCCCTCGCCTGTGAGCCTGCCCTCTGCTTCCTCGGTGATGCCACGGAGCCCCGCTGGTCCAGCAGCAGCTGACCTGGGCTGTTCTCTTTTCTTTTTTTGTAGAGACGGGGTCTGGCTGTGTTGCCCAGACTGGTGTTGAACTGGCCTTGAGCCACCTCCTGCCTCAGCCTCCCCACGTGCTGGGAGTGAGGCTGAGCCACGGGGCTGGCTGCTGTGGGCGAGTTTCCTCCGTGGGACCCTGGGCTCAGATCCTCCCAGGGCCTGACCCCTCGGACACACGGACAGTATGCGCTGGCTGTATACCTGGGTCACCCGTGCCCACACCGAACCCAGCACGAGGCCCACTTCATTTCCGTATTCGTCCGCTCGCCCAGTAAACAGTGAGAACGCGCAAATCCCTGCGGGGCCCGGGCTTCCGGGACGGGCTGGACGGACAGGCCTGAGGGGCGCGGCCCGGGGACGCGGGAGGGGGCGTGGGAGGCGGAAGTCCCAGGAGAGCCTCTGGGGACTCCAGGGCCGCGGGAGCGGTTGTGGGTGCGGGGTCGGGATTTGCATTTCCCGCGCTGGGCCGGCGGACGCCCGAGGCCTGCAGGAGACCCGGGGCCCAGGGCTCGGAGTCCAGGAGGTGATTCGGGAGGGCCTGGGACGGCCCCGGGGCCAGGGGTCGAGCCGAGAGGCGGCCCCGCGCCGCTCCCAGGAAGGAAGGAGAGCCACGCCCGGCCCCGCCACGTTCCAGAGACTTGGAACCGCGCAAAGGACGCTTCGGACTCGGCCACCCTGGGGGCCTGGCGGCCGCTCTCCTAGAAAACGGGTCCGCGGAGGGAGGACCGGGGCTCCCGCAGCCAAGGCTCCTCCCCGCCCGCTCCAGCCCGCAGCCCTCCGGGCCCTCCAGAGCCGCGGTCCCGAGAGTCCTCGGGGGTCCCCACCGGGGGCCGGAGGTCGGAGGAGGGAGGCGAGGCCTGCGCGGGACGGTGCCGCGCGGATGGCAGAGGACGCCCGTGGGTGTCGCCCCCACGCCGGCTGCTCCGGGCCCCCCGCCCCGCCCCCACTCCTGCCCTGACCTGGGAGCGGCCGCCGCCGTCCAGTCCCACCCGACAAGGACTTCAGAGCGCTGACCGCAGGGGGCACAGGGTACCAGAAGGTTCCGCCCTGCATGCTTCCAGCTTGGCTGAGAAAGGAGCTGCCGGCCATGGAGGCTGTCGGGAAAGCGCCCTGACGATGAGAGATGCACGAGGGTCCTCGGGGGTGTCCTCAGGAAGGAGCTGAGCAGGTCCTCAGCTCGCCCCACCTCCCCGACAGGTGCACACCCGGCGGGGGCTGAGGTGGGCCCTCCTCTGTCTCCGTGGCCTCCTTGGTACCATGAGCACAGGGCCTGGTCATGGACACCTTCAGCCAGGAGTGTCCCTTCCAGAAAGGGGGAGCCGCCCGGGAAGGTGTTCCGGCGTGCTCAGTCCTTCAGTGACAGCACTGTGACCACTCCAGGTGCCTGGCACAGGCAGAGGTGGTGGCCGCCAGAGCTGGGGGACGCTCCCAGGGTGTAAGGCCAAGGCCTTGGTCAGGAGGACGTGATGCTTGGTGTCACTGGGGCGAAGCTCCGGACCCCGGAGGGAGGAGCTGCTCCCCCTGATGGGAGGATGGGAGCTGGGGGTCCAGCTCTGCAGGTTTTAGCGTAGCCCTGTCCCTCAAGGCTGCCCAGGCCAGGCAGGGGTTTCTCTGCAGTCTCAGCTGGGTGAGGCCCGGCCGGGCAGGCAGGAGGGAGGAAGGCACAGTCTCCTGAGGCGGAGTTGGGGACTGACGGGGAGAGGCAGTGCTCCAGAGAGGCTCTGCACGGGGTCACCCTGCTGGCGATCAGCTGCAGAGGAGCCCTGCCCGTGGACCCGGGATTTGTGGGGGGCACTTCTGCCGGGCGGGGGGTCGGTGTCCAGGTGCTGCAGGGCACAGGGTGAGTGCCCATTGTGCCCTTGGTGGGTGCCGACTCCGCACTCAGCTCTGTGCTGATGAAGAGAACCCGCTCTTGTCCCGAAGGACTTAGGCCTGACCCCCGAGAAAAGGCCGGCACACAAAAACACCAGGGGTCAGGTGCTCAGGCCTCTAATCCCAGTACGTTAGGAGACCAAGGCCGGAGGATGGCCTGGGGCCTCAAGTTCAAGACCAGCCGGACAGCACAGCAAGACCCTGTCTCCACAAAAATAAAAAAATTGGGCCAGGAGTGGTGGCTCACTTTGGGAGGTCGTGGCAGGCAGATCATGAGGTCAGGAGTTCAAGACCAGCCTGGCTGACGTGGTGAAACCCCATCTCTACTAAAAATGTAAAAAATTAGCCGGGCGTGGTGGTGTGCACCTGTATTCCCAGCTACTCAGGAGGCTGAGGCAGGAGAACCACTTGAACCCAGGAGGTGGAGGTTTCAGTGAGCCGAGATTGCACCACAGCACTCCAGCCTGGGCCACAGAGTGAGACTCAAAAAAAAAAAAAAATAGCCGGTGTGGTAGTGCGTCATGCAGCCTCATCCAGCCTCTGAGGAACTGCAGAGACAGAGGGCAGATGGTTCAGAGGTGCAGGCCGGGGTTGGCTCACCTGCCAGCGGCTCCGGGCCCCAACCTCCTTGGCAGCCTCTGCCTCACCTGCTCACGCGGCCCTCGGGCAGCCCAGGCTGTGGGCACCAAGGGGTCCTGCCGGCTTCTCAGGCAGCAGAGTCCTCCGGGTCCTGAGTGTGGTGTGCCTTGGGAACATGCGGGAGGCAGAGAAGAACAGGAAGGGATTGAAACCGCTCCCTCCACCCACTCCTGCCCGAGGCACCAGAGGCAGCCTCAAAAAAAGCAAAAGGTCCAGCCTTCTGTGGATCTCAGGGATGCAGGAGGGGAGGCCAGGGTGGGGACAAAGGCGGGGACCAAAAAGCCGTGTGGGTTCTAGAACATTCCTAGCTGGGCCTTGATCCGTGGCACCGTCGAGGGGTGTGGCCCCTCCGGGGAGGCTGGAGAGGTGAGCTGCAGTCAGGAACCGACGGGCCCCTCTGCGGGCACTGAAGGCCAAAGATCTGACTATCAGCCTCTGGCCACAGGGCTGGGTGGCCCAGGGCCCCCACAGCATGAGGGTTCAGGGAGGAATGGCAGAAACCCCCCGCTGGGAACCAGGAGACCCCCAGCTCATCACTCCCTGATCTTGGGCACGCTGTCCTCAGCCCTTCCTGTGCCTCAGTTTCCCCTCTGTGACATGGAGATGGGAGGTTTGTTGTGAGGATTTGTGATGGTGAATCTGGGCCAAAGCTGTGGTAGCCCTGCAGGGAGGACCCCGAGGACCCCACTCACCTGGAGAGGCTGGCCGCCTGGCATTTGCAGGGCTAGGGCTAGGGCTGGGCCAGGGGACTGGCGGCTGCTCATCCTGAAGGTTCCTCCTGGCACCTGCCCCTGGTGAATCAGGGCTGCAGCCCGGCCTGGGCCTCAGGCTCTGTGACCTAATGGAACTGTCTCAATATTTTCTGCAGCTTCTGCGGTGCTGCCTGGACGCGGCCCACAGGGAGGTGGCCTGGCCACACGGAGGCTGTTTGTGAACCGATGCCAGGCACACCCTCCCCCAGGCACGAGTCTCCCCTCTGGCCTCATCCCTGCCCCACCCCACACTCAGGGAACCCCCTCCCTGTCTTTAAGGCTGATTTCCTCGGTGCGTTCCCCGGGCTGCGTGGGCCATGGCGGATAACCCGCCTGACCCCTTCCACTCGGCTGTCGGTACCCACCTGTCAGCCCCACCTGCGTGTCCCCCTGGAAGGCAGGGCCCGAGTCTCACCCACTCTGCACGTCAGGGCCTCACCCAGCAGCAATAAATGTTTGTTGAATGAACAAGGAGGCTAATACAGCCGGGGCGGGGCTGGGGGGGTGGGTGATCAGCAGGAAACAGTGATGACCGGGCCTCGGGAAGGAGCCGTGGTTACTCCCAGCAGGTGGGACCCTGCAGTCAGCCCAGATTCCTCACGGCTCCACCCTCAGGATTGGGGAAGGAGAAATCAGAATTCCTGGGAATTATCAGAAATTCTTACAATCATACGTTAGTCTGTATTCGCCCTATAACATGTTATTTTCATGTTTTTATGTAATATTGACTGGCCATCATGATAAGAGTAAACGATTTTCTGTGATAGAATCATACTAAACTTTTCGGGGCTTTTCTATTTTAAGAAGATTTAATAATAAATGTGTGGTTCAGTGTGATTTAAAACAGATCTGGAGGCCGGGCGCGGTGGCTCAAGCCTGTAATCCCAGCACTTTTGGAGGTGGAGGCAGGTGGATCACCTGAGGTCGGGAGTTGGAGACCAGCCTGGCCAACATGGTGAAACCCCATCTCTACTAAAAATACAAAAATTAGCAAGGCGTGGTGGCATGTGCCTGTAATCCCAGCTACTCAGGAAGCTGAGGCAGGAGAATCACTTGAACCCAGGAGGCAGAGGTTGCAGTGAGCCAAGATCACGCCGCTGCACTCCAGCCTGGGCAACAGGGTGAGACTCCATCTCAAAAACAAAAAAAAAAACAAAAAAAAAACCAGATCTGTACACGTGCAGGTTTCTTATAGGTAATAAAAATAAAATAAAAATAATAAACAATAAATAGGCGAGGCACGGTGGCTCACGCCTACAATCCCAGCACTTTGGGAGGTCAAGGTGGGCAGATCATGAGGTCAGGAGTTCCAGACCAGCCAGACCAACATGGTGAAATACTGTCTCTACTAAAAATACAAAAATTAGCTGGGTGCAGTGACTCACGCCTGTAGTCCCAGCTACTCAGGAGGCTGAGGCAGGAGAATTGCTTGAACCTGGGAGGCGGAGGTTGCAGTGAGTTGAGATGGGGCCACTGCACTCCAGCCTGGGTGACAGAGCAAGACTCCATCTCAAAAAAAAAATTAAAATTAAAATAAATAAAATAAAATAATAAATAAATAAAACAGATCTGGCTATGAGCCACTGGATTGCCTTTATCTTTCTTAAAATACTTCCGATGTTTATCAAGCTCTTTATTCACGATTATGGAGATCTGAGAAGTTTTGCTTAATAAGGACATTAAGTTTTAGCAGCATTTCCAAAGATAGGTAGCTTGTAGCAAACACTCGAGCACTAGAAAACGGCGTACAGGCTTCGGGGTAACGTCCAGTACCACGGTGCTCACTCCCACAGGCAAGGCTGGCACCAGGGGCTGGAAGCGCCCACCTGAGGGCTCCGAGCAGGCAGCCTCGAACACAGGGTGAGGACAGCGTAGGAGGTGTGAGGAGTCCCTGGTGCTGACATTACAGGAGGCATGCAGGCTCCCTGGTGCCAATGGCACTTGGTCTCATCATTAGCACCAGACACAGGATCGCACACATACACCCCGACAACAGCCTGGAGCCAGGCTGGCCGATTGCTGCAGCATCTCTTCCCACCCCAAAATGTTGACCTCACATGCCTCGTTTCCTGCTCCAGCTCCTGACTGGACACCCTGGAGTACTCCAACAGCAATATATGTTGTGCTAGTTGTTACGGGGGTTTTTTTTTTCTTTGAGACAGGGTCTCACTCTGTCACCCAGGCTGGAGTGCAATGGTGCAATCACAGCTCATTGCAGCCTCGACCTTGTTGGCTCAAGGGATCCTCCCACCTCGGCCTCCTGAGTAGCTGGGATTACAGGCAGGCCATAACCACTCGGCCACACTCTGCCATGCTTGGCTAATCTTTAGAAATCTTTGTAGAGACAGGGTCGTGCTGTGTTGCCAGGGCTGGTCTTGAACTCCTGGGCTGAAACAGTCCTCCTACCTCAGCCTCTCCAAGTGCTGGAATTACACTGTGAGCCACCATGGCCGGCAGTTGTTATGTTCTAATTCTCGCAAAATTATACTCCTTGTTCCTGTTTTACGAATTTCTCCATTGATTTTTCTCGGTTCAGAAAATTATATCTACTTCCTGGGAAAGGCTAGGAAGGAAGTTCTGCAGGAAAGCATCATGGAGAGCAGCCGAGCTGGTGAGACCGGTGAGGCCCATGGTGATGAGCCGCTTGTGGGGCTCGTCCGTGTCTGTGTGCATTCACGCAAACGGCAGAGACCAGACAAACTGTGCACCCAGTACCTCCCAGCCCAGAGACCTCTTTAATCAATATTTACTATATGGCCTGACCATAGTATAGATTTTTTATATAAATTAGGGTTTTTATTAGCACATTAATTCCCAATTTGGGGGCAGTACTTCTGCGGACATTTTGGAGTCACTGTGCTTTGTTAGAACCTTGCCATGGCTGAGGTTTTGCACACACGGTGTAGAAGCAAGCACTGTTATTAAAAGGGGTGTCTGGGCTGGGTGCGGTGGCTCACACCTGTAATCCCAGCACTTTGGGAAGCCAAGGCGGGTAGATCACCTGAGGTCAGGAGTTCGAGACCAGCCGGCGAACATGGTGAAACCCCGTCTCTACTGAAGATACAAAAATTAGCCTGGCGTGGTGGCACATTCCTGTAGTCCTAGCTACTCGGGAGGCTGAGGCAGGCGAATCACTTGAACCCTGGGGGTGGAGCTTGCAGTGAGCCAAGATCTCACCATTGCACTCCAGCCTGGGCGAAAGAGCAAAAGTTTGTCTCAAAAAATGAAAATTAAAAAAAAGAAACCAGCCTGGCCAACATGGTGAAACCATGTCTCTATTAAAAATACAAAAAACTAGCCGGGTATGCTGGCAGGTGCCTGTGGTCCCAGCTACTCAGGAGGCTGAGGCAGGAGAATCACTTGAACCTGGGAGGTGGAAGTTGCAGTGAGCCGAAATTGTGCCACTGCACTCCAGCCTGGGTGACAAGAGCAAAACTCTGTCATAAATAAATAAATAAATAAATAAATAAATAAATAAATAAATAAATGGAGTGTCTGGTGCAAAACACCTGGAGACTCCTGGTGTGCAGCTCTGCAGGCTGGTGTCTCTGGGCGGGGGTTCCCTGCAGGTCCCACCAAGGCAGGGCTCGAGGCAGAGGCTGATGAAAGGCAGGAATGCTTGTTCTTCAAAGATGCAGCTACAGGCCCGGTGTGGTGGCTCCTGCCTGTAATCCCAGCACTTCGGGAGGCCCAGCGAGGTGGGAGGATTGCTTGAGGCCAGGAATTTGAAACCAGCCTGGGCAATGTAGTGAGACTCCCATCTCTACTAAAAATTATAAAAATTAGCTGGGCTTGGTGGCATGTGCCTGTGGCCCCAGCTAACTCGGAAAGCTGAGGTGGGAGGATCACTTGAGCCCAGGAGTTGGAGGCTACAGTGAACTCTGATCACACCACTGCATTCCAGCCTGGGCAACACAGCAAGACCCTATCTCAAAACCAATCAACCAAACAAACAAACGAACCAAACAAAGATGTAGCTGTCCACACGGGAAGCTATATGAAGTGAGCTTTTGTTTTACTGAGACGCTTTGCTTACAAGCTGTTGCAGGAACAGCTCGCCTCCCCAGCAGGCCGGGCAGGGCTCTTTCCAGGCCTGTTGGGAACAAAAGGTGTTCCTTGCATGCTTTGGGTGTTCACTTTCGGGTGATCAGGAAACAGTGACGACCGGGCCTCGGGAAGGAGCTGTTCTTGTTCCTGGCAGGTGGGACCCTGCAGTCAGCCCAGATTCCTCACAGCTCCACCCTCAGGATTGGGGAAGGAGAAATCAGAATTCCCGGGAATTATCAGAAATTCTCACAATCATACGTTAGTCTGTATTTGTCCTATAACATGTTCTTTTCATGTTTTTAAGTAATATTGACTGACCATCATGATAAGAGTCAATCATTTTCTGTGATGGAATCATACTAAACTTTTTGGGGCTTTTCTGTTTACAAAAAAAGATTTCATAATAAATCTGTGGTTCAGTGTTATTTAAAACAGATCTGTATATGTACAGGTTTCTTACAGGTAATAAAAATAAAATAAAAATAATAAACAGTATATAAAACAGATCTGGCCATGAGCCCCTGGATTGCCTTTATCTTTCTTAAAATATTTCCAGCATTTACCAGCTGTTTATTCACCATTATGAGATCTAAGAAGTTGTGCTTAATGAGGACATCAAGTTTTAGCAGCATTTCCAAGGATAGATAGCTTGTAGCAAACACTCAAGCACTAGAAAATGGCGTATGGGCTCCAGGGTAACGTCCAGTACCGTGGTGCTCACCCCTGTAGGCAAGGCTGGCACCAGGGGCTGTGCCCACCTCAGGGCTCCGAACCACAGCGTCCTCCCTACTGGAGCCCAAGAGGCTTGTCCAGCAGGAGCCGTTCTCCTCCTTTGTTTGTATGTTTGTTTTGAGATGGAGTCTTGCTCTGTCGCCCAGGCTGGAGTGCAGTGGCACCATCTCGCCTCACTGCAACCTCAACCTCCTGGGTTCAAGCGATTCTCCTGCCTCAGCCTCCCGAGTAGCTGGGATTACAGGTGCCCACCACCACGCGCAGCTAATTTTTGTATTTTAAGTAGAAATGGGGTTTCACCATGTTGGCCAGGCTGGTCTCAAACTCCTGACCCTCAAACGATCTGCCTGCCTCGGCCTCCCAAAGTGCTGGGATTACAGGCGTGAGCCCCCACGCCCGGCCAGTTCTCCTTTTTGTCTTGGTGAAGGGCCGTGGGGTGGGGTCCACTGACCGTCAGCGAGACCGTGAGGCAGAAGCTGTCTCCTTGGTGCCCTGGCCTCCATGTCCTCTTCTGGAACCCCTGACCCTTTCCCCAGACAGACACCCAGCACTCAGCTCTTGTCCAGCTGGCTCAGGAGGCAATAACTCACTGGCACCTTGGAATGAAGTGTGCGTGAGGCCCTCCTGTACATGCCCACATGCTAAAGAGAAAACCCATGGGAGAACATTGTGCACCCCAAGGGGGTCGAGTCTTGGGAAAGGCCTGAGTTTTTGTGGTCCGTGAACCCAAAAGTATCTGAGACAAGCCTCAATCGATTTAGAAAGCATATTTTGCCCAGGTTGAGGTGTGCCTGTGACACGTCCTCAGGAGGTCCTGATGACACACGCCCAAAGTAGTCAGGGCGCAGCTTCTTCTCATACATTTCAGGGAAACAAGACACATCATCAACACACGTACGATGGCTGGGCGCAGGAGCTCACGCCTGTAATCCCAGCACTTTGGGAGGCCGAGGTGGGCAGATCACCTGGGGTCAAGAGTTCCAGACCAGCCCGGCCAACATGGAGAAACCCAGTCTCTACTAAAAATGCAAAAATCAGCTAGGTGCGGCGGCAGGTGCCTGTAATCCCAGTTATTTGGGAGGCTGAGGCAGGAGAATCGCTTGAACCTGGGAGATGGAGGTTGTAGTGAGCCAAGATCACACCATTGCACTCCAGCCTGGGCAACAGAGCAAGACTCCAACTCAAAATAAATAAATAAATATTAAAATATATACATATGTAAGATGTACATTGGTTTGGTCTAGAAAGGCAGGACAACTTGAGACAACTCGAAGCAGCGGCTTCCAGTTAATGTTGATAAGCAATAGATGGTTGCATTCTATGAGTCTCTGATCAGCCTTTCACTGAATACACAATCCACATGTGAGAGGGGGTAGGGGAAGGGCCACGTGTGCCTTAGTCTGGCTCAGTGAGACAACAGGGCCGAGGAAGCAGTCAGATATGCGTTTGTCTCAGGGGAGCAGAGGGATGGCTTTGAGTTCTGTCCTTCATCTGCACCTGTGAAGGTAAGCTGTCCACTGACATTGCCAGGGTGAAATCCCACACAACTGCTCTAGGGTAAAGATCTTGAGCCCCACGGGGAATTTCCTTGTGCACAAATTGTGAGGGAGGTGTGTGGCTTTTTTGTTTTTTTAATCTCTGTATCTGTCTTATTTGGGAATAAAATGGGAGCAGGCTCGCCTGACAGTTCCCAGTGTGACTTTTCCCTTTGGCTTAGTGACTTTGCGGTCCCAAGATTTATTTTCCTTTCACAGGTCCTTGCGAATGAACGAGGTAGCCACCCACAGTTTCATGAATGCAGGCAGAGGACACGAGACTCCTGGGTCAGATACAAAGGTCTTTATCACCCCCCAGTAGTGCAGAGTCAGGGCCAGCATGTCCGTGCACCATGGCTCCTGAGCCCCAGCTCCTGTGGGGGGATGTGAAGAGGGTGAGGTACCCCTGCAAGCAGCGGTGTGCATTGCAGGAGATGACCCTGTTGTTAGAGAACCCGAATCTTTTATAACAGGCAGTAAGCATACCTGTCCTGAGCTCCTGAGTGAGACTCTCTCTCTTTCTTCCAAGGCTGTCTGCTGTACAAGCGTCCCTGAAAAGACAACCTGAAACAAAGGCTCTGGTCAGAACTACACAGAAATACCAGAGGCCCAGGGAGAGTCACCTCCCAGCCAGAGGATCCACTGGGCTTCCACTGTGGAGCTGGATTACAGAGGAGCTTTTTGTTAGGCAGTGGACTGGGGGAGACATTTGGAAGCAAGGCCCAGGAGTGGTCAGTGCTGGCCTGGGGCAGGACAGAGCCGACTTCCCTCAGTTCACACAGACATCTCAGAGAAGCACTGGCTGGGGTCCCTCCCCACGACTGCCATCCGCAGGGGCACGGGGACAAGAGTGAGAGTAGCCTCTGCTGCTGCTTGCAAAGCCCTGGAAAAAGCCAGACCCCGGCAGAGTCAAGAGTCATAAGGAGCAGGGGCGTCCCGTGGCAGCCCCGTCCATCCCTGTCACTCTGCCTGTCACCTCCTGGGGCTTCTCTGGAAGATCTGAGGCCTCCACCCAGAGCCCCACCCAGACTGGTTCTCCTGGAAATGCCAGCTCCTCCCTCCCTGCTCCGGGGACCTGCCTTTCCCTGAACAGGCGGCTCTGTCTCAGCAAGATGGCAAGGTCAGCTCGTTCGCACTCACATGTAAATGACTGAATGACGAGAGCCTCTTGGGGCAGAGGAGGGATCAGAGGGCGGGCTGGGTCTGTCAGGACGGTTTTCTCCAGGGGACTGGGAGACGTTTCTCAGGGGCTGGGGTTGGGTGGAGGCACCTGCCTGCTCTAGCCCTGCCCAGGGGGCATGGGGGCACCCAGGGATGACCGAGGAAGGGGCTCAAGCACAGTGTGGGCCTGTGTGTGGGAAGGCAGGAGCCAGGTGGAGGCCTAAGGGGAAGGGAGTGAGTCAGGCGGGGCAGTCAGGCTTGCCTGGTGCGTCAGGAGGCAGGCCCAGGACAAGCGTGTGTGTGTGTTTGGGGGTGGGGGGGGGTGCACACTCTGCAGCTCAGCTTTTCAAGCCAGGGCTGCCTCTGTCCCCGACGCTGCCTCATCTGGGGCCGCATCTGACCCTTCCGTGGCTGCAAACAGCACCACCAGCCCCTCCTGGAGTCATCTGCCTTCCCCAGGGCTTTGGTGCCCAGGGCACCATGCAAATGTGTTCTGGGAAGGAACAGCACAGACTGTGCTCACCTGGGCCGGGAGGCAGGGCCTCAAGGCTGCATGGAGACTCGGGGCAGGGGAGAGGACTGGGGGCGCTGGGAGGATTGCGGGGGCTGGGGGGGGGCTGGGGCCACCCCCAGGTGGCTGGAAGTGAGCACAGTGGCCCAAGGCCCCTCCAGGTGAAGGAAGAGGGAAAGGTCCTGGGGACCGTCCATGCACCTGTGAGTGGGGCCAAGGCTTTGCCCCTAGGACACGGCGATCCCTGCACGGCCCAGTGCAGCGAGTGGGTGACCCGTGCAGCTCCGGTTGCTTCCCAGTTACTCTTGGCCACGCACACAGCCTGAGAGCAGGAGCTCTGCGCTGGTTTCACAGCCCTGGAGCCTGGGGGAAGAACCAGTCGCCTGCATGGGGATGGGGAGGCGCAGGGGTGCCGGGGGCCCTTCCAGGGGGTGCGGTTCTGCCATTCAAGGTCCAGAAAAATGACAGAGGAAGAAGAGTTAGAACAGATTCTGAATCGTTCCGCCTCAGCAGGAAGGAAACCCCGTCCCTGCTCCACCACTGGCGCACCTTGAGGACCTAATGCCGGGCACAGAGGGACAGGCGCTGCAGGACCCCGTGTATGCGGCTCCTAGAGTTCTCAGACCCCTGGAGACAGGAAGAAGAGTGGGGGTGCCGGGGGACAGGAGTCAGCGTTTCATGGGGACAGAGATTCAGCTTGGGAAGATGGAAAGTTCTGCGGACGATGGAGGTGATGGCTGCACATCAGTGCGAACGTGCTCCATGCCACCGAACTGTGCGCTTGAAGACGGCTGAGATGGTGCATTTTATGTTATGTTAGATGAACTTTACCACAATTTTTTAAAAAATCAAGAAGTGAAAATTTAGACCATGATCCCCAAGTGAAAGCAGATGAAAATCGGAGGAGGGGGCCGGGCGCAGTGGCTCACGCCTGTAATCCCAGCACTTTGGGAGGCCGAGGCGGGCAGATCACGAGGTCAGGAGATCGAGACCATCCTGGCTAACACGGTGAAACCCAGTCTCTACTAAAAATACAAAAAATTAGCCGGGCGCGGTGGCGGGCGCCTGTAGTCCCAGCTACTCAGGAGGCTGAGGCAGGAGAATGGCGTGAACCCGGGAGGCGGAGCTTGCAGTGAGCCGAGATCACGCCACTGCAGTCCAGCCTGGGCGACAGAGCGAGACTCCGTCTCAAAAAAAAAAAAAAAAAATCGGAGGAGGGGGTGAGGCCAGTGGAGGGCAGGGGAGGAGGAGGGCAATTTCGCTTTGGAAATCCACTCCGGGGGGCCTTGGCCGGAAGCTGGACTGCCGCGGAGGACACTGCGCCCCTGCTCTGCAGAGGAGGAATCCCAGCCGGGGGACGGGCCGCCCGAGGTCACAGAGGGGCCTGCCAGCAGGGGTGTGGCAGGAGGGCGGTGGGGAGGAGGCCAGGGCAGTGTCTGAGGCTGCGTGTGGGGGCCGTGTGTTCACCTGGGCGCCAGGGTGCAGAGGGGGGTCGCAGGGCAGATGGGGGAGGATGGGGGCTCCAGCCAGGCCTTCAGAGACCGCGCGCCTGGAGGAGCGTTTGGCATCACTCAACACTAAAGTGCAAACGTGGGCTCCAAGAGCAAGTCAAGGGTGTTACCAGCTGGGCTCTGGGAGCAAAGACAAAGGCCAGTGGCCTCCCACCCGCCGTGGCAGGACAAGCAGAGTGTGGTCTCCACGCAAGAGGCTGGAGCCTGCAGACCCGGGAGGGCCCCGGGCTGGCGTCACATAGCACAGCAATGCCAGCAGCAGCGCAGTCTCAGGCTCTCCCCGCCCCGATGATTCTCCACTCCCAACATAAGGGTCATGTGGTCTGGAGGGACCTTTGGCCCAGCTACAGGGGACCAACTCAGGGAGACCCCTCCTTGGCTCCGTGTGGGTCAAGAAGGAAAGGATGGATTCCTCGTGTCCATGTAGAGGCAGAGAGCGCTTCCAAAAAGACAGATGAGTGACCATTGCCTCGGCTGCCTGGGCCCTGAAGGGCTCCCCTGTCCTGCTGACTGTTCTGTTCTCAAGGACCTCGGAGAAATCGTGTCGCAGTTTAAGGTCCCTTCCTTGCTGCCACCCAGACTTCTCCTTCCCAAACCTTTAGTGAACAACAGCACCGGGAGAGCTCACTGAGCGTGTGCACCTGTGCACCTGTGAGCGTTGCTTGTGCGTATGTATGTGTGTACATGTGTATGTATGTACATGTAATGTAGGTGTATGTATCTGTGCGAATATGTGTGTTGTGTGTGTGTATGTATATGTGTGGGAGGGTGTGTGTATCTGTGTGAATGTGTGTGGGTGTGTGAGTGGGTGTGTTACACGTGTGTGTATATGTATATGTGCGGGAGGGTGTGTGTATCTGTGTGAATGTGTGTGGATGTGTTACACATGTATGTGTGTGTTGGTGTGTGCACACGCAGCTCTGCAGTGGGCCTGGCCTCGCCTGGTCCTGGGGGAGGCCAGGACCGTGGAGTTCTAGAGGGGGCACCAAGGGCCCGTGTGTCCGCGTGGAGCTGGACATGCTTCTGTGGGCCAGGCACCCTGACCCTGATCCTCTCCAGTGAAGAGGCCGGGGGCAGGCGGAACTGGGTCAGGCTCCAGGACACAGCCTCACCCTATCAGGGCAGCGAGGGCTGGGGCGGACAGGGGAGCCGTAGACAGCCCGTCCCTGGGTGGGCCTGGCCTTCCCGGCCCTGACTCAGCGTGAAGGGGCAGACAGGGCGCGGCCGCCCACGGGGATTCCCAGTTCCAGCCCAAACCCCACCTTTTGCTGGCTGCAGGCCCAGGGCCCAGCCCCTCCCAGCGCCCGGTGAGGCCCCAGGTGAGACCTAAAGATCCTCGGCGGGGACGGAGGATGCACGTACCTTCCGAGACAGGGTCGCTGCTGGCGGCAGGAGGGGCTCCCGGCCCTGCCTTCCTTCCCAGGGGCTGGACCAGGCAGTGCTGGGCTTGGTTCTCAACCTTGCCTGAGAAAAAGCGTGAAAAGTGCACACAGGGCTCTGGGGCCTGCGGAGCTCATGGCCCCCTGAGGGCAGGGAGAGCTGCTGCCCGGCCGAGCCTCTGCTCCCACGGTCTCAGGCCCTCCCCGCCCTGATGAGTCTCCGCTCCCAACACAAGGGCCACGTGGTCTGGAGGGACCTTTTGCCCAGCTGCAGGGGCCATCTCAGGGAGACCCCGCCTTGGAGGACTTGTTCTCCGGATCTCCAGACGTTTAGGCTGAAAGTGCAGAGATTTAGAAGTCGGACAGGGAGTTGGGGAGCAGCGCTGTGCACGTTCCACTCACCTGAACGGCATCGTCTGAGTCGCGTTTGATAAAATTCGTAGGAGGCCACTGGTCTGGCCTGAGCTCCTGCAGGAGGCCTGGCAGAACAGACCAAAACGCAGCCACTCGTGCTAGAGCTCCACGTCATCAAGCCAAAACTAACTTGTTCATCTCACCTTCCAGGAAACCAGGAGACAGAGAATAGCCCCAAACAAGCCAGGTCTTGCCGGCATGATGAGGAAGTCCCCTCTGCTGGAACCTTCCAAGGAAAACCTCTTGGAAATGACCGATCTGCTTTTTGTTCTGTGTCTGCTTCCTCAGCCCCTTTCTGTCTACAAAACCAACCTCCTCTACCCAGCACGCCAGAGCCCTCGTTCTGTTTTATAGAATGATCTGTGCCTGGTTCTAGAATTGCAAAAAGAGCCATTAAGACCATTCAACTGGGGCCGGGCGCGGTGGCTCACGCCTGTAGTCCCAGCACTTCGGGAGGCCGAGGCAGGCGGATCACCTGAGGTCAGGAGTTCAAGACCAGCTTGACCAACGTGGTGAAACACCATCTCTACTAAAAATACAAAATTAGCCCGGCGTGGTGGTGCATGCCTGTAATCCCAGCTACTTGGGAGGCTGAGGAAGGAGAATCGCTTGAACCAGGGAGGCAGAGATTGTGGTGAGCCAAGATCGCGCCATTGCACTCCAGCCTGGGTGACGAGAGTGAAACTCCATCTCAAAAAAACAAAAACAAAAACAAAAACTTTCAATTGTGGCTGGGCACAGTGGCTCACGCCTGTAATCCCAGCACTTTGGGAGACCGAGGCGGGCAGATCACCTGAGGCCAGGAGTTCGAGAACAGCCTAGCCAATGTGGTGAGACCCCATCTCTACTAAAAATGCAGAAATTAGCCAGATGCAGTGGAGCACGCCTGTAATCCCAGCTACTCAGGAGGCTAAGGCAGGAGAATCACTTGAACCCAGGAGGCGGAGGTTGCAGTGAGCTGAGATTGTGCCACTGCACTCCCGCCTGGGTGACAGGGTGAGATTCCATCTCAAAATTAAAAAAAAAAAAAAATCTTTCATTTGGCTGCCTTTTTTTTTTTTTTTTTTTTTTTGCCAGAGTCTCACCCTGTTGCCCAGGCTAGAGTGCAGTGGTATGATCTCAGCTCACTGCAACTTCCGCCTCCCAGGTTCAAGTGATTGTCCTGCCTCAGCCTCCTGAGTAGCTGGGACTATAGGCGCCTGCCACCATGCCAGGCTAATTTTTTTTTGTATTTTTAGTAGAGACGGGGGTCTCACCACGTTGGCCAGGCTGGTCTTGAACTCCGGACCTCAGGTTATCCTCCCGCTTTGGCCTCCCGAAGGGCTGGGATTACAGGCATGAGCCACCTCACCTGGCCTTGGCTGCAATTTCTCTTGCCAGTTGTAAGCTTAGCGATGGTCTCTGGCTTGTAGAGGAGCCTCCAGGGTGACTCGATTAGCCCCTACTCACTTGTGTGGTTGTACCTTCATTCTTTTCCAGCAGACAAGCCTGTGCTGAGCACCTGCTGTGTGCCAGCGACTGTCTGAGTTGCACAGCTGATACGGGACCCAGGCTTGGACCTGCACGGCTGCCAGCCACTGAGCCTGGAGTGCCACAAGCAGGGTTCAGTCGCCATCGTGGGAATGCCACGCAGGAGATGCATGGGTTTCAGCGTGCCATGAGGATGAACCCAACCTACAGAAATGATCATTATTTAGACTGAACTCTGAAAAAGTAGAGGGGTTTAGCCAGGGAGTGGTAATGGGGGGACAGACAGGCCGTGGTGGGAAGGGAGGGAGGGGACCCCAGGCAGAGGGAGCAGCCTGTGAGGAAGAGCAAGGACACCGTGATTCTTGGACTGTGGTGGCCGAGAGTGGCTCAGACTCCCTGGCTAGGGAAGCGGGGACGCCTGCTTTCTTCTGGGAGCCCTGCCCCACACAGTGGAGTCTGAGGGTATTTTAAGCTGAGGACCAGATTCTGAACAGCGGTGACCCTCCCCTAGAGCCCAGCCCTTATGGTGGGAGAAGCCCCAGTCATCCGGGGAGGCATGTGATGCCAGCCCGGCCCCCAGCAGCCAGTGCCAGGCCTGCGAGCGGGTATCCTGGGGGAGCCCCGGCCAGCATCTGCCTTCACTTCAGGAGAGGAGAGCCTCCCAACAGAGCCCCGTCTCCCGGAGCCCTCAGAGAGCTCTGCCACCATTGCTTTAAGACAACATAACCAGAGCCAGTGGGAACCCTTCCAGTTCTGGGGCGGGTGCAGGACTCCCACTTCCCTTAACTCAGTCTTCAAGAGTCCCTCCAGCCTGCGAGACCGTGGTGGGCACCTGGTGAACCATTGAACCCCAACATCCCTATGGAAGCCCTGCACAGTGAAAGTCCCAAGAAAAATATCTGTGAAATGAGTAAAGGGTTATTCTCAGTTTACAACAAAGACTTGAGGTGAAGAGAGAGTGAAGGATGTGAATATCACCCAGCCTCGAGGATTGCGGCCAGAGCTGGAACGGGGTCCTGGACTCCACCGTCCTCCCTGCAGCTGGGGCTGGAACGGGGTCCTGGACTCCACCGTCCTCCCTGCAGCTGGGGCTGGAACGGGGTCCTGGACTCCACCGTCCTCCCTACCCCACGCTGTCTTCTTCCAACCCCCTGCCTTTTTTTTTTTTTTTTTTTTTTTTGAGATGGAGTCTCACTCTGTTGCCCAGGCTGGAGGGCAGTGGCACGGTCTTGGCTCACTGCAACCTCCACCTCCCAGGTTCAAGTGATTCTCCTGCCTCAGCCTCCAGAGTAGCTGGGATTACAGACATGCGCCACCACACCCGGCTAATTTTTGTATTTTTAGTACAGACGGGGTTTCACCATCTTGGCCAGGCTGGTCTTGAACTCCTTATGTGATCGACTTGCCTCAGCTTCCCAAAGTGCTGGGATTGCAGACCTGAGCCACCACGCCTGGCCTTTTTCTTTCTTTCTTTCTTTTTTTTTTTTTTTGGAAACGGAGTTTCACTCTTGTTGCCCAGGCTGGAGTGCAGTGGCGCGATCTCAGCTCACTGCAACCTCTGCCTCTTGGATTCAAGCGATTCTCCTGCCTCAGCCTCCCAAGTAGCTGGGATGACAGGCATGCGCCACCATGCCTGACTAATTTTGTACTTTTAGTAGAGACGGGGGTTTCTCCATGTTAGTCAGGGTGATCTCGAACTCCCAACCTCAGGTGATCCGCCCACTTCAGCTTCCCACAGTGCTGGGATCACAGGCGTGAACCACCACGCCTGGCCTCCCCCAACCACTTTCACCTTGTGTTTCCCTCCTTGGGAGAACAGCGGATTTTATTTTATTTTATTTTATTTTATTTTTTGTCACCCAGGCTGGAGTGCAGTGGTGTAATCTCAGCTCACTGCAACCTCCGCCTCCCGGGCTTAAGTGATCCTCCTGCCTCAGCCTCCTGAGTAGCTGGGACTACAGGCGCCTGCCACTATGTCTGGCTAAGTTTTTGTATTTTTAGTGGAGGTTTCACCTTTTTGGCCAGGCTGGTCTCGAACTCCTGACCTCAAGTGATCCACCCGCCTCGGCCTCCCAAAGTGCTGGGATTACAGGCGTGAGCCACTGCGCCCCGCCTGAACAGCAGATCTTTATTTTCCGTTCATTTCTTTCACTAATTCAGGTTATCGATTGCCATGCTGCTCTCAGGAGGGGATAACCCAATCTCAGGGAATTCCCCTAGGGGAACACTGTTTCTCCGTCTCCCATCCTAGGCTCTGAATTCCCCAGTGATTTCAGAGGAAGTTTCTGATAAGCCAAAAACAAAGACACATAATCCAGCGGAAAGCCTCCTGTGGCTCTGACGGGCGAGAATATCCCCGGTGATTTGGACACACGCACCTCTTCCTGGCGGGGTATTTGATTAAGGAAGAAACTCCCTGTGTTATGTAAGATCTGTGTCATCTGATCCATCAGGGTTTCTTGTCCAGATGCTCAGGCTGAAGAGGTACCGTCGGTCCGAGGTCACTGCCTGGCAAGCGAAGGCCATGATGGTGGGTTGGATGGGTCATAGGTCACGGTCATGGGCTCCAGGCCCTCAGACCCCACCTCCAAATGCCCGGTCATCCTGCTAAGATGTTTATAGCATACATCGTATTTAACCTTTGAAGGTGTTAGATACAGTCAACATGGTAGTTCCATATTTTGAGTACGAGAACCACGTTTAACATCAAGAGATTATCATGTCCTCTCAACTGGTCATGGTTATAATTTTGTTATTTATTGAAAGAGAAAATTCTGAGGGACTCCAAAACCACTATAAATTCAGGAACATTTACAGGAGCTTGTGTCTCATTCATTTGAACAGCCCGTATATTTCATTTCTTACCTTGGAGGACTCCTGTTGTTCACCCACAAGGCTTGCTGTGTTCAGGAACTTCCAAATCTTAGAGTGAGGCAGCCACGTCCAGGGGCTGAGGTCCGCTGTGAGGAGCCCCTCAGCTGCAGGTGCCAGGGTGGGGATGCGTTCAGACAGCCTTGAAGGGCCGTGGGCCACCCTGTGGGTGCAGATGAGCTTCACATGGGTTGTTGTGCGTTAAATTGTCCCCCAAAAGATGCGCCGAAGGCCCAGTGCCTCTGCGTTTTAGGAAGCAGGGTTGGTGTCTGTGTAATTAGTTAAGAAGAGGTTGTATTGGATTAGGGTGGGCCCCAAATCGTGTTCTTAGAAGAAGAAGGAAATGGCTGGGTGCGGTGGCTCACACCTGTAATCCCAGCACTTTGGGAGCCGGAGGCGGGCAGATCATGAGGTCAGGAGTTTGAGACCAGCCTAACCAACATGACAAAACCCCATCTCTACTAAAAATACGAAAATTAGCCAGGCGTGGTGGCGGGCACCTGTAATCCCAGCTACTCAGGAGGCTGAGGCAAGAGAATCACTTGAACCCGGGAGGTGGAGGTTGCAGTGAGCTGAGATTGTACCACTGCACTCCAGCCTGGGCAACAGAGTGAGACTCCGTCTCAAAAAAAAAAAAAAAAAAAAAAAAAAAAAAAGAAGAAGAAGAGGGAATTGAGACACAGGGACAGGGAGGAGGCTCTGTGACAACAGGCAGAGAGGGGACGGCTGCGTCCACAAGCGGGGAGGGCCGAGGGTTTCCAGCGCCCCCCAGAGGCCAGAGGCGCCCACAGAACAGGCTTCCTCCAGGAGGAGGCACTTCTGCTGACGCTAATTTCACTCCCAGCCTCCAAGACTGTGAGAGGAGGAACCTCTGTTGTTTGGAGCCACGTGCAGTGATTTTACAGCCGCCTGGGAAACGCATACAGTGGTCCTGTGCTCTTAGCCTTTCATTGAAAGAGTCCACATGCGGTTGCTAGAAAGCACACGGAGCCCTTTGCCCAGGCCCCTCCACGGTGGCGTCGTGCGGAATCACCGCATGGCGTTCCCGCCAGCACGGCCACAGAGACACAGCCACGCCTCTTGTCAGGCCTCCTGGTGTTTCTTGTACTTGTGTGTGCTGCGTATGTGTCTCTATGTATGTGTGGTGTGGTGTGTGTATGTGGTGTGATGTGGTGTGGTATGGTGTGGTGTGTGGCATATGTGTGTGGTGTGTGTGGTGTGTGGCATGCTGGGTAGTGTGTGGTATGTGGTGTATAATGCTGCGTGGTGTGTGGTGTGTGTGTGTTCTGTGGTGTATGGTGTGTGTGGGTGTGATATGTGTGTGGTGTGTGTGGTGTGTAGTGTGTGGTGTATTGTGTTGTGTGGTGTGTGTTGTGTGGTGGTGTGTGGTGTTGCCTGGTGTGTGTGTGCTGTGTAATGTGTGTTGTGTTGTGTGTGGCGTGTTGTGTTTGTGTGCTGGCTGGTGTGTGATGTGTGGTGTGCTGTGTGTGTGGTGTGTGTGGAGTGGTGTGTTGTGTGTGGTGTGTGTGATATGATGTGTGTATGCTATGTGTGGTGTGTCATGTGTTGTGTATGTTTGTGTGTGCTGGGTGGCATGTGGTGTGTGTGTGCTGTGTGGCGTGTCATGGGTAGTGTGTGATATGCTGGGTGGTGTGTGGTGTGTGCATGGTATGTGGTGTGTGTGTGGTGTGTGGTGTGCGGTGTGCGTTGTCTGGTGTGTGGTGTGTGTGGTGTGTGGTGTGGTGTGTGTGGTGTGTGGTGTGTTGTGTGTGTGGTGTGGTGTGTGTGGTGTGTGTGGTGTGTGGTGTGTGTGGTGTGGTGTATGGTGTGTGTGGTGTGTTGTGTGGTGTGTGCGGTGTGTTGTGTGGTGTGTGTGGTGTGTGGTGTGTGATGTGTGTGGTGTGTGTGGTTTGTATTGTGCGGTGTGTGTGGTGTGTTGTGCTGTGTGTATGGTGTGTGGTGTGTGTGTTGTGCGGTGTGTGTGGTGTGTGGTGTGTGGTGTGTGCAGAGGCTTCTAGTTCTCTACGACTCCACCACCCATGGGTGCTCACAAGCTCCCTCTACAGGAGCGGCTCCGCCCCGCCCTGCACCCAGCACCCCTCCCCACGTGGGACCCTCCCCACGTGGGACCCTCCGCCCTGCTCTAACCCTGCCGGCGGCGCCGCCCTCCACGTCTGAGATTCTGTCATTTCCGCTGTGCTCTGTGAGTGGCATCAGGCCGCAGGTCGCCTTTGGGGGTGGCTTCCCACACAGCCGAGGCCCCAGAGGCTGCCTTGAGCGTGGCGGGGGCCAGGAGTCCGGGGCGGGGGAGCCCGGGGTTTGCTCCTCGGGACGGAGGAAGATTCCAGGCTCAGCCGCCTCCAGTCTGCAGCCCTGCGAACCGCCTGCCACGCGCATTCCTGAGCAGGGCTCTGCAGGGCGCGGCGTGCACGGCTCTGGAACCTGCCAGGATGCGCTGATGTGGCAACTCACTCAGGGTGGCATCGTTCCATGGGCAAGCACCCCTTAGAGAAATGAGGAATGACTCAGATGATCGGCTTCTACGAGTCTCTGCTGCCATTTTAGGGGCCCCGTAAGGTTCCAGCTGTTTTTTGTTTTGCTTTGTTTGCTGTTTGGTTGGACGACAACGTGAGTAGGACTCCTGTCCCAAGGGGAGGACGCGTCCAGCCCGCCCGCCACGTGTCCAGCCTGCTCTCCGGAGCTGCACCAGAGCCTGTGTGGAAAGGAGAAGACGCAGCTCTCCCTGGGAGAGGCCTCAGCACAGCGATGCGAACCTCTCACACGCATGCAGAATTCTCCCACGTGTGTCAGGGAGCCCAGGTCCACCTCCCAGGAAGGCCGGCTCCCCAGCGTCCAGCACGTGGCCTGCTCTGCAGGGGAGCGGGAGGCCGGGGTCCCCCACACAGCTTCTCTCCGTCCACCTGCGCGGAGGCTCCTGCACAGGAACCCTGGTGAGAAAACACCCGCGGTGGGAGGAGAGCGCACGCCGGTGTTGCACACGCTCCCGTGTCACTTTCCCTGGTGGTCTAAAGACATGGTATTCACTCACCAACATCCCACTGCATTGTTCGGAAATAAAAATGCCATTAGTCCTGCCTCTGTCAGGCTGAAAGCAGTCACGGCCCTGGAACCAAGAATGGCTTTTACATCTATGGAGGGTTGCAAAAGACAAACAAGGGAAGGAGGATCACTTGAGGCCATGAGTTTGAGACCAGCCCAGACAACAAAGCAAGATCTCATCTCTACAAGAAAAAAAAAAGGCCGGGAACAGTGGCTCACGCCTGTAATCCCAGCACTTTGGGGCTGGCAAATTGCTTGAACCCAGGAGTTTGGGACCAGCCTGGGCAACATGGTGAAACCCATCTCTACTAAAAAATACAAAAAAGTAGCTGCTCAGGAGGCTACGGTGGGAGGATCACCTGAGCCCTGGAAGTCAAGGCTGCAGTGAGCCGTGTTCACGCCACTACACTCCAGCCTGGGTGACAGGAGTGAAACTGTCAAAAAACAAACAAACAAACAAAAAACTAGCCTGGCATTGTGGTGAATGCCTGTATTCCCAGCTACTTGGGGCAGGAAGATCGCTGGAGCCCATGTTCGAGGCTGCAGTGTGTGGAGAGCTATTATTACACCACTGCACTCCAGCCTGGGTAACAGTGATCCTGTCTCAAAATACATACATATATCTAGCAAGTAATTCAGATCATGTTGATTTAAAGACAACACAGCTGAATATACGATGGCAAGAACAAAATGTATGACTCCAATATATAATATGAAACCTTAGAGCATTTATTCCCCTTGGCTAAGAGGGTCTGAATTCCTTTCGCAGGGCTGCCAGAACAACATCCCACAGACTGGGCAGCTTAAACAAGAGATTGAGCGTCTCGCACTCTGCAGTCTGGAAGGCCAAGGTCAAGGTGTAGGCAGGGCTGGTTCCTCAGTGGCTCTGCAGGACGACTGTGTCCCAGGCTACTTCCCTTTGCTGATCGATGGCCCTTGGCCCTCTGTGTCCTCACAGGGTGGCCCTTCTGTGCACGTCTGCATCCTGATCTCTTCTGGTAAGGACCCCAATCGGATTGGAAGAGGGCCCACCCTAATGGCCTCCTTTTGGCTTAATGATCTCTCGGGAGACCCTGTCTCCAGGTACAGTCACATTCTGGGTACTGGGAGTTGGGCTTGAACACAGGGCTTGGAGAGCACTGTTTTGCCCATAACAGGGCCTCTGGGGAAAAGTTCAAAAATCTGTCAAAAGAAGGAGAAGACAGGAGAATCGCATCGCTTGAACCCGGGAGGCGGAGGTTGCAGTCAGCCAAGATTGCGCCACTTCACTCCAGCCTGGGCGACAGAGGAAGACTCTGTCTCAAAAAAAAAAAAAAAAAAAAAAAAAAAGAACGGTAGATCCTTCTGTTCTGCCTGGAAGGTTGTCCACGAGGCCTTAGTGAGTGAAAGAGCCGTTCTGGGGGCGTCTAAACTGTATGTTCCCATGTGTATGTTCAGGCTACTGACCTGTAGCTCGAGTGGAATTGCAGGGGCCTGTCTGCATCATAGACAGGGCACACTTTGAATTTTCCTGACAACGTGCGTTTTATCTATTATAGGCACACATTTTAAAAACTGGAAATGGAAACCAGAGCAAACACACGAAAACAAAAACCCCCAAACAGATGAGTAAGGGAAACCACTCAGTATGTGTAAACCGTGCCACCAACGTTCCAGTTCACAGCAGCCAGATCACAGGAAGCTGCCTGGCACAGGCGCCCACTTCCTGGTGTCGGGTGGCCCAGAAACCGCCTTGTCATCAGCGTTGCTTGGTGAGCACAGCCCCAGGCACAGCCCCAGGGCTCGACTGTCTTTCTGAGCCCAACTCCCTCCTGGTGGGAACATTCAGTATGTCTTCCTCGGAGGAGGCCATGTCAACCCTGACCCAGCCACTCCCTCTATCTTCTTCTTCTTCTTCTTCTTCTTTTGAGACTGAATGTCGCTCTGTCGTCCAGGCTGGAGTGTCGTGGTGTGATCTCGGCTCGCTGTAACCTCTGCCTTCTGGGTTCAAGTGATTCTCCTGTCTCAGCCTCTCAAGTAGCTGGGACTACAGGCACGAGCCACCATGCCCAACTAATTTTTGTATTTTTAGCAGAGGTGGAGTTTCACTATGTTGGTCAGGATGGTCTCGATCTCTTGACCTCATGATCTGCCTGCCTCGGCCTCCCAAAGTGCTGGGATTACAGGCATGAGCCACCACGCCCGGCCCTGTATTTTTTATTTTTTATTTTTTATTTAGTAGAGATGGGTTTTTCTCATGTCGCCCAGGCTGATCTTGAGCTCAGGCAATCCACCTGCCTTGGTCTCCCTAAATGCTGGGATTATAGGCACGAGCCGCTGCGCCCGGCCGATCTGCCCTTCTTTTTTTGTTTGTTTGTTTGTTTGTTTGTTTTGAGACGGAGTCTCCCTCTGTCTCCCAGGCTGGAGTGCAGTGGCGCAATCTCAGCTCACTGCAAGCTCCGCCTCCTGGATTCAGGCCATTCTCCTGCCTCAGCCTCCCGAGTAGCTGGGACTACAGGCACCTGCCACCACGCCCAGCTAATTTTTTCGTATTTTTAGTAGAGACGGGGTTTCACCGTGTTAGCCAGGATGGTCTCGATCTCCTGACCTCGTGATCCGCCCGCCTCAGCTTCCCAAAGTGCTGGGATTACAGGCATGAGCCACCGCGCCCGGCCTCTGCCCTTCTTTTCAGTTGCTGCATAGTCTCCATTGCATGGTCCTACTGTGTCCATCTCATCAGTTCCTTAGGAATTAGTGCTTAGGGTAGCTGCAGTCTCTGCCACTCTCACCATGGCTGCAGAGCGTGTCCCGGCATATATTTAATGTGTTTCACTTTGTCTACTCCTGCAAATGGATCTGCAGACGTTCCTGTCAGTGGAATTGTTAGGTCAAAGACGATGCATGTCTTCCTCTGAGTATTGATTGTCACGTCTCTCACACTGACATATGCTACTGATTGCAAATCTATGTGGATGCTGCTGTATCAAATAACATTCAAATTAGTCGCAAAGGAAAAGAGAGATGGATTCCTTTCATATGAATTGTCCAACATAGGCAGGTGCACGGGGACAAAGTGGAAGAAGGGGAGAGCCTGTGATGGATCTGAGGTGGTTGTTGTTTTTGTTTTGTTTTACTGCTCCTTGTGGGGTAGGTCCTCCTCGTAGACAGTGTGCCCAGCATAGCCCAAGGTTTCTTTCTTTCTTTTTTTTTTTTCTTTTTGAGACAGAGTCTCACTCTGTCGCCCAGGCTGGAGTGTAGTGGTGGGATCTCGGTTCACTGCAACCTCCGCCTCCCGGGTTCAAGCGATTCTTCTGCCTCAGCCTCCTGAGTAGCTGGGACTACAGGCATGTGCCACCGTACCTGGCTCATTTTTGCATTTTTGGTAGAGACGGTGTTTCACCATATTGGCCAGGCTGGTCTTGAACTCCTGACCTTGTAATCCGCCCACCTTGGCCTCCCAAAGTGCTGGGATTACAGGCATGAGTCACTGCGCCCGGCCTGCTTTTCATATTTTAGAGATGGGTCTGGTGATGTTGCCCAGGCTGGAGGGCACTGGCCATGGTCAGCACAGAAGCTCTTAACCTGCTCCTGTTCCCCGCTGACATGGGCTCGTTCACCCCACCTTGGGCAACCTGGTGGCCCCCAGCTTCCAGAGGTCACCATATTGATGCTGAATTTAGCATGGACACCTAATCAATTTAACACACTGCAGCCTCAAGCTCCCGGGCTCACACAGTCATCCTACACTCCTGGCAATTCTGTTTTAGGAATTTAACTTTAGGAGATAGTAAAAGATAACTTCTTTTTTTTTTTTTTAAGTTGAGACAGGGTCTCGCCTTGTCTCCAGGCTGGAGTGCAGTAGTGCACTCACGGCCCACTACAACCTCAGCCTCCTGGGCTCAGGAGATTCTCCCACCTCAGCCTCCTGAGTAGCTGGGACTACAGGCACGCGTCACCATACTCAGCTAATTTTTAAATTTTTTTTGTAGAGATGGGGTCTCGTTATATTGCCCAGGCTGGTCTGGAAATCCTGGCAGCAAGTAATCCTCCTGCCTCAGCCTCCAAAAGTGCTGGGATTACAGGCAGGAGCCACCACCCTCGACCCCAGCAAAAGATAACTTTTAAAAAGAATATAGTCGTGATTCATACAGATATAAAATGAGCATGTGTTAAAAGATTTCATGTAACTCGTTCAGATGTTACAACTGGTTTAAAAATAATTCCAAGAACCACACACATATAGGAAATGTCAAAGAAAGAGTCAAACTGTAAAATATTTGAAGAAATTTATTCTGAGCCAAATACGAGTGACCATGGCCCATGACACAGCCCTCAGGAGGTCCTGAGAACATGGAACCAAGGTGGTTGGGGCGCAGCTTTATACATTTTAGAGAGGCATGAGACATCAATCAAATGCATTTAAGAAATACTTTGGCCGCGTGCAGTGGCTCACGCCTGTAATCCCAGCACTGTGGGAGGCCGAGGCGGGTGGATCACCTGAGGTTAGGAGTTCGAGACCAGCCTGGCCAACATGGTGAAACCCTCGTCTCTACTAAAAATACAAACAAATTAGCTGGGCGTGGTGGCAGGCGCCTGTAATCCCAGCTACTCAGGAGACTAAGGCCGGAGAATCGCTTGAACCCGAGAGGCAGAGGTTGCAGCAAGCCGAGATTGTGCCACTGCACTCCAGCCTGGGTGACAAGAGCGAAACTCCGTCTAAAAAAAAAGAAAGAGAGAGAGAGAAAGAGAGAGAGAGAGAGAGAGACTTGGGTTTGGTCCAGAAAGGAGGGACGACTCAAAGCGGGGGCTTCCAGGCTATAGGTAAGTTTAAACATTTTCTGGTTGACAATTGGTTGAGTTTATCTAAAGACCTGGGATCGACAGAAAGGAAATGTTCAGGTTAACATAAAAGATTGTAGGCCGGGCGCAGTGGCTCACGCCTGTAATCCCAGCACTTTGGGAGGCTGAGGCAGGTGGATCACCTGAGGCCAGGAGTTCGAGACCAGCCTGACCAACATGGTGAAACCCCGTCTCTACTAAAAATATAAAATTAGCCGGGCGTGGTGGTGCATTCCTGTAATCCCAGCTACTAGAGAGGCTGAGGCAGGAGAATCACCTGAACCCAGGAGATGGAGGTTGTAGTGAGCTGAGATCATGCCACTGCACTCCAGACTGGGCCACAGAGTGAGACTCTGTCTCAAAAAATAAATAAATAAAAATAAATAAAATCAGCCGGATGTGGTGGCACATGCCCGTAATCCTATCTACTCAGGAGGCTGAGGCAGGAGAATCGCTTGAACTCAGAGGTGGAAGGTTGCAGTGAGCCAAGATCGTGCCACTGTACTCCAGTCTGGGCAACAAGAGCAAAACTCTGTCTCAAAAAAAAAAAAAAAAAAAAGATAAAAGATTGTTGGGTGGGTGCAGTGGCTCACACCGGTAATCCCAGCACTTTAGGAAGCTGAGGCAGGAGTTTCACTTGAGGTCAGGAGTTCAAGACCAGCCTGGCCAACATGGTGAAACCCTGTCTCTACTAAAAATACAAAAATTAGCCAGGCGTGGAGGCGTGCACCTGTAATTCCAACTACTAGGGAGGGGCTGAGGCAGGAGAATTGCTTGAACCTGGGAGGCAGAGGTTGCAGTGAGCCGAGACCGTGCCACTGCACTCCATCCTGAGCGAGAGAGCAAGACTCCATCACACACACACACACACACACACACACACACACACACACAAAGACCGTGGAGACCAAGGTTTTTTTGAATCTATCGCGGCTGCCCTTAGAGACAAAAGATGACAAATGTTTCCTGTTCAGATCTTTAAAAGGTGCTAGACTTTCAGTTACTGTCTTCAGGATTGGGAGGGCCTGGAAGAAAAAGATCTATGTTACTAGAGACTCTTTACAGATGCATTTTTCCCCCACAAAGGATGCTTTGCAGGGCCATTTCAAAATATGGCAAAGAAACATGATTTGGGGTAAAATATTTTGATTTTCTTCTTTGTCATGTAATGTTATGCCAGAGTCAGATTGGAAAGTAAGTCACGTTATATAGGGTTAAAGAAAACCCATCTGTCTCTGAAGACGTCCCGCTGAGCCCTGGTGGACTTGAATCCACTAGGAAAGCTCAACCCAGCACAGCTCTCTAAGTCAGCATCCCAGTAAATGCACGTGGAGAGGAGGTTGGGCCAGGGCCACACAGAGCCTCAGGTCCGACATCTGCCAAACAAGACACCAGCTGTGTGCAGCCACAGCTCCTTCATGAAACTCTTGGGACCCAATGTGCTTTGGAACTCGGAATTTTCCCAAACTTTGAAAAGTCGATTCTGCACATATACTATGGTTCTGTTCCATCCCATCTCCGGAGGGTAGGCAGCAGAGTGTGTGCAGGTCCACACTGGCCATCAGTAGCCTCAGACCAATTATGTCATATTTTACAACCAAGGAGTTTCTTAAAAATGTACTTTCTGACCGGGCGCGGCGGCTCATGCCTGTAATCCCAGCACTTTGGGAGGCCCCGCCACTCTAACTAGGTGAACTCTCCCTCGCCCGAGGCTCCAACCAGCTTCCACCTCCTGGTTTGTCCACTCCGCTTCACGGCCACACCTCTGACTGCGCTTTGAGGGCTGCACCAGCTGTGTGAGCATCTCACCTGCTCGTCGGACAGACTTGGGTTTCTCGGTCCCCTGCTTCTGAATTATCTGCTCCCATCACCTGCAGGCTTTCTTCCGCATAACAAGGCAACGTTTGTTCACCAGACCCATTCTTCCTGGACCACCCCAAAACTTGTCTCCATCACACCCAGAAACCCCAACTCCTCTTCCTTTCTGTAGCTCAGAATGCCATCCAGGCCTCCGTCATCCAGCCCTTCTTTGCTTCTTATAGCTCTGCGGAACTATACCAGGAAGGGGTCCTGATCCAGACCCCAAAAGAGGGTTCCCGGATCTCACGCAAGAAAGAATTTGAGGTGAATCTATAGAGTAAAGTGAAAGCAAGTTTACTAGGAAAGCAAAGGAATGGCTACTCCATAGGCAGAGCAGCAGCTTAGGCTGTCTGAGTAAGAATACTTATGGTTATTTACTGATTATGTGCTAAACAAAGGGGTGGATTATTCATGAGTTTTCTTCAAAAGAGGTGGGCAGTTCCTGGAACTGAGGGTTCCTCCCCTTTCTAGACCATATATGGTAACTTCCTGACGTTGCCATGGCATTTGTAAACTGTCAAGGCAATGGCGGGAGTGGTTTTTAGCAGCTAATGTGTTATAATTAGCATATAATGGGCTGGGGAGGTGGCTCACTCCTGTAATCCCAGCACTTTGGGAGGCCGAGGCAGGTGGATCACGAGGTCAGGAGTTCAAGACCAGCCTGGTCAACATGGTGAAAACAAATACAAAAATGAGGCTGGGTGCGGTGGCTCGCGCTTGTAATCCCAGCACTTTGGGGTACCGAGGCGGGCGGATCACGAGGTCAGGAGATGGAGACCATCCTGGCTAACACAGTGAAACCCCGTCACTACTAAAAATACAAAAAATTAGCCGGGCGTGGTGGGTGGGCGTCTGTAGTCCCAGCTACCCAGGAGGCTGAGGCAGGAGAATGGCATGAACCCGGGAGGCGGAGCTTGCAGTGAGCTGAGATCGCACCACTGCACTCCAGCCTGGGCGACTGAGCAAGACTCCGTCTCAAAAAAAATACAAAAATTAGCCAGGCATGGTGGCAGGTGCCTGTAATCCCAGCTACTTGGGAGGCTGAGGCAGGAGAATCGCTTGAACCTAGGAGGCGGAGGTTGCAGTGAGTCAAGACCGCGCCACTGCACTCCAGCCTGGCGACAGAGCGAGACACAGTCTCAAAAAAAAAAAAAAAAAAATTAGCATATAATGAGCAGTGAGGACAACCAGAAATCACTTTCATCTCGGTATTTGTGGGTTTTAGATGGCTTTTTTTTTTTTTTTTTTTTTTGAGATGGAGTTTCGCTCTGTTGCCCAGGCTGGAGTGTAGTGGCACGATCTTGGCTCACTGTAACCTCTGCCTCCCGGGTTCAAGCGATTCTCCTGCCTCAGCCTCCCTAGTAGCTGGGATTACAGGCATGCGCCACCACGCCCGGCTAATTTTGTATTTTTAGTAGAGACGGGGTTTCTCCATGTTGGTCAGGCTGGTCTCGAACTCCCGACCTCAGTTGATCCGCTTGCCTCAGCCTCCCAACGTGCTGGGATTACAGGCGTGAGCCACCGCGCCCGGCCTTAGGTGGCTTCTTTACCGCATCCTGTTTCATCAGCAAGGCCTTTGTGACCTGTATCTTGTGCCACTTCCTATCTCATCTGGTGACTTGGAATGCTGACCCTCCTGGGAATGCAGCCCAGTAGGTGTCAGCCTCATTTTACCAGCCCCTGTTCCAGATGGAGTCGCTCTGGGTGAAATGCCTCTGACAGTACTCCCAGGCATGTGTGTGGAATTAGAATGATTTTCACCTGTTAAATCCGTTCTATGTCAATTTAATTCCTAGACCAGCCAAAGAACCAGCAGGGGTGGAAGGAAGCACAGGCTTTTCCTCCCTCCAGCTGGACAGCTTGTTGTAAATTCTCTTTGCCCAGCACTCGTCACAGGGGCTGGCCCTTTCCGAGCTCATGTCATGTTGTCATTTCCACACTCGATCCTAACTTTCCTTCATCGCGAGGTCTTTCCCACTGTAGGACACACGGGGCCACCTGTGAGTAGCGGAGACCCGTGGTACCAGGAGCCCACCTAACACTGCGGTCCCTGCCTCTCTCACCCAGACAGCTGCAGGGAGGTAGGTGAGGCTTGGGCAGCAGCCCTGCTCACACAGGGCCGGGGCTTCGGGACCCAACTGTACATTTCAGGCTGCAGGAGGGGAAGAATCAGTGAAACATGGGCCTCTGCTGCATCACGCTCAACCCTGGGCCTGACCTCGTTCTGTGGCCACACCCAGCCACAAGCAATGCCAGCCAAGAACCTAGAACCCAGGGCTTAGTTCTGAAGAACAAAGGGAAGATGCTCCCTGGAGGACACTGGCAGTTTCCACTTGGAAAAGTTATGCTTTCCAACTCGAATGGGCTGAGGTTTCCGTCCCAGTACCCTGGGTTCTCTAGTGACCAGAAAGACCCCTGGTCGAGACCAGGGAGCACCCACCACCTGATCAGGGACACGGAGATGGCTCTCAGATCGTCCAGCCATTCTGGGGAGGCCAGCCCCGCCATCCCCCAAAGATTGCGGTTAAATTTCTCCGCAGCTTCAGATGCATTTGCAGTTCTTTGGAACTTCAGGTATTTAAAGATTCTCCAACTGGGTTCAGGGCTCTGTCTGACTCCACAGTCATGACTCATAAATTGTGGTAATAACATAAATATTTGGGAAATGAATGAGGCTGGGAGCCTAGGAAGTGAGGATGTTACGGCTGGTGGAGGAGAAGGCTGAGACCCATACTGAAATTATAAATCTAAAGGGAAAGGAATGCAGAGTCGGTCCAGCAGCCACAATCTGGTATCTTGGTGGAGTGAGAGCCACACGAGAGGTTTCCTTGCCTCTCAGGTTAGTTCATCTTACCTAGATCACCTGAGGCCCCGCAGAATGGGAGCCATTGTTCCCTTCCATTAACAGCACACAAGGAGCAGTTGTCACCACTGGCAGAATAACAATGAGAGCATTATGATTGCATTTCCTATGAATGGAAGGCATCATTGCCATGATTTTTCCATTTGAAACTATTTCACTCTGAAGTGAGGAAAAGTACCAGATTAAAAAGAATGAAAGTTTCCTTGTTTTCAATTTGATAGAGACAAAATTACCACAAACTTGGCTTTATTTGCAATTCTAGAACTGGGAAACACCCCATTCTATAAAACAGAACGAGGGCTCCTGCGTGCTGGGTAGAGGAGGTTGGTTCTGTAAACAGAAAGGGGCTGAGGAGGCAGACACAGAACAAAAAGCAGATTGGTCATTTCCAAGAGGTTTTCCTTGGAAGGTTCCAGCAGAGGGGACTTCCTCATCATGCTGGCAAGACCTGGCTGGCTTGGGGCTATTCCCTGTCTCCTGGTTTCCTGGAAGGTGAGATGAACAAGTTAGTTTTGGCTTGGTGACGTGGAACTCTAGCATGAGTGGCTGTGTTTTGGGCTGGTCTACCAGGCCTAGAGCAGGAGCTCAGGCCAAACCAGTGCACTCCTGTATAGTGCAGCCTTGACATAACTAACTCCATCTTGAAGCCAGGCGGGGGCTCACACCTGTAATCCCAGCACTGTGGGAGGCCGAGACAGGCGGATCACTTGAGGAGTTTGAGACTGGCCCGAGCAACACAGTGAAACCTTGTCTCTACTAAAAATACAAAACTTAGCCAGGCGGGGTGGCGCACACCTGTAATTCCAGCTACTCGGGAGGCTGAGGTGAGAGGATTGCTTGAATCCGGGAGGCAGAGGCTGCAGCGAGCCGAGATCGTGCCACTGCACTCCAGCCTGGGTGACAGAGCGAGACCCTGTCTCAAAAAAACAAAAACAACGAACTCCATCTTGGAAAAAGACTCCATTTTCTATTTCATGGGGAACTCTGCCAACAAGGATGAGGCATTTTGCTTAATAAATAAGCCTGGGTGCGCTGGCTCGTGCCTGTAATCCCAGCACTTTGGGAGGCTGAGGTGGGCGGATCACCTGAGGTGGGGAGTTCAAGACCAGCCTGACCAACATGGAGAAACCCCGTCTCTACTAAAAATACAAAAATTAGCTGGGCGTGGTGGCGGGCGCCTGTAATCCCAGCTACTCGGGAGGCTGAGGCAGGAGAATCGCTTGAACCCAGGAGGCGGAGGTTGCGGTGAGCCAAGATCACGCCGCTGCACTCCAGCCTGTAATCCCAGCTACTTGGGATCCTGCCACTGCACTCCCAGCAGAGACCAGGACTCCTTTTGTCTTCTCGCCCTGTGGACTGGTTCATTAACACTCCCTCTCACCCTCCCTCCCTTCCTCCCTTCTTTCTGTCCTTCCTTCCTTTCTGAGTCTTGCTCTATCACCCCGCTGGAGTGCAGTGGCGTGATCTTGGCTCACTGCAATGTCTGTCTCCCGGGTTCAAGCAATTCTCCTACCTCAGCTTCCCGAGTAGCTGGGATTACAGGAGCTCACCACCATGACCAGATAATTTTTGTATTTTCAGTAGAGTTGGGGTTTCACCATGTTGGCCAGGCTGGTCTTAAATTCCTGACCTCAGGTGATTCACCCGCCTCGGCCTCCCAAAGTGCTGGGATTACAGACACGAGCTGCTGTGCCTGGCTCCTCTTTATTTCTTTTTATTTTTAAAATAAAAATTAAAAAGAGACAGGGTCTCACTAAGTTGTCCAGGCTGGTCTTGAACTCCTGAGCGCAAGTGAACATCCTGCCCCAGCCTCCCAAAGTGCTGGGATTACAGATGTGAGCCACCCTGCCTAGCTGCCTCTTTTTCCTTTTTTTTTTTTTTGAGACAGAGTCTCACTCTGTGGCCCAGGCTGGAGTGCAGTGGTGCAGTCTCAGCTCACTGCAACCTCTACCTCCCAGGTTCAAGTGATTCTCCTGCCTCAGCCTCCCAAGTAGCTGGCATTACAGGCACATGTTACCATGCCTGGCTAATTTTTGTATTTTTAGTAGAGACGGGGTTTCACAATATTTGCCAGGCTGGTCTCGAACTCCTGACCTCAAGTGATCCACCTGCCTCAGCTTCTTGAAGTGCTGGAATTACAAGTGTGAGCCAGCATGCCTGGTCCTCCGTTTCCTCTTGATTTTAAATGTTACTTAAATGTGGAGGCTAGGCACGGTGGCTCACACCTGTAATCCCAGCACTTTGGGAGGCCGAGGTGGGCAGATCATGAGGTCAGGAGTTTGAGACCAGCATGGCCAACATTGTGAAACCCCATCTCTACTAAAAATGCAGAGGTTGCAGTGAGCCGAGATCATGCCACTGCACTTCAGCTTGGGCCACAGAGTGAGACTCTGTCTCAAAAAAAAAAAAAAAAAGTTGTGGAATGTTTAACCTATAACATTTCTATATTGATTAAGTATACTATTACAGGTCAGGTGCGGTGGATCACGCCTGTAACCCCAGCACTTTGGGAGGTTGAGGCGGGAGGATTGCTTGATTCCAGGAGTTTGAGACAAGCCTGGGCAATGTAGTGAGACCCTGTCTCTATTTTTTAAATAACAGTAATAAAATAGAAAAAAAAACAAGAAAAAAAGTACACTATCGTGTTCAGTTTGCAACATTGACTGATCTGTGGAGAGGCTTGAGCCTGTGTGCCCACGTCTCTGACCACGGACTCACCAGGAAGTGGTGAGGAGAACTGTCTCCTTACGAACTCCATGGAGCTCATGGTTTTTGTGATTGAGGCAGCATCAGTAGAAGCCCGACACTGTGGAAAGACAAAACATGCAAGGACCTGGTTATCTCCAACCTTGCACGGCTCATGACACCTCCTATAAACTTTATTTAACAAATCTTATTTAAAGTATGGCCTGGCTGGGCACGGTGGCTCATGCCTGTCATCCCAGCACTTTGGGAAGCTGAGGTGGGAGGACTGCTTGAGCCCAGGAGTTTGAGACCAGCCTGGGCAACCTAGCTACCAAAAAAAATACAGAAAATTAGCCAGGTGTGGTGGCGCACACCTGTAGTCCTAGCTACTCAGGAAGCTGAGGTGGGAGAATCACCTGAGCCTGGGAGGTTGAGGCTGAGCCATGATCGCACCATTGCACTCCAGCCTGGGTGACAGAATCAGGCCCTGTCTCCAAAAAAATAAAGTATGGCCTTCCTAAATTGGAATTATTTCAACAATGTCCATTTTTTCTGATATAATTTCTGTTAAGTCATCAGTAAAATGTATCGATTACGTCTGGATTTACTTAAAAGAGCCTCCCTCTCGTGAACTGCCCCGAGTTGTACGTGCCCTAAAGTGAGGAAAGCATCTCGCCGAGCCGGTCCGGAGAGGCAGGCTATGTGCCTGTGTCCACTGCCTCCTGCCTCCAGTAAGCACACATCGTGTGTCCATCCAGCTAATGGCCAGATGAGCAACCTACCGCTGCACATGTATCCCTGGCTTGGGTGTTACTGCCGTGACCTTTAACCTCTTTTAACAATTGGAAGCCCACTGTGTGCCACCACGCCGAAGGCTGAGCATCTCTGGGGATGGAGAGTGAGGCGGCAGAGCTGCATGGGGCAGCGCAGGTGCACGTCGTCAATTCTCTGAATCAGAAAGTGAACTGGAGGTGAGTGTGAGGGAAGAGAATAAAAACCCGACCCAGCCCTGGGAGCGGGCTCTGCAGCGCGCCTGTGGCTCTGCCCGCGGCTGCTGGCTCTCACCTTTCTGGCCGCCATGCTGGGCAAGGATGCAGGACTCCTGCCCTGCCTTCCTGGGGGCCAGAGGCCTGCAGGGCACCCTCGACTGTGGGCGGCATGGCTGGGGCCTCAACAGCTCCTCTCAGGTAGGCTGCCCTTCCAGTATCGAAGACTCGTCACCCATGTCCCCTCTTTCCAGGCCTCCACTCCATTGGGGACCCACATCCTCCTGCTGCTTTCGTGGGATCCGTGCTGGTCGCTTTCTCAGGACTGAATTGAAACCGCCTTTGCAAAAACTATAACAGAGGAAATTAAGACAGTGAAAGAGATCAGACCCAACCGACTCCATCTTGCTTCTAACATTTAAGCTGTCCTTGTTCATTCCTGGGTGGAGGCCAAACTAACTTTGGGAAGCAATTCAGTTTGAGAACTAAACTCTGATTTTTTTTCTTTTTTCTTTTCTTTCTTTTTTTTTTGTGATGGACTCTCGCTCTGTTGCCCAGGCTGCCGTGCAGTGATGTGATCTCAGCTCACTGCAACCTCCGCCTCCCGGGTTCAAGCAATTCTTCTGCCTCAGCCTCTCAAGTAGCTGGGATTACAGGCACACGCCACGACGCCCAGCTAATTTTTTGTATTTTTAGTAGAGACAGGGGTTTCACCATTTTGGCTAGGCTGGTCTCGAACTCCTGACCTCAGGTGATCCACCCGCCTTGGCCTCCCAAAGTGCTGGGATTACAGGCGTGAGCCACCGCGCCCGGCCTGATTTTCTTTTTCTTGCCCATTCCTATCTAAGGGGCCTGGGGAGTTATGCCCTGGAAACCAGAAATTCTCATCCGATGGGTCTTATTTAACCTTATATATCATGACTTACTTTCCAATCTGACTCTGGCATAACATTACGTGACAAAGAAGAAAATCAAAATATTTTATCCCAAAACATGTTTCTTTGCAATATTTTGAAATGGCCCTGCAAATCGTCCTTTGTGGGGGAAAATGTGCATCTGTGAAGAATCTCTAGCAACACAGCTAGATCTTTCTCTGCCAGGCCCCCTCAGTCCTGAAGAGGTTAACTGAGAGTCTAGCGCGTTTTATTTTATTTATTTATTTTGAGATGGAGTCTTGCTCTGTCACCCAGGCTGGACAATGGTGGGATCTCGGCTCACTGCAACCTCTGCCTCCCGGGTTCAAGCAATTCTCCTGCCTCAGCCTCCCAAGTAGCTGGGATTACAGGCATGCACCACCCTGAACGACTAATACTGTATTATAGTAGAGATGCTGTTTCACCATGTTGGCCAGGCTGGTCTCGAATTCCTGGCCTCAAGTGATCTGCCCACCTCGGCCTCCCAAAGTGCTGGGATTACAGGCATAAGCCACCGCACCCGGCGAGTCTAGCGCCTTTTAGAGGTCTGAAAAGGAAACATTTGTCATCTATTGTCTCTAAGGGCAGCCACTATAAGACTTCAAAATAACCTTGGTCTCCACAATCTTTTATCTTAACCTGAACATTTTTCTCTATGATCCCAGGTCTTTAGACAAATTCAACCAATTGGTTGCAAATGGTTGCAATATTCCAGCAACACAGTAGTAGCTGTAAGCCCAGCTACTAGGGAAGCTGAGGCAGGAGAATCGCTTGAACCAGGGAGGTGGAGGTTGCAGTGAGCCCAAGATTGCACCACTGCATTCCAACCCGGGCGACAGAGACTCTGTCTCCAAAAAAAAAAAAAACAAAACAAAAAAATTTTTCCTATAGCTTGGCACCGCCCACCCTGCCCCCCTAACTTGCTTTGAGATGTCCCACCTTCCTGGACCAAACCAATGTATTTCTTAAATGTATTTGATTGACGTCTCATGCCTCCCTAAAATCTATAAAACCAAGCTGTACCCCAACCACCTCGGGCACATGTTCTCAGGACCTCCTGGGGGCTGTGTCACGGGCCATGGTCACTTATATTTGGCTCAGAATAAATCTCTTCAGATATTTTACAGAGTTTAACTCTTTTTGTAGACAAGTTTGTGGTTTGAATCTGAAAGAAAATTGATAATGGCCCTTTCCCAAAAAGACCCCCTTCTGGCCTGGAGACCTGTCAGCCTTTGCATGACTAACAAATTAGCTGCAAGATTAGAAATTACAGTTTAGGGGGTCAAACAGCCTCTGGCTCCAAGAATCGGAACCTCCCCAGTTGCCCCTGGGGATAACATCACTATTGTAAAACTTAAGATCAGTGCTTGAGATGTTTTGGAGACCCTGCATCCGCTGATACCACCCATTCAGGTAATCTGACTCAACCAGTTCAGCCCTCACACCCAGGAACAGAAGACAACAAGAAAACCTCACTTCAACCCCCTGTGAGTCCATCTCCAACCCGACCAATCAGCACTCCCCACTTCCCAAGCCCTTATCCACAAAATTAACTTTAAAAACTCTGATCCCTGAATGCTCCGGGAGACTGATTTGAGTAATAGTAAAACTCCTGTCTCCCTCACAGTCTGCTCTCTCCATTGCAATTCCCCTAACTTGATCAATCGGCTCTGGGCAGCGGGCAAGGTGAGCCCATTGGGTGGTTACACAATGAGTGCCCAGAGCCTTTGATCTTCTAAAAAAGTCACACACCTCTCTAGTGTGTCCATGTCCAATTAAGCCACTGTCCAAGAATACGTTTGTTCATTCACTCATTCCATCAATATTTGATGGACACCGGGAGGGTACGGTGGCTCATGCTTGTAATCCCGGCGTTTTGGGAGGCCGAGATGGGTGGATCACCTGAGATCAGGAGTTCGAGACCAGCCTGGCCAACATGGCGAAACCCTGTCTCTACTAAAAATACAAAAATTAGTTGGGCGTGGTGGCGGGTGCCTGTAGTCTCAGCTACTCGGGAGGCTGAGGCAGGAGAATTGCTTGAACCCGCAAGGCGGAGGTTGCGGTGAGCCGAGATTATGCCATTGCACTCCAGCCTGGGAGAAGAGAGTGAAACTCCGTCTCAAAAACAAAACAAAAGAAAACAAAACAAAAGGAGACAATTTTCAAACAACTGGGGTCACTTACCTATGGGTTATATACCAGCCCATATTATTGAATAAATGTTTTCTTAGGAGTGTCAAAAGACAAAATTAGGCTGGGCACGGTGGCTTACACCTGTAATCCTAGCACTTTCAGAGGCTGAGGCGGGCGGATCACTTGAGACCTCCTGGGCAGGAGTTCAAGGCCAGCCTGGGCAACTTAGTGAGACCTTATCTCTACTAAAAATACAAAAATGAGCCAGGCTTGGTAGTGCGTGCCTGTGGTTCCAGCTACTCAGGAGGCTGAGGTGGGAGGATCGCTTAAGCTGGGGAGGTTGAGGCTGCAGTGAGCCAAGATCAGGCCACTGCACTCCAGCCTGGGCAGCAAAAGAGCAAGAGCTTGTCTCAGAGAATAATAATAATAATAATATGTGAATAAAAATAAGGAAAGCTATGGAGAAAAGGTACTACTTGGTGAATACCTTTTGAAGGGTTTGCAGGTGTTCACTTGATTTTTTTGTTTGTTTGTTTTTGAGATGGAATCTCGCTCTGTCGCCCAGGCTGGAGTGCAGTGGCGCAATCTCGGCTCACTGCAAGCTCCGCTTCCCGGGTTCATGCCATTCTCCTGCCTCAGTCTCCCGAGTAGCTGGGACTACAGGCGCCCGCCGCCACACCCGGCTAATTTTTTATATTGTTAGTAGAGACGGGGTTTCACCGTGTTAGCCAGGATTGTCTGGATCTCCTGACCTTGTGATCCGCCCGCCTCAGCCTCCCAGAGTGCTGGGATTACAGGCATGAGCCACCGCACCCAGCCCACTTGATTATTTTTTCAAATTTTCTGTAGGTTTGAAAAATGAAATCAGAAACGGGGACAGTGTTTTGTGTTTTGTGTTAAAGGGACGGTCAGCTGGCGCATGGGACCTCTGCAGCCTGGCTTTGGGCCCTTGGACGCTGATGACCCCGCCATGCCCAGGAGCCCCGGGTGGCTCCCTTGAGCTGCAGGTTGAGCTTGTCAGGGCCTGCCCAGTGGCTGCTGGGAAGGGACAGGGAAAACCCTGCCCTGTCATTTCATAGGGCTGAGCATCAACTAGAAAAGAAAATTTCCCAGATTTCAGACTTCAAAAAAGTGGGGGAAGTGTGGGGAAAATCTACCAATTGACTGAAAATGAGAAAACATTCCCTCTGGAGGGGACGCTGCTTGACAGGCTGAGTGCTAGAGAAGCTTGCAAGAGCAACAAAGGCCCGGCTTTAGTTTCCTCCGCAGAATCTGCCTGTTCTTTCACTCTGCTGATCACTCTCAGGGTTCAGGCATGAAGAGGAGACCTCAGCGTTCTGAGCCCAGGACAGTCACTTCCTTCTGGCTCAGCTGAGGGTTCCTGGAGGCGTTTGTTTGCGTGCTGTCTCAGCTCTGAGATGAGGAAGCTCTGGGCCCAGTGACCTCACTCACCTGCCTCTCCGGATCCAGATCCAGAACTGCCCATGAATCCCTTCGTGGATGTCTCAACCTGTTTCCTCTTTGGAAGATGAGGCCTCTGGATCTGGTACCATCTGACGCCCCTTCCTGCTGGAAATCTGCCTGATTCTTTGCCAGTCCAGCCTCATTATAGAACTGACTCAATTTATGGCCCATGGAAGAAAATGAAAGGGACTGTTTAGGGACTTTACATACTCTTAGGACTTTTATTAAAATCCCATGTCCCGGCTGGGCACGGTGGCTCACGCCTGTAATCCCAGCACTTTGGGAGGCCAAGGCAGGTGGATCACCTGAGGTCAGGAGTTGGAGACCAGCTTGGCCAACATGGTGAAATGCTGTCTCTAATAAAAATACAAAAATTAGCCAGGTGTGGTGGCAGGTGCCTTTAATCCCAGTTACTCAGGAGGCTGAGGCAGGAGAATCGCTTGAACCCAGGAGGTGGAGGTTGCAGTGAGCCGAGATCCTGCCACTGCGCTCTAGCCTGGGTGACAGGCAACAGTTCTGGGATTACAGGCATGAGCCACTGCGCCCAGCCAAAAAAAAAAAAAACTTTATTAAATTATAAAAAGAGAGAGATGGCTGGGCATGGTAGCTCACACCTGTAATTTTAGCACTTTGGGAGACCAAGGCAGGCGGATCACCTGAGGTCAGGAGTTCGAGACCAGCCTGACCAAAATGGAGAAACCCTGTCTCTACTAAAAATACAAAATTAGCCGGGCATGGTGGTGCATGCCTGTAATCCCAGCTACTCGGGAGGCTGAGGCAGGAGAATTGCTTGAACCCAGGACGCGGAGGTTGCGGTGCACCAAGATTGCGCCATTGCACTCCAGCCTGGGCAACAAGAGCAAAACTCCATCTCAAAACAAAAATAAATAAATAAAAATAAAAATACAAAGAGATGCAGAGTTGACTGGAAGGAAAGGGAGCCAGGTCCTCTGCACCCTGGCCTCTTTGAGCACACCATTGTGATCGGCACCAGAGTTTTGAATTGGCAGGACGTCTAGTACTTCTGGTTTAACCCTCATGGTTTGAATTTTCTCTCAAATAGCATAACAGAGATTAGTCTGCTCTGAGTTTGACTCCTCTCATTACTTCATGAGGCAGCCCCTTCCATTTGGAGAAGTGTGGATGAAAATTATTGCAAACACCCACCTCCTCTGTAAAGCTCCCCCGTGTCTGCTCACCCTGATGACCTTTTAGAGCCCGGGCAGGGACCTGAAGGCTACTGGTAGGGACAGTTTATAACAGGGGACTACATGTCCCGCGAGAGAGGCCACAAGTGGCATAGGTTATGCATGGAGCTATGGTTGGCCTGGAAGGTCACCCCGAGGATCTCATCCTGAGCTATGGTTAGCCTGGAAGGTCACCCCGAGGATCTCATCCTGAGCTATGATTGGGCCTGGAAGGTCACCCCAGGATCTCATCCTGAGCTATGATTGGGCCTGGAAGGTCACCCCTGCATCTCGTCCTGGGTCCAGCTCAGTCTAGGGCTGTCTTTGTTTTATTTTGTTGAGACAGAGACTTCCTCTGTAGCCGAGGCTGGAGTGCAGTGGCTCCATCCCAGCTCACTGCAACCTCCACCTTATGGGTTCAAGTGATTCTCATACCTCAGCCTCCTGAGTAGCTGGGATTAAAGGCAAGCACCACGACACCTGGTTAATGTTTGTATTTTCAGTAGAGACAGGGTTTTGCCATGTTGGCCAGGCTGGTCTTGAACTCCTGACCTCAAGTCCTGATCCACCTGCCTCGGCCTCCCAAAGTGCTGGCGTTACAGGCTTGAGCCACCCTGCTTGGCCTTGGGCTTGTCTTTGAGATGGAGTCTCGCTCTGTTGCCCAGGCTGCAGTGCAGTCGTGCCATTTCAGCTCACTGCAACCTCCGTTTCCTGGGTTCAAGTGATTCTCCTGCCTCAGCCTCCTGAGTAGCTGGGATTACAGGCGCACGCCACCAAGCCTGGCTAATTTTTTTTTTGTATTTTTAGTAGAGACGGGGTTTCAACATGTTGATCAGGCTGGTCTGGAACTCCTGACCTCATCAGCTGCCCGCCTTGGCCTCCCAAAGTGTTGGGATTACAGGCTTGAGCTACCGCCCCCGGCCTGGGCTTGTCTTTTGTTGTTGTTGTTGTTGCTGAGGCTGGTCTCAGACTCCTGTGCTCAGTGATCCTATTGCCTCAGACCTTCAAGCAGCTGGAACTGCAGGTGGAAGCCACCACAGCATTCTGAGCCCAGAACTCTGGGCTCAGAGCCTGGCTTTTTCATTTTTATACTGTGGTTTTTGGAAAGTGAAAGTGTTTAATTTTGAAGAGATCTAATTTATGAATTTTCTTTTTTTTTTTTTTTTTTGAGACAGAGTCTCATTCTGTTGCCCAGGCTGGAGAGCAGTGGCACAGTCTTGGCTCACTGCAACCTTTGACCCCCGGGTTCAAGCGATTCTCCTGCCTCAGCCTCCCTAATAGCTGGGATTACAGGTACCTGCCACCGTGCCCGGCTAATTTTTGTATTTTTAGTGTAGGCGGTGTTTCACCAGCTTGGCCAGGCTGGTCTTGAACTTTTGACCTTGCGATCCTCCCGCCTCGGCCTCCCAAAGTGCTGGGATTACAGGCATAAGCCTCTGCGCCCAGCCATGAATTTTTTTCTTTTATGGCAAATGCTTTTGGTATCCTGAGCAAAAAAACTCTGCCTCCCAGAAAGTCTCAATTATTTTCACCTGTTTTCTTCTAGAAGTGTTATTGTTTCAGATTTTCATTTGAGTTTGTGATCTCTCTTGAGTTAATGTTTGTATACAGTGCAAGGTAGGGATATTTATTTTTATGTTTATTTTTGGAGATAGAGTCTCACTCTCGCCCAGGCTGGAGTGGAGTGGTGTGATCTCAGGTCACTGCAACCTCCACCTCCTGGGTTCAAGTGATTCTTATGCCTCAGCCTCCCGAGTAGCTGGGATTACAGGCATGCACCACCATGCCTGGCTAATTTTTGCATTTTTAGTAGAAATGGGGTTTCACCATGTTGGCCAGGCTGGTCTCAAACTCCTGACCTCAAGTGATCTGTCTGCCTCGGCCTCCCAAAATGCTGGGATTACAGGCATAAGCCACTGTGCTGGGCCACCTAATTTTCAAAAGTTTGGTAGAAATGGGGTCTCACTATGTTACTCAGCCTGGTCTTGAACTCCTGAGCTCAAGCTATCCTCCCGTCTCGGTTTCCCAAAGTGCTGGGATTATAGGGATGAGCCCCTGCATCCAGCGGAAATAAAATTTTTAGAATAAAACTCTTGCATTTTTTGATGGCAGCCCTTATATACTTGGTATTATTATTACTACTATGAATGATATTGAAATCACAGTGAATGCCAATTTGCAAAACATATGAAATACAGAATTAGGCCGGGCGTGGTGACTCATGCCTGTAATCCCAGCACTTTGGGAGGCCGAGGTGGGCATATCATGAGGTCAAGAGATTGAGACCATCCTGGCCAACATGGTGAAACCCTGTCTCTACTAAACACACAAAACTTAGCTGGGCGTGGTGATGCATGCCTGTAGTCCCAGCTACTCGGGAGGCTGAGGCAGGAGAATTGCTTGAATTCGGGAGGCAGAGGTTGCAGTAAGCTGAGATGGAGCCACTGCACTCTAGCCTGGTGACAGAGTGAGACTCCGTCTCAAAAAAATAAATAAAACAAATAAATACAGAATTAATTTCAGTTATGAGCAACTAAATTTTAACTGATAAAATAGAAAGCCCTCAGCAAGGTCAGGAGCTCAAACATGGCCAAGTGCGGTGGCTCACCCCTGTAATACCAGCACTTTGGTAGGCCAAGGTGGGCAGATCACGAGGTCAGGAGATCGAGACCATCCTGGCTACGGTGAAACCCAGTCTCTACTAAAAATACAAAAAAAATTAGCCGGGCGTGGTGGCTGGCGCCTGTAGTCCCAGCTACTTGGGAGGCTGAGGCAGGAGAATGGCGTGAACCCAGGAGGCGGAGCTTGCAGTGAGCTGAGATTGCACCACCGCACTCTAGCCTGGGCATCAGAGAGAGACTCCATCTCAAAAAAAAAAAAAAAAGGAGCTCAAACATGTATTACTTTATATCAAAATAATGATTTGGTCCCATACTTTGTTCTGGGAAGGGTAGGGAATATCTCTTCAATAGAAATTTGGCCGGGTGCGATGGCTCATGTCTGTAATCTCAGCACTTTGGGAGGCCGAGGCTTGTGGATCACCTGAAGTCGGGAGTTCGAGACCACCCTGGCCAACATGGAGAAACCCCGTCTCTACTAAAAATACAAAAATTAGCTGGGCATGGTGGCATGTGCCTGTAATCCCAGCTACTCAGGAGGCTGAGGCATGAGAATCACTTGAACCCAGGAGGTGCAGGTTACTGGGGGCTGAGATCATGCCACTGTACACCAGCCTGGGCGACAGAGCGAGATTCTGTCTCAATAAATAAATAATAAATAAATGAACAAATCAAAAACAGGCACATGCCTGTTGTCGTAGCTACTCAGGAAGCCGAGGTGGGAGGATCACTTGAGCTGGGGAGATGGAGGCTGCAGAGAGCCGTGAGCACGCACTTCATTCTAGCTTGGGCAACGTGGTGAGACTGTGTAAAAAATATATTTAAAAAAAATAAATACAAATAAAAAATTATTTCAATTAAATTGATTATAATTGAAAATTATAATAATTTGAAAGCAGTAAATATTTTATCGAATCGGAATTTGAAGTGCTAACACAGATTCAACATATTTCTAGGGCAGATGGCAGGTCTTAAGGCTCAGCTCTGTTGAAAGGGACGGTGTCTGTGAAACTAACTGGAGCCTCCTGGGGCTTCAGTGTTGGTCCCAGCTGAACTTTTTTGTTTGTTTTGTTTTGTTTTTGAGACAGGGTCTCACTCTGTCACTCAGGATGGAGTACAGTGGTGTGATCTCAGCTCGCTGCAGGCTTGACCTTCCAGACTCAACCTATCCTCCCACTTTAGCCTCTCTAGTTACTGAGACTACAGTCACGTGCCACCATGCCCAACCAATTTTTCTTTTTTTAAATTTTTGTTCTGAGACACAGTCTCCCTCTGTTGCCCAAGCTGGAGTACAGTAGTGCAATCTTGGCTTACTTCAACCTCTGCCTCCTGGGTTCAAGCGATTTTCCTGCCTCAGCCTCCCAAGTAGCTGAGATACGGAGGCACCCGCCACCATGCCTGGCTAATTTTTGTATTTTTAGTAGACACAGGATTTCACCATGTTGGCCAGGCTGGTCTCACCTCATGTGATCTGCCTGCATTGGCCTCCCAAAGGGCTGGGATTACAGGTGTGAGCCGCCGCGCTGGCCTCCAGCATTTGTTTTTTTCCTGAAGCTTTCCCTCCTCGCATTCTCCTCTCTCACGTAAGCCCTATGCTGTTGTTCCCCAAGATACTCTTTTTCTTCCTTTTAAACCTTACCTATTCTCTAAAATGGGTGACTACTATTAGTTTAGTATTAGAGGGAACCCACTTGGTGATAGTGTTTGCATTGCTTTCTCTATTGGAATTTGTGTGTGTGTTTTAGTAGAGATGGGGTTTCACCATGTTGCCCAGGCTGGTCTCGAACTCCTGAGCTCAGGCAATCTGCCCGCCTTGGCCTCCCAAAGTGCAAGGATTACAGGCGTGAGCCACTGCACCTGGCCTCTGTATTAGAATTGTATAGAGATACTTGTTTTGTGTTTTCTTTTTTTTGAGATGGAGTTTTTGCTCTTGTTGCCCAGGCTGGAGTGCAATGGTGTGATCTCATCTCACTGCAACCTCTGCCTCCCAAGTTCAAGCAATTCTCCTGCCTCGGCCTCCCGAGTGGGTGGGATTACATGTGCTCACCACCACACCCAGCTAATTTTTGTATTTTTAGTAGAGATGGGGTTTCACCATGTTGGCCAGGCTGGTCTCAAACTCTTGACCTCAAGTGATCCACCCCCCTCGGCCTCCCAAAGTGCTGGGATTACAGGGGTGAGCCACTGTGCCCGGCCTAGAGATACTCTCTTTTTTTTTTTTTTTTGAGACAGAGTCTTGCTCTGTCGCCCAGGCTGGCGTGCAGTGGTGCGATCTCGGCTCACTGCAACCTCTGCCTCCCAGGTTCAAGCGATTCTCCTGCCTCAGCCTCCTGAGTAGCTGGGATTAGAGGTGTGCACCACTGTGCCTGGCTAATTTTTGTATTTTTAGTAGAGACGGGGTTTCACCATGTTGGTCAGGCTGGTCTTGAACTCCTGACCTCAGGTGATCCACCCGCCTCAGCCTCCCAAAGTGCTGGGATTACAGGAGTGAGCCACTGCACCCAGCCGAGATACTCTTAATATTCCAATGTCATCAAGCTGGAGATAAGAAAATTATGCCTAATTTTTTTTTTTTTTTTTTTTTTTTTTTAGATGGAGTCTCACTCTTGTCGCCCAGGCTGGACTGCGATGGCGCGATCTTGGCTCACTGCAACCTCCGCCTCCTGGGTTCAAGTGATTCTCCTGCTTCAGCCTCCCCAGTAGCTGGGATTACAGGCACCTGCCTCCGTGCTCGGCTAATTTTTGTATTTTTAGTAGAGATGGAGTTTCACCATGTTGGCCAGGCTAGTCTCGAACTCCTGACCGCAGGTGATCCACCCACCTTGGGCTCCCAAAGTGCTGGGATTACAGGTGTGAGCCACCGTGCCCAGCTGATTTTTCTTTTTAATTTCTTTTTTTCTTTTGACTGCTCCTTATAAAGCAGGGCTAACCCAAAGGCAGCACTCCCAGAGTAGCCATGCTTAAAAATTTAAAGAGGCAGCAACAACCACTTTTCTCAGTGAACTAATTCCTACAGTTGAGGTCTCAAGCACAACCACACAGGGTTCTAACTAGGTGCTCTCAAGTACCAGGCAGGGTTTAACCCTGAGTTTCATTGTAATGTGTCCATGGTATTGCATGATGTCTAGATTTGATGTCCTTGCATTATGAGAACATAAGAACAACATATAGTAACAGAAACACATGATGCATGGTGATTTGGAGGAGTCTCGCGGTTGGAGGAGAGCGGACAAACCGTAATGATGTGAAGTGAAGAAGCACTCATTAGAGAAGTGCCCAGCGAGCAGAAGCAAACGAAAAAGAAAGCAATCGCTGTGAGCATCAGAAACCAATGTGTATGTCCCCAGTGAAGGGCTACCAAACGGAAGTTCCTGGAGCGCCAGGGCTCTCTGGGAAGAAACCCGTACAGGGTCCTGTGTGGCAATGGTGGGTCAATGGAAGCAGAGATACCAATGAATGTTTTCACTGGTCATTGAATTTCTCTTACCCTGTTTGTTAGCATTCATTCAAAGAAAACGAGGTCAAGGCCAGGTGCGGTGGCTCACACCTGTAATCCCAGCACTTTGGGAGGCCAAGGTGGGCGGATCACGAGTTCAGGAGATCAAGACCATCTTGGCTAACACGGTGAAACCCTGTCTCTACTAAAAAAAAATACAAAAAAATTAGCTGGGCATGGTGGCGGGCACCTGTAGTCCCAGCTACTTGGGAGGCTGAGGCAGGAGAATGGCGTGAACCTGGGAGGTGGAGCTTGCAGTGAGCCGAGATCCAGCCGCTGCACTCCAGCCTGGGCAACAGAGCTAGACTCCGTCTCAAAAAAAAAAAAAAAAAAAAGAAAACGAGGTCAATTTGTCCCATGGCGTACAGTGCAGATCCCCTGACCCACAGTCTGGAACTTCAGCTATTCAATGTTAGGCTGACTGTCGCGTGGGGTGGGGTGCGGTTGGCTTGGGGAGAGACAGCCTTTCAGTTTGACTTTAAGATTTTCTTGTTGGGTACAGTGGCTCACGCCTGTAATCCCAACATTTTGGGAGGCTGAGGTGGGTGGATTCATTGAGCCCAGGAGTTCAACACCAGTTTAGGCAACAAAGTGAGACCATGTCTCTACAAAAAAAAACATAAAAAATTAGCCAGGCTTGTCCAGCTACTCAGGAGGCTGAGGTGGGAGGATTGCTTGAGCCTGGGAGGTCAAGGCTACAGTGAGCTGTGGTCGTGCCACTGCACTCCAGCCTGGGAAGAGTGAGACCTTGTCTCAAAAAAGGAAAAATTTTCTTTTTTTTTTTTTTGAAATGGAATCTCGTTCTGTCACCCAGGCTGTAGTGCAGTGGTACAATCTCGGCTCACTGCAAGCTCCACCTTCCGGGTTCACGCCAATCTCCTGCCTCAGCTTCCCAAGGAGGTGGGACTACAGGTGCTCGCCACCACACCCAGCTAATTTTTTGTATTTTTAGTAGAGATGGGGTCTCACTGTGTTAGCCAGGCTGGTCTCGATCTCCTGACCTCGTGATCCGCCCACCTCGGCCTCCCAAAGTGCTGGGATTACAGGGGTGAGCCACCACGCCCGGCCAGAAGATTTTCTTCTGTCTCCTTCCTTCTGGGTTGGGGAACGGGATGATGCCTATTTTTTGTTTTGTTTTTTTAGTTAGTTTTTCTTTTTTTTTTTGAGATGGAGTCTTGCTGTATCACCCAGGCTGGAGCGCAGTGGCGCAATCTCAGCTCATTGCAACCTCCGCCTTCCGTATTCAAGTGATTCTCCTGCCTCATCCTCCCAAGTAGTTGGGATTGCCATCACACCCAGCTAAGTTTTTTTTGTTTGTTTGATTTTTTTGAGACGGAGTCTCACTCTGTCGCCCAGGTTGGAGTACAGTGGTGCAGTGGTGCGACCTCGGCTCACTGCAACCTCTGCCTGCCGGGTTCAAGCAATTCCCCTGCCTCAGCCTCCCGAGTAGCTGGGATTATAGGTGCCTGCCACCATGCCCAGCTAATTTTTTTATTTTTAGTAGAGATGGGGTTTTACCATATTAGCCAGGATGGTCTTGATCTACTGACCTCGTGATCAGCCCGCCTCAGCCTCCCAAAGTGCTGGCATTACAGGTGTGAGCCACCTTGCCCGGCCCCAGCTAAGTTTTGTATTTTTAGTAGAGATGAGGTTTTGCCATGTTAACCAGGCTGGTCTTGAAATCCTGACCCCAGGTGATCCACCTGCCTCAGCCTCCCAAACTGCTGGGATTACAGGTGTGTGCCACTACGCCCAGCTAATTGCTGTATTTTTAGTAGAGAGAAGGTTTCGCCAGGTTGGCCAGGCTGAAGGAGTGATGCCTGTTCTGAAGTGGGCACAGTGACGATGGTGACAAGCCTTGCCACGCTTGGGGTTAGTGTTTCATTTTATCCAAGGTGGCCTCTTCAGTCATTGCTTCAGAGGCTCTGTAAGGCACCCGCTAGAACCTTGGGATTCATTATTTAAAGCTTATTTATTGGCTGGGTGCGGTGGCTCACGCCTGTAATCCCAGCAATTTGGGAGACCGAGGCGAGAGGATCACGAGGTCAGGAGATCAAGACCATCCTGGCTAACATGATGAAACCTTGTCTCTACTAAAAATACAAAAAATTAGCAGGGCGTGGTGGCACGCGCCTGTAGTCCCAGCTATTTGGGAGGCCTAGGCGGGAGAATCGCTTGAACCCAGAAGGCGGAGGTTGCAGTGAGCCAAGATCGCACCACTGCACTACAGCCTGGGCAACAGAGCAAGACTTGTCTCTAAATAAATAAATAAATAAATAAAATAAAGCTTATGTATTGAGCTGCTGCTGAGAACATCCCTGTAGCTGCAAAGAGCATGCGGATCAATTGCTCAGCAAGACAAACACTAAATCCCCAAACCATTTTTGGATATTTTTGTCATTTAAATGAGCCTAGTGGTGATGTGACTGCCATGATACCAGTCAGCCATAAAGGGATCAATGAAAAGCAATTGGGGCTGGGCACGTGGTTCACACCTGTAATCCCAGCACTTTGGGAGGCCGAGGGGGGTTGATCACTTGAGGTGAGGAGTTCAAGACCAGCCTGGCCACCATGGCAAAACCCTGTCTCTACTAAAAATACAAAATTGGCCCAGTGCGGTGGCGCATGCCTGTTATCCCAGATCCTCGGGAGGCTGAGGCATGAGAATCACTTGAACCTGGGAGGTAGAGGTTGCAGTGAGCCGAGATTGCACCACTGTACTCCAGCCTGGGTGACAGAGCAAGACTCTGTCTCAAAAAAATAAAATTAAAAAAAAAAGCAGCTGGATGTGGCGGCTCAGGCCTGTAATCCCAACACTTTGGAAGGCTGAATTGGGCAGATCACCTGAGGTCAGGAGTTTGGGACCAGCCTGGCCAATATGGTGAAACCCTGTCTCTACTAAAAATACAAAAAGTAGCTGGGCATGGTAGCACGTGCCTGTAGTCCCAGGTACTCCAGAGGCTGAGGCAGAGAAATCGCTTTAACCTGGGAGGCGGAGGTTGCAGTGAAGTGAGATTGTGCCACTGCACTCCAGCCTGGGTGACAGAGCGAGACTCTGCCTCAAAAAATAAAATAAAATAAGTAAAAAAGCAATTGGGATTAATAAGAACCTACAAATAATTTTTGGCATCAAACTCATTCTTTTGTTTCTAGATCCCGGTATGTAGTTTCTTTTCACAGCTATTCTAAAGTAATGCTGAATGATATATGGAGAATATAGAAGACTTTGCAGAGCTAGCACGAAATTAAATTGTGACTTGATCTGTGACTATCACCCATCATCAGTATTATTTTTTCTCTAATGGTGTGCAGGTTTCCTGAGCACACAGAGTCTCCTGTGGATTCCTCCTGGGACACAGACCCTGTGCTTGCTTATTGTCAGGAGCTCACACTTTTCCTGGAAGGAGGAATGGGGAGCTTAATGCCACAGAGAGTTTACATGGAACTGGTGTAGTGGATGTGTGGGAGCTGGACTTGCCCACATTAGCTGAATTTGTCGAAGTGGTGTTTCGTATCTAATTCCCCTACTCAAGTGAGACAAACCCATCTGCGAAGAAATCAGAGGATGCAAGGCTGAGAAGCAAACTCACGGCCCATCTCGTGTTTAGAGAAGCCTGACTTATCTTTGATCCAGTGTCCTGAGGCAGTGTGAGGCTGCTCACCAGCTGCCAATGAAAGCCCGGCCTGACCCACTTTCAAGGCCACGCAGACACAACAGTCTCTCCTGCCACAGTCGGGATCTGTCACCACCAGCGGCCAGCCTTCGGGGAGTGCTGACCCGTGCTGACCAGCCTGACCAGCATGGTGAAACCCTGCCTCTACTGAAAATACAAAAATGAGCCAGGCGTGGTGGTGCATGCTTGTAATCCCAGCTATTTGGGAGGCTGAGGTGGCAGTATTGCTTATACCCGCTGGAACCCCGGAGGTGGAGACGCAGCACCAGGTGCTTCTGTCTCGCCCTTTCTACTCCACATTTCCTCTTGGTCTATTTATTCTATATGTGAATACATTCCCATGCCACGAGGTTCAAACAAGAAGTATAAAGGACAGTGTGTGAAAATTCCTATTCCCGGCCAGGTGCGGTGGCTCATGCCTGTAATCCCAGCACTTTGGGAGGCCGAGGAGGGCGGATCACGAGGTCAGGAGTTTGAGACCAGCCTGGCCAACATGGTGAAACTAAGGATACAAAAAAATTAGCCAGGCGTGGTAGCGCACGTGCCTGTAGTCCCAGCTACTCAAGAGGCTCATGCAGGAGAATCAGAATCACTTGAACCCGGGAGGCAGAGGATGCAGTGAGCTGAGATCGTGCCACTGCACTCCAGCCTGGGTGACAGGGTGAGACTCTGTCTCAAAAAAAAAAAAAAAGAAAAAATTCCTCTTTCCTTCTCTGCTTCTCAGGACTTACCCCTAACAGTTTTCTGCTCTTTTGCCCATCCCCAACCCCTGCAACTTAAAAAAAAGTTTTGTTTGTTTCTTTCGTTTGTTTCTTTTGTTTGTTTGAGACAGAGTCTCACTGTCACCCAGGCTGGAGTGCAGTGGTGTCATCTCTGTCCACTGCACCCTCCACCCACCAGGTTCAAGCAATTTTCCTGCCTCAGCCTCCCGAGTAGCTGGGATTACAGGTGTGCGCTACCATGCCTGGCTAATTTTTGTATTTTTAGTAGAGACAGGGTTTCGCCACGTTGGCCAGGCTGGTCACGAACTCCTGACCTCAAATGATCCACCCACCTTGGCCTCCCAAAGTGCTGGGATTATAGGCATGAGCCACTGCACCCTGCCTAAAAACAATTTTTTTTTTTTTTGAGACAGTGTCACACTGTCACCCGGGCTGGAGTGCAATGGCGCAATCTCGGCTCACTGCAACCTCCGCTGCCCGGGTTCACAAGATTCTCCTGCTTCAGCCTCCCGAGTAGCTGGGATTACAGGTGCACACCACCACACCTGGCTAATTTTTTGTATTTTTAGTAGAGATGGGGTTTCACTATGTTGGCCAGACTGGTCTCAAACTCCTGACCTTGTGATCCGCCCACTTTGGCCTCCCAAATTGCTGGCATGAGTCACTGAACCTGCCAAAACAATTTTAAAGCTAAAGAAAAGTTAAAAGAATAGAATAGGCTGAGTGTGGTAGCTCATGCCTGTAATCCCAGCACTTTGGGAGGCTGAGGCAGGTGGATCACTTGAGGTCAGGAGTTTGAGAACAGCCTGACCAACATGGTTAAACCCCACCTCTACTGAAAATACAAAAATGAGCCGGGCTTGGTGGTGCATGCTTGTAATCCCAGCTATTTGGGAGGCTGAGGTGGCAGTATTGCTTATACCCACTTGAACCGTGGAGGCGGAGGTTGCAGTGAGCTAAGATCATGCCACTTCCCTCCAGCCTGGGCGATAGAGCAAGACTTCGTCTCAAAAAAAAAACGTGTGTGTATATATATACGTTTATGTCTATTAAACATATATATTTTGATATTTTTATTAAACATATATATTTTAAAAACATATTAAACATATATACCATTTTGATATTTTTTATTAAGCATATATATGTTTAACAGGCAATATATTCACATAGTTTAAAACATATTCAGTGAACATCATTTTACCCTCAGCCCCCTCTTCTCTGTATTTTCTGCCCCACTCCCCAATGTCTTAAGTGTAATTGCAGAGTTTCTTATACAAATGCATGTTCTTTTTCTTTCTCTCCTTGCTATACACACTGTTCTAATGTTTTAAACCTTGCCTTTTTTTCTTACTTAGCAATATATCTTGATGATGATAAGATAAAGTGATTTCTAAGAATATATGTGAATAATTCTGTAATACAGTGAAAGTTCCTTACTCCTGGCCTCAAGTCATCCTCCCACCTCAGTTTTCCAAAGTGCTGGGATTATAGGCATGAGAAAGTTCCTGTTTAGTGTGTTTGAATAATCAGGGATTAAGCCAATATTTGTCTTTTTTAAAGCTAACATTTCTAAAATGAGCAGTGGGTAATTTATTTTGATGGCAGGAAACGTAACAAGTAAAGCACTTATATATAGGACTCTTCAAAGGTAATCAAATTTTAGGTATTCTTTGACAGTTTTGATTTACATACTTTCCTCTGAGGGTTTGAGCACAGGGATTTCATTAGAGAAACATTAAATAAGTATGTGTGTGAGATACCACAGTTCTCATACACTGCCCTGTTTATTTCTGATACCAGTATAGTAGCTATCCGTAGCTATCCTTCTTCCTATTTTACAGATAGGGAAACCGAGGCTTGTTGATGTGGGTAAAGTCAGTGCGTCATCAGCCCTAAAGTTTTATTGGGCATCAGGGGATGTGGGCACCACAGGGAACCATGCCTCGCACCCCTGTGGCCACTCAGCCTCCAGTCTGGCCCCAGTCAGCACTGGGTCCTCTTCCCTCTGCCCTGCAGCCTCTGTGCTTGCTGGCCCATGAAGCTTCTCGGTCCACTTTTGGCCTTGAACATTTCAGCTGCCCTCAACCCCCGGGGCTCCCTGCAAGCCATTACCCCAAATCCATCCACATTCTCCACGCTCCTCCTTTCTTTCTTTTATTTTTTGAGACGGAGTTTCACTCCTGTTGCCCAGGCTGGAGTGCAATGGCACGATATCATCTCACCGTGACCTCCACCTCCTAGGTTCAAGTGATCCTCCTGCCTCGGCCTCCCGAGTAGCTGGGATTACAGGTATGCGCCACCACGCCCGGCTACTTTTTGTATTTTTAGTAGAGACCAGGTTTCACCATGTTGACCAGGCTGGTCTTGAACTCCTGACCTCAGGGGATCTGCCCACCTCGGCCTCCCAAAGTGCTGGGATTATAGGCGTGAGCCACCGCACTCGGTCTCCAAAGACTTTTCACTCCTACTTAAATCTTTTCTGGGATAAATCCTTGTCATTGAAAGACCTCGTTGTTTCAAAAGAGTTAATTAAATATTACCATTTAATCTCCAAGGTGTTTATACCTGTCCTCCCTAACTGCTATGTGAAGTCCATCAGGATGGGGACCTTGTTTTGTACTGGTTGCTTTTCTTCATGATAAAATTTATTGTATTGACATGCTTCTTAAAAATTATGTATGTATTTGTTTAGAGACAGAGTCTTGCTCTGGCACCCAGGCTGCAGTGCCATGACATGATCACTGTTCACTGCAGCCTCGACCTCCTAGTCTCAAGTGCTCAAGTGGTCCTCTTACTCAGCCTCTTGAGTAGCTGGGACTATAGGTGTGTGCCACCATGCCCAGAAAATTTTCTTTTTTCTTTTTTTTTCCTGAGACAGAGTCTTGCTTTGTCACCCAGGCTAGAGTGCAGAAGCACGATCTCTGCTCACTGCAACCTCTGCCTCCCGGGTTCAAGCAATTCTCCTGCCTCAGCCTCCTGTGTAGCTGGGAATATAGGCATGTGCCACGACACCGGGCTAATTTTTTGTACTTTTAGTAGACATGGGGTTTCGCCATGTTGGCCAGGCTGGTCTCGAACTCCTGACCTTGTAATCTGCCCACCTCAGCCTCCCAAAGAGCTGGGATTATAGGCGTGAGCCACTGTGCCTGGTCATAATTTTCTATGTATTTATTTTTGAGACAGGGTCTGTGTTGCCTAGACTGGAGTACAGTGGTGCTCTACTGAAGCCTGGACCTCCCTGGGCTGAGGTGATTCTCCCACCTCAGCCGCCTGAGTGGTTGGGACTATAGGTGTGTGCCACCGCACTTGGCTAATTTTGCTATATTTTGTACAGATGGGGTTTCACCAAGTTGCCCAGGCTGCTGTCGAACTCTTGAGCTCAAGCAATCTTCTCGCCTCGGCCTCCCAAAGTGCCAGAAAAAAATAATTTATTTTTGGTAGAAATGGGGTCTTGCGGTGTTACCTAGGCTGGTCTGGAATTCCTAGGTTCAAGCAATCCTCCTGCCTCAGCTTCCCAAAGTGCTGGGATTACAGGTGTGCACCACTGTGACCAGCCTGATACGCGTTTTAATGTGTGTGTGTGTGTGTATATATATATACACACACACACATACACACACATATATTTTCTTTTTCGAAGGGGGAAAAGCTATTTGTGGCTAGCCTACCACTTACAATGTAAAATTCATGTCTGTGCTGCTTACATTTCAAGATGAGCTCACAATCACTGTAGGGACGTATTGACATGTAAAATGTCCCATGATAGTACTGTCTGTCCACACTGAGATGGAACTAAACCTCCATCAATCTGCAAGCAGATAGGTTACATGTGACAGTGCCAAGCTGTGCACATATCTGAAATTCCAGTCTTTGCTGAGATTATTTTAGGTTTTATTATGAGATGCCCATACTAACACAAACTATTATTTCTTCCTTTTGAACAGTCATTTATATAACCAGTAAAAAAAGAGAATAGAGGCTGGGCTTGGTGGCTCATGCCTGTAATCCCAGCACTTTGGGAGGCTGAGGTGGGTGGATCACCTAAGGTCAGGAGTTTGAGACCAGCCTGGCCAACATTGTGAAACCGCATCTCAACTAAAAATACAAAAAATTAGGCATGCATGGTTGCTCATGCCTGTAATTCCAGCTACTCAGGAAGCTGAGACAAGAGAATCACTTAAACCTGGGAGGTGGAGGTTGCAGTGACCCTAGATTGTGCCACTGCACTCCAGCCTGGAGGACAGACAGAGAGACTCAGTCTCAAATAAGAATAGAGAATCCAGTCAGATTTTCCTTTGCTAACTGATCATTTGCTAGAAATGACATGCAGTAATACAATTAAAGTTTAAGAAACACAAAAAATGAGCCCAGCACAGCGGCTCATGCTGGTAATCCCAGCACTTTGGGAGGCTGAGGCAGGAGGACTGCTTGAGCCCAGGAGGTTAAGGCTGCAGTGAGCCATGATTGAACCACTGCACTCCAGCCTGGGTGACAGAGCAAGACCCTGTCTCAAAAAAAAAAAAAAAAAAAAAAAAAAAAGGGCAGTATTTCATTTTGAAGTATAACAATTACAGCCATTAACCAAGTGTTCCAGTTGTCTAAAATGAGGCAGGTGTAGACGGAAAATTTTCCCTGTACTCTCTGAAGGTTTCACAACTGAGTCTCTGAACTAAGCTGACAATAGACAGATTCGTAAGAGAAAAAGTATACAAATCTATAACATGTACTAGGGCATCCCAGAATCCAGTGAGATCTGGAAGCTTATACAGCCCCTTCATAGAAGAGAGGGGAGGCAGATGCAGGCAGCTCAGGGGAGAGAAAATGATTTTTTGCCTTCAGAATAGGTGGTGGCCTGTGGCAAAATCTGTCTGGGTGTGCAGCTGACGTCCCTTGAAGCTCTTCTCCCGTGATCCTGGCTCATTCTTCCCTGGATGAGACTTCCAGGGAGGGGGTCAAGACAATTGAGTCCCTTTGGGATGATCTGTCTTTATGTAAATAATGGGGGATTCACAGAATGCCCCTCCCTGCATTGGCAGGTCCCCATGTGCCCTCAGTTTGAGGGCATACTAATGTGGTAATCAGTGAACTAGTTAGTAATCAGTATCCTAATATGGCATAATTCAGGGTGGCATTTCTCCAACTCTTTCATTACTAACGAGCTATTTTAAACCAAAAGTGATTCAAGTGTTAAAGTGCCTTTTACTTGAATATCTCCCAGGCTTAAACGATCACGAATTCATAAGCGTTGTTAGTTCAGAAGGTGGCTGAGCAGGCCCCCGGAATTCAGTGTCAGCATGCCACAGGATCTGAAGTTCAGGAAAGGTGTAACAAAAAGGGATTTTTCTTTTTTCTTGAGACAGAGTTTCGCTCTTGTTGCCCAGGCTGGAGTGCAATGGTGTGATCTCCGCTCACTGCAACCTCCTCCTCCTGGGTTCAAGCGATTATTCTGCCTCAGCCTCTGCAGTAGATGGGATTACAGGCATGCACCACCACACCTGGCTAATTTTTTTTGCATTTTTAGTAGAGACGGGGTTTCTCCATGTGTCAGGCTGGTCTCGAACTCCCAACCTCAGGTGATCCGCCCGCCTTGGCCTCCCAAAGTGTTGGGATTACAGGCGTGAGCCACCGCACCCAGTTGAGATTTTTATTTCTTAAAGGAAAGGATAAGGTGGGCCAGGACTAAGACAACACAGTAGCAAACATCTGGCTGAATGCTGGAGAGGAAGACAGTGGGAGATCCAGGCCAGGCTCCATGGACGAACTGCTTGTTGGCTCCTTAGGCTTTGGGTCTGCGGGACCCTTTCGCTACTGGGAATGGGAGCCTGTCTGACTGCACTGGGTCTGAGACTCCCTGCTCCTGCTGGTCACCATCTACACGCATGTGGTGTTGGTCTCCAGGGTTAGAACCAGAACCCCTGAGGACGCGGGAAAGGCTAGGAAGCCTGGGGATGACCTAAAGTCCAGCTATCAAAATGCGCCGCGTTTTCAGAAAAACTACTGCCACGATTTAACCTAAAAAGCTTCATCTGTATTTTCTGCCACAGTTTGCTTCCGTTTCCTTCAGTCACTATTCCCTGGCGAAGTCTCCACGCGCTCCCGTTCGCCGGGGAACTTAGGGTATCCGGGCTTCCCTAAATTGACAAGCGGGGGCCGGCGCCTTCGCCCGCCTTCGCTGGCCGCCGCTTGGTTTGTTCTTCTTCTCCTTCGGGGACTTCTCCGCCCGCGCCCGCGCCCGCGCCCCAGCTTTCGTCCCGCTGTGCGGAGATGCCACCCAGCTCCACCGCAGGACCGCGGAGCGAGAGGCGGCAGACGCGCTCCGGGGGCCGCCGGTCAAGAGGAAGATGAAGGGCGCGACGACTTCGCGGTTTCCAGAATGGGCTCCTTCTGGCCCAACAATAAGTGCCATTTGGAATCTTCTCGGCCTTCTCTGTGCCTTCCGCGCGTCTGGGCTCCCCGGTACCGTAGACCCGGCCCCGAGCTCCGCCCCCTCGCCCTGGGCTTCCCCGCCCCCTCGCCCCCAGTCTCCTGGGCTCTTCGGGGCGGCGGAAGAGCCGAGAACCTTCGCGAAGGTGGGGCGGGCGCCCCCGAGGTTGGGCCCGCGGTATGGGCAGTGGAAACTGCGCATGCGCGGCGTCAGGGTCGGGCGGAAGTTGACGCCGCCGTGCCGCCGCCGCGTGACGCATTTCCTGTTTGTTGTTGGAGAAAGGAGAGAAAGGAAAGCGCGAGGAGCCGCCGCCACCACCAGCGCAGCAGTCCTGGAGCTGTGAGGAGATTCGGGCCGTCACCCTGCCTCCCCTGCGTCCCGCCACCGGCCGCTTCTGTCCTCGGTGAGGGTCTGTTCCGAGGGTCGGGGGAGGTCGCCTAGGGCCCCGCGCGCGCCCGGCAGACGGCGGACCTCACCCGGCGCCTGGCAACAGCGCGGGGGGTGACCGGGGTCGCCGGCCGGGGAAAGGACTGGACGGGGCGGGGGCCGTGGCCGGGGTTGCGGGGCGAAGGGTGGGCGGGGTCCTCTGGGTCAGGTCTGGGGCCGGGGCCGGGGCTGGGGTCTGGGGCCGCCCGGCCGCGTCCTCCCCGCCCGGCGTCCTTGCCGGAACGCGGCCCAGCCTCCGCGGCGGCGGTTGGGGGTGGGGCCCGGCCTGGGAGCGGCCGGCTGGGGCTCGGCTGGGGCTCGGCGGGGCCGGCAGCGTGGGAGGCGTGGAGCGCCTTCTTTTTCTAAGGCTCCCGCACTCGCGTCTGAAACCAGAAACGGGAGTGGCTTGCGGAGCAGGAATGCCGCAGCCGTGCCGCCAAGTTCGGAGGGAGAAGAAGCAGGTGGGGGACCGCAAAGCCCTGTTTCTAGAACTCCGGACGGATTGTTCAGAAGTTTGTGGAAGAGCAGGCTGCCTTTCTCACTCAGAATGTTTGTCTGCTTTGCTTTGCGTTAAAGAATCTGCACCGTAGTTGATGCAACTGAAGTTTATATAAGAAGTTTACATTAACTCTTACCTAAGGAAGGTCAGTGACACACGCAGTGTAAACTGCAAATCATATATTGGCTCGAGAAAGGTTTTGGCACTAGCGAATTTTTTAAAGGATGGGTTTGCTAGTCAGACGTAAACTTCTGTGCTAACTTCTCACGTAAACGGGGCAGGAAACAGCGCAAGTAGAACGATCGTGCCACCACCGAAGGGGTGCCGCCTGCGAGCTCGGAGGCTTCAGCCTGTTTGGGAAGAGTAGGCTGAGCGGCGCTCTTTGTAGTTTTCAACGTTTTTATTGAGTTGCGAATTTTAGTAAGGATTTGTCGCTACAATTTAAGCCAAATTATTGATTTAGTAGAAAAGTTAGAGTGAAGACCGAAGAAAGGAAACAGACGTTAACCATTAAAGCTTGATTGCTGCTGCTTCGTGTTTAACCGCACTTTTCCAAATAGTGTTGCGTATCAGAACGATTCATGATTTCTGAAAGGAATTATATGCAGCCGCCTTACTCCTCCGCCAGTCCACCCGTCCCGCGTTCTCTCTGGGTTTACTCCAGACTTCCTTTTTTTTTTTTTCCTGAGACGGAGTCTGTTCTGTTGCCCAGGCCAGAGTGCAGTGGCGCGATCTCCACTCACTGCAACTTCCAGCTCCCAGGTTCAAGCGAGTCTCCTGCCTCAGCCTCCTGAGTAGCTGGGGTTACGGGTGCTCGCCACCATGTCCGACTAATTTTTGTATTTTTAGTAGAGACGGGGGTTTCACCGTGTTGGTCAGGCTGGTCTCGAACTTATGACCTAAAGTGATCGCCTGCCTCGGCCTCCCAAAGTGTTGGGATTAGAGGCGCGAGCCACCGCGCCTCGCCGACTCCAGACTTGTTTCCACTCCTGAGGGCCTTAAGCTCCCTTGGAGTTTGTGCTTTCACATTTCTTTCTGCCTTCCGTGATAAAGGGATGAATAGTTTTTATGCACGCTTCAGCGAGCTGCGGGTTTTTGTGGATTACGCAGGCTGTGAAATTTGGGAAGTAAGTTGCCTTAAGTTGGTAGATGTGGAGATTTGACAGGAAGTGGGAGAACAAAGGGGTTGGGAAGCTTTTGGAAAGTGTCCAGGCTTCATCTGTGCTGTGGAAGGTGAGAAAGTTGGGAATTCCAGAGGGCAGAGCTCTTAAAGAATTTGAGATGAGTTCAGCACTCTCTTCAAAACAGTGTTTTAAAATTTATTTTCTTCTGGATATGAAAGTGTTAGGTTTGGGAAGTAATTCTGGCTGTAGGACAGTTTTTCCGGAACACTAGGTGGGGAGTGTTGAATGTTGTGAAGACTAAAATATGCATATGGTATTACAGTGTGATACCTGTTACTGAGTGGCGTACATTAGCTTTCATTTTTAAGCAAGCCCGTAATTCCCTTCTATTAACTCTGTTTTGGACAGTGGTACCCGTCACCCTCATCAGTCTTCAACCTAGATAACCTAAATCCAGGTCTGAGGTGGGGGTGGAATGGTCTGTTTGCACCTTTTTTTTTTTTTTTTTTTTTTTTTTTTTTGAGACGGAGTCTTGCTCTGTCGCCCAGGCCGTAATTAATGCGGTGGCGCGATCTCGGCTCACTGCAAGCTCCACCTCCCGGGGTCACACCATTCTCCTGCCTCAGCCTCCCGAGTAGCTGGGACTTCAAGCTTCCGCCACCACAGCCGGCTAATTTTTTTGTATTTTTTTAGTAGAGACGGGGTTTCACCGTGTTAGCCAGGATGGTCTTGATCTCCTGACCTCGTGATCCGCCTCCTCGGCCTCCCAAAGTGCTGGGATTACAGGCATGAGCCACCGCGCCCGGCCTTTTGTGTGTGTGTGTGTGTGTGTGTGTGTGTGTGTGTGTGTGTGTGTGAGATGGAGTTTAGCTCTTGCCCCTGCTGGAGTATAATGGCACCATCTTGGCTCACTGCAACTTCGCCTCCCAGGTTCAAGCGATTCTCCTGCCTCAGCCTCCCGAGTAGCTGGGATTACAGGCATGCGCCACCACGCCCAGCTAATTTTTTCTATTTTTATTAGAGACGAGGTTTCACTATGTTGTTCAGGCTGGTCTCGAACTCCTGACCTCAGGTGATCCACCCGCCTCGGCTTCGCAAAGTGCTGGATTACAGGTGTGAGCCCGCGCGTCCGGCTGTCACTTTAAAGAGTATTATAAGAGGGCACTTCATAACTTGGGCAGGTATTTTTAGTCATCCTGAACGTGTCGCTGTGGACTGGGTGTCACCGCGGGACCGCACAGACACCTTACTGTCGTCTGCTGTAAAGGTCAGCTTCTATATTGGTTAATGCTTACAGATATCTGTTGAGGAATAAGAGAATGTAATTAGCCTTTGTATTTGTGAGTTGACGTTTTGACGGGATTTTTACTTCTTAGTATTTATTTGCATCGAGGTTACACACTGGATTAACAGCGTTTTTTGGAAACCTTTTTAAAACTTTTTCATTTCCTCAGAAATGATTCTGTTCAAAATGTGGTTTGGTTAAATTTGTGCAGGACCCCACCTGGTGGTGAGAGGCGGGTAACTGCAGGCTCATTAGCGAGTAAGAGTAGGATCAGTGGCAGGATTTAGCAAATGGTGTAGTTCAAGGATGAATAGAATTTGAGAATATCAAACTCAAAAAAATGAGGTTAATGAGAAGAAGAGCAAAGTTGGTGAAAACAAGAATATGTTAGAAACGATGATGTAGGAATGGAAAAACGACAACGCCTACCTGCAGAAAAGTCAACTAGTAAAAATGTGATTTTTTTTTTTGTATTGATATTAATGAGGTGTTTTGTCAAACAAAACCCTTTATGTTTTTGTATGGACATAAATCACTGTTGACCTGTTTCATGTTCCTGGAGATATCCTACTTGAGAAGGAATATTGATTGATGATTAGTTGACTGACTGATTTACTTGAGATGGAGTCCTTGCTCTGTGTCCCAGGCTGGAGTGCAGTGGCGCGGTCTTGGCTCACTGCACTCCTGGGTTCAAGCCATTCTCCTGCTTCAGCCTGCCAGGTAGCTGGGATGACAGGCGCGTGTCACCACGCCTGGCTAATTTTTGTATTTTTAGTAGAGACGGTTTCACCATGTTGGTCAGGCTGGTCTCGAACACCTGACCTCAGGTGATCCCCTGCCTCCGCCTCCCAAAGTGCTGGGATTACAGGCGTGACCCACCGCACCTGGCTGTGTGTGTGTGTGTGTGTGTGTGTGTGTGTGTGCGCGCGCGCAGGTGGAATCACCCTGTGTGCCCAGGCTGGTCTCGAACTCCTGGCCTCAAGTGAGTCTTTCATCCCGGCCTGTCAAAGTGCTAGAATTACAAGTGTGAGCCAGGTGCCTGGCCAGATTTTAGATTTTTTTGTTGTTGTTGAGATGGAATCTCATATTGCCCAGGCTGGATGCAGTGGCGCCATCTCGGCTCACTGCAACCTCTGCCGCACGGGTTCAAGCGATTCTCCTGCCTCAGCCTCCCGAGTAGCTGTGATTACAGGCACCTGCCACTGCTCCCGACTGATTTTTGTATTTTTAGTAGAGACGGGGGTTTCACCATCTTGGCCAGGCTGGTCTTGAACTCTTGACCTCGTGATCCACCCGCCTCGGCCTCCCAAAGTGGTGGGATCACAGGTGTGAGCCACTGCGCCAGGCCATATTTTAGAATTCTTAAGCTGTGTTGCAAAATTACGTGTCTTTGGAAGGGTGATTTAGTTTACACTACATATGATTTTTCCCCCTTTGATATTTTTCTACTTACCTTTTGCCACCAAAGGCTTAAATTAAAAGTGTGTTTTATATTTGTGTTGTGCATATATACGTGTGTGCTCTAGTTGGTATGCTTATGAACTGTGTACTAATACTTATTCCTCTCTGCCACCTTGAGATGGCATGTACCACTTGGGTGGGCTTTGAATCTGAAGTTATTTGTGTTTATAGGAATGTCCAGGACACAGAGTGCTTAGAAAGTATTGATTGAATTAGATTCTTTCTAGTTTGTGTATGTCCTGATGACCTTCCTGTGATTAATAATGGAATCCAGAATTCAAGAAAGTTGGAAAAAATAAGTTTCAGCAGCACTGGAGACTGAGTACTTAACCGAGTGTTGCTTTGTTTATTTTAGAGTCTCACACTGTCACCCAGGCTGGAGTGCAGTGTCGCGATCTTGGCTCACCGCAACCTCCACCTCTGGGGTTCAAGCGATTCTCCTGCCTCAGCCTCCCTGGTAGCTGAGATTACAGGCGTTCGCCACTACACCTGGCTAATTGTTGTATATTTAGTAGAGAGTGGGTTTTGCCATGTTGGCCAGACTGGTTTGGAAGCAGGTGATCCACCTGCTTTGGCCTCCCAAAGTGCTGGGATTACAGGTGTGAAGCACCGAGCCTGGCCCTATTTTATTATAATAATAATTTTTTTTGAGACAGGGTCTCACTCTGTCACCCAGACTGGAGTGCAGTGGCGTGATCTCAGCTCACCCCAGCCTCCGCCTCCTAGTGTCAAGTGATTCTCCTACCTCAGGCTCCGGAGTAGCTGGGATTACAGGCACGTGCCACTATCCTGGCTAATTTTTTTTTTTTTTTTTTTTTTTTTTTGAGTTTCACTCTTGTTGCCCAGGCTGGAGTGCAGTGGTGCAATCTCAGCTCACTGCAACCTCTGCCTCCCAGGTTCAAGCGATTCTCCTGCCTCAGCCTCCCGAGTACATGGGATTACAGGCATGCACCACGACACCCAGCTAATTTTGTATTTTTAGTAGAGACAGGGTTTTGCCCTGTCCAACTCCTGACCTCAGGTCATCCGCCTGCCTTGGCCTCCCAAAGTGTTGGGATTACAGGCGTGAGCCAGCGTGCTGGCCTAACTTCTATATTTTTAGTAGAGATAGGGTTTCACCATGTTGGCCAGGCTGGTCTTGAACTTGTGACCTCAATCCACCTTCCTCGACCTTCCAAAGTGCTGGGATTACAGGTGTGAGCCACCAAGCCTGGCCTATTATGATTTTTTAATGAAAGGGAGTTAAGCTTGGAAGTATCTAATAGGTGATGAGTGCTAGTTGAAGAAATGGTCTCTGATCTTGAGTAATGGGGAAATAACTTCTGTGTTTGTTTCAGAAATATTTTAGGACATACTGGATAATGAAATAAGTAGGTGATGTGTGTGATAAGGAATGAAAATTCACTGCTGTGGGTTTTTTTTTTTCCTACCTGTCTGTACTTTTTTTGTTTTTGCTTTTTTTTTTTGTTGTTTGAGACCAAGTCTCACTCTGTCACTTAGGCTGGAGTGCAGCGGCGTGATCTTGGCTCACTGCAACCTTTGCCTCCCAGGCTCAAGCAATTCTTGTGCTTCAGCCTTCTTTCTGAGTAGCTGGGATTACAGATGTGCACCACCACACCCAGGTAATTTTTTTTTTTTTTTTAAGACAGAGTCTTGCTCTGTTGCTCAGGCAGGAGTGCAGTGGCACTATCTTGGCTCACTGCGCCTGCACCTCCCAGGTTCAAGCAATTCTCCTGCCTCAGGCTGCCGAGTAGCTGGGACTACAGGCGCTCACCACCATGCCTGGCTAATTTTTGTATTTTTAGTAGAGAAAGGGGTTTGCCATGTTGGCCGGGCTGGTCTTGAACACCTCAGGTGATCTGCGTGCCTCGGCCCTCCAAAGTGCTGGGATTACAGGCGTGAGCCACCTCACCTGGCCTCAGATGAATTTAGAAACCACTATTTTTTTTTGAGATGGAGTCTTGCTCTGTTGCCCCGGCTGGAGTGCTGTGGTGTGATCTCAGCTCACTGCAAACTCTCCCGGGTTCAAGCAGTTCTCCTGCCTCACCTGGAACTACAGGCGCCACCACGTCTGACTGGGTTTTGTATTTTTAGTAGAGACGGGGTTTCACCACGTTGGCCATGCTGTTCTCAAACTCCTGACCCCAGGTGATCCACCTGCCATGGCCTCCCAAAGTGCTGGGATTATACGCATGAGCTACCCACGCCTAATCTTTATGTGACGTGTTTTTTTAAAAGTCCTAAACTTAGAGGTCATTGAATTTATTGGAGAAGGTTATTTTTGATTAATGGCGATTAGGCTAATTTTTTTCATGGTTTTAATAGAGATTTTTCGTTTTTTTAAACTTGATTTAGATGTATTGCTTTTGGAAATTGCAGAAATTAACAAACCGAGTTTTCCTAAGAAATATTTTTTCTTAATTTCTTAATTGAAAAGTTTTCTATGGCTTCCTTAATAGACAGTAGGACCTAGTTAATAGTTTAAAGAAGTTTCATAATTGTTATTAGAAATGTTAATTATGGGCCGGGTGTGGTGGCTCACACCTGTAATCCCAGTACTTTGGGAGGCCAAGGTGGTCAGATCACAAGGTCAGGAGTTTGAGACCATCCTGGCTAGCATGGTGAAACCCCATCTCTACTAAAACAATACAAAAATCAGCTGGGCGTGGTGACAGGTGCCTGTAGTCTCAGCTACTTAGCAGGCTGAGGCAGGAGAATGGCGTGAACGCGGGAGGCGGAGCTTGCAGTGAGCCGAGATCCCTCTACTGCACTCTACTGCACTCTGCCTGGGTGACAGAGTGAGACTCCGTCTCAAAAAAAAAAAAAAATAGCCAGGCATTGTGGGACACACCTGTAGTCCCAGGTACTCGGGAGGCTGATGCAGGAGAATCGCTGGAACCAGGGAGGTGGAGGTTGCAGTGAGCTGAGATTGTGCTGCTGCACTCCAGCCTGGGCAACAGAGTGAGACTCAAACTCAAAAAAAAAAAAAAGTTAATTTTGTAGTTAGAGAATATCTTCCTGCTCTACGCAAATTCCCTTCCAGCCTGAAATTATTTGTTTTTTTATTTTTTATTTAAAAAAAAATTTATTATTTTTGTGACAGGGTCTTGCTCCGTTACGTAGGCTGGAGGGCATTGGTGCGTTCACGTCTCACTAGCATCGACTGCCTGGGCTCAAGTGATTTTCCTGCCTCAGCCACTTCCAGTAGCTGGGACTACAGGTGCACACTGCCACACCCTACTGAGTTTTTATATTTCGTAGAGACAAGATTTTGCTGTGTTACTCAGCGTGGTCTTGAACTCCTGAGCTGAAGTGATCCCCCTGCCTCAGCCTGCCAAAGTGTTAGGATTACAGGCATGAGCTACTGTACCCAGCTGTGATTTCTTTTAAAGTGCTACTTTACAGCACTGTCACTTTTATTTTATCATTTTTAACTTTAAAGTTTTTTGTTTATTTTTATTTATTTTATTTTTTGAGATGAAGTTTCGCCCTTGTTGCCCAGGCTAGAGTGCAATGGAGTGGTCTCGGCTCACTGCAACCTCTGCCTTCCAGGTTCAAGTGATTCTCCTGCCTCAGCCTCCCAAGTAACTGGGATTACAGGCGCCCGCCACCACACCTGGCTAGTTTTTGTATTTTTTGTAGAGACAGGATTTCACCATGTTGTCCAGACTGGTCTTGAATTCCTGACCTCAGGTGATCCACCCGCCTCAGCCTCCCAAAGTGCTGGGATTACAGGCGTGAGCCACTGCGCCTGGCTTAAAATTTTTATTTTTTATATATTTTGTTTTTTTCTGAGACAGGGCCTTGCCCTGTCTCTTGTCCAAGTTGGAGTGCAGTGACATGACATGGCTCACAGCATCCTTGATCTCTTGCGCTCAAGTGATCCTGCCATTTCAGCCTCCTGCATAGCTGGGAGTACAGGCATGTGCCACCCCACTCAGCTAATTTTTTTTATCTTTTTGTAGAGATGGTGTCTTACTGTGTTGCCCAGGCTGGTCTCAAGCTCTTGGGCTCAAGTGATCCTTCTGCACATTTCCAAGGTTGTTTCACTCCTGTGTCTTTGCTGTCTAGAAGCTTTTCAGTGTGATGTAATCCCACTTGTCTGTTTCGGCTTTTGTTCCTTGTGCTTTTGGGGGTCATATCCAAACAAAGATTGCTGAGGGGCCAAATTTTAAATTGTGTATAATTTTAATGACTTCAGATTTAAATAGCTGCATTTGGCTTATGGAGTCTTTTGAGCAGCATGGTTTTAAAAAGGTTTTTGCCAAGTGGGGTTCTAATGGACACCTATGCTTGTAGAGCTCTGATGTGAGTGATCTGCTGTAGAAATTACTTCTTTTGATTTAGTATATTATTTTAAAATGCAGGTGATGCACTGGTTTCTTGGTGAGGGAAGCTGGTTTTTCCTGGCTGAGCTTCTGTAGGGTGGAGGGCTGGAGTCCAGGCTCTCGCTGGGCAGGGAAGGCAGCTTGAGTGTGCCTTCCAGTCCTCCTGAGGGCCCACATTTTTCTGGGATCACCTGTTTTCTGTAATGTGCATTGAACACACGGGCCAGGAGAAGAGGGAAGTAGAGGAGCTTTGTCCTCTGTGCTCATCCTCACAGTGCTGGGCGGGCCAGAAGGATTCAGGGCCAACCTTAGGGAGATGAAGGCCAGTTAAAATGTTTTATTGCCACAAATGGTGTCTTTTAAGAAATGAATCCATGTATTTTACACTTAAATGATATTAGGCTACTCCGGGCACACTGCCTATGGGGTAGCCCTGCTCTGCAAGGAGTAGTAAAAAAAAAAAAAAAAAAAAAGTTAAAGATACAACTTAGTTTCTCTGTGACTAGGGAAATCGTCCAAGTATGTATCAAATAATGCTAATTGGTACCTAGTTTTATATCTTGATTAGGCAACTTTTTGCTTAAAATTGTTTTGGAATGCATTAGTATTTCTACAGCTTCAGGCTGCTTTATCATCTAATACACAGTTGGATATTTAATATATAGTTTTATCAGTTTTTTTTAAACACTGTTTTTGAGAGGTCTGAGGAAAAAAAAGATAGTGTTACCAAAAATACTTCTATAGGGAAATACTGATAGAAATGTATAGGTAGCCTTGAAATTCTGAGGTTAATAAAAAAATTTGAATGCAGGTAACCTTTCATGGAGTTTGTCAAATTTTAAATTGTGTCTTACATCAGTGATGACTGAAGCAGTAAGGAGTGAGCTTGCAGCAAACAGTGGGGATTGTTGCAGCATCAGCACTTCAGCCAGCTCTGCAGGTTTCCTTGGAGACACGTGGATTTCTCTTTCTAGACCTTCAGCTATTTTCTTTTTTTTCTTGTTTTCTTGAGATGGAGTCTTGCTCTGTCGCCCAGGCTGCAGTGCAGTGGTGCGATCTCGGCGCACTGCAAGCTCCACCTCTCGGGTTCACACCGTTCTCCTGCCTCAGCCTGCCAAGTAGCTGAGACTACAGGCGCCCGCCACCACGCCCGGCTAATTTTTTCTATTTTTAGTAGAGACGGGGTTTCACCGTGTTAGCTAGGATGGTCTTGATCTCCTGACCTCGTGATTCGCCTGCCTCGGCCTCCCAAAGTGCTGGGATTACAGGCATGAGCCACCGCGCCCGGCCAGCTATTTTCATTTTGTTGTTTCTGTAATGCGTATTTGTATTTAATTTATATTCTAAATTTGTTAGTCTTACTGGCATTTGATGAAAACTAAAAAGGTAATTTTGAGATTTCAAGTACTGGTGAGAGAATGTCCCATAGCCTTGAGGGTTGGAATTGTGTACATTGACAGCATAGTGCCACGATACAGGCTAGCATGAGTTCTGGAGGCAAACTTGGATTCTTACTATTTTTAAAGATGCAGTGTCTTTGGTATGTTGCCCAGGTTGAACTCAGACTCCTGGGCTGAAGCCATCCTCCTGCCTCAGCCTTCTGAGTCACTGGGACTTTAGGTGCACGTGACTGTGCTCGGCTCAGACTTGGGTTTTGAACTTGCTGGAACATTGACATTTACTTAATTCCTTTGAGCCCCCGTTTCCTCACCTACAAACAGTAACTCACAGAATGACTGTGATGGAATACGTACCTGTAAGAATGTGTGACACGTGAGTCAGTAACACATTGTTGCCCCAGCTCCTTTCCCCCTTAATCGGCTAATAATTAAGCCTCAATTATTAGTAAACTAATTAAGCATCATATGACTTGATGATTAGCATGTCACGTTTAAAATTACCTGTTGTCATTCAGGTTATAAGAAGTTTGTTTATTTATTTGTTTTTTTGAGTTGGAGTCTCGCTCTGTCACCCTGGCTGGAGTGCAGTGGTGTGATCTTGGTTTACTCCAACCTCTGCCTCCCGGGCTCAAGCGATTCTTCTGCCTCAGCCTCCCGAGTAGCTGGGATTACAGGTGCACACCACCATGCCTAGCTAATTTTTGTATTTTTAGTAGAGATGGTGTTACGTCATGTTGGTCAGGCTGGTCTTGAACTCTTGACCTCAGGTGATCCACCTACCTCAGCCTCCCAAAGTGCTGGGATTACAGGCGTGAGCCACCATGCCTGGCCTTATTTTATTTTTTTGAGATGGAGTCTTGCTCTGTGGCTCAGGCTGGAGTGCAGTAGCGTGATCTTGGCTCACTGTGACCTCTGCCTCCCGGGTTCAAGCGATTCTCCTGCCTCAGCCTCCTGAGTAGCTGGGATTACAGGCGCCCACCACCTTGCCCAGCTAATTTTTTGTATTTTTAGTAGAGATGGGGTTTCGCCATGTTGGCCAGGCTGGTCTTGAACTCCTGACCTCAAGTGATCCACCCGTCTTGGCCTCCCAAAGTGCTGGAATTACAGGCATGAGCCACTGCGCCCAGTCTTATTTTTTAATATTGCCATATTTTAAATAGGAATGGAAGATTTCTGCACCAGTCCTAGCGTTTGTGGATGTGCATGGAACCCTGTTGGTGAAGTTTTCTTGCCTTGGAGAAGGACCCTAAACAGTTTCCTAAATAGCTCTCCTGTCTGCGCTTGGTTGCATTCCTGTCGTTTTTGATTCCCGCACATATCGTTTGGAGCATCTTCGTAACCCTGCCGTCCAGTCATCACTCTCTTAAGTCCATCTCCCTTGTAGTTAGAAGTTATCTTTCCACATACTCCTGTTGAGTTCACACCACCGCTTAACTCTTCTACTTACAGTGGAAGAGTCCTAATTCCTTAGTTGTAAAATTCTTCAGTTGCGCCCTGTTCTTTCTTGTCCTGACTCCCTCCCCTCCCTCTTACTCCCAGCACCCTCACACTGACGTTCCACCCTACTAACTTGCTGCGTCCCACATGGGCTGTGTGCTGTCGTTATTTTGCCTGAGCATACGCTGTTACTTGTGTGTGGAATACTTTTGCCTCTGTTCTCTGCCTGGGGAGCTTACTCTTGTTTTTCATTTCGTCAGTAAAATGTCAGTGTTAATTTTTCCTTTCCTCATGGTCTCTATACCATCTCCCCAGCACTCTGTGCATATTTGTCTTTTTAAATTTTTTTTTATTTTTTGTGTAGATGAGGGCTTGCTGTGTTGTTGCTCACGCTTATCTGGAATTCCTGGGCTGAAGCAGTCTTCCAGCCTCGGCCTCCCAGTAGTGCTGGGATTACAGGTGTGAGACCCTGCAACGGCCATGTGCATATTTGTCTACATGCCTGTCTTCCACTAAACTTGATGACTTTTATTATTTCCAAAGCTAGCATAGTGTGTGTTATAAATAGTAAGTTTGTATGATTAAATTCAATCAGAATGACAATATTCTTTTAACATTAGGAAGGCTTTGATTGGTTGACTAATGGGGCCAGTCTCACTAAAATGAAACAGTTGGGCAAGGTGTGACCCTCCCTTCCCTTGAGAGTCTCACCTGCCCAAAGGTAATGGGAAGGCAGGACCGTGACCCCAGGTTAGAAAAGACCAGGGGACTTAGCAGAGTTTTATTACTTTTTTTTTTTGAGTCAGAGTCTTGCTCGGTCACCCAGGTTGGCGTGCAGTGGTAAAATCACGGCTCACTGCAGCCTAGACCTCCTGGGCTCAAGCCATCCTCCCACCTCAGCCTCCCGAGTAGCTGGGACCATGCGCTGTGCCATCATGCCTGGCTAATTATTTTATTTTTTGAGACGGAGTCTCACTCTGTCATCCAGGCTGGAGTGCAGTGGCATGATCTCAGCTCACTGCAACCTCCGCCTCCCGGGTTCAAGCAATTCTCATGCCTCAGTCTCCTGAGTAACTGGGATTACAGGTTCATGCCACCACACCCAGCTGATTTTTGTATTTTTAGTAGAGACGGTTTCGTCATGTCAGCCAGGCTGGTCTCGAACTCCTGGCCTCAGGTGATCTGTCCGCCTCAGCCTCCCAGAGTGGTGGGATTTCAGACATGAGCCACCGCGCCTGGCCAACGCCCGGCTAATTATTTTATTTTTAGTAGATTCAGAGTCTCCCTTTGTTGTCCAGGCTGGTCTTGAGCTCCTTAGCTCAAGCGTTCCCTCATTCTCTGTCCCCAGAACACTGGGATTACAGGCATGAACCATTGCATCCTGCCCGAATTTTATTGTTAATTGTAGCATCCTGGTCCATTTTCCCGTCCTGATCAGAAAGAGAGCTGTGGGTCTTGTTATCTTTTGTTGGTGGCAATTGGACTGTCCCTGGAGTATCTGTGTTGGACTGGGGGCACTAAGACATTACGACATTGGAGCTTGCTCAGAGGGGAGGGACCAGGTAGGTCAGGGTTTCTCAGGAGGAACTGTGAAGAATTGTAAGGGTATATTTGCCTAGAGACAGAAAAACTTGCCAAGATAAAGCCCCCAAATATCCAAAGGTAACTATGCGGAAGAGAAATTGAACCTGTATCGCATAATTTGAATAAGGACCAAAGGGTGAAAATTCCTTGGAGACCCCCGCTCCCCAGCATAAGGAAGAATTCCTGTAGTTAACTAAAATTCAGGGCTTGACTTTGGAGATAATGAGTTCCGGTCACTGGCGTTTGTTCAGGCAGAGAAAGGTTGCACTAATTAGTGGTTATTGAAGTGTGGATGCCTTATGAGTCAGAGCTTGAACTTGGTGATATAAAGGTCCTTTAATAAGAATTTGAGGAAGACGCCCAATATGGCACTTTTCTCGAAGTACTTGGAGACAACAACCTTTTTTTTTTTATTTTTTTTTGAGATGGAGTCTTACTCTGTCTCCCAGGCTGGAGTGCAGTGGTGCGATCTTGGCTCACTGCAACCACCACCTCCCAGGTTCAAGTGAGTCTCCTGCCTCAGCCTCCCGAGTCTTAGCTGGCGTTACAGGTGTTAGCCACCAGACCTGGCCAGAGACAACAACTTTTTAATTCTGAGATTCTGTGGTAGCATATGCCAGACATTAGCCAGCTGCTTAACTTTTGTCCAGTCTTTTTTTTTTTTTTGAGACAGAGTTTCGCTCTTGTTGGCCAGGCTGGAGTGCGATGGTGCAATCGCGGCTCACTGCAGCCTCCGTCTCCCAGGTTCAAGCAATTCTCCTGCCTCAGCCTCCTGAGTAGCTGGGATTACAGGAATGTGCCACCATGCCTAGTTAATTTTGTATTTTTAGTAGAGACAGAGTTTCTCCATGTTGGTCAGGCTGGTCTCGAACTCTCTACCTCAGGTGATCCGCCCCCCTCAGCCTGAGCCACCATACCTGTCCTGTCTTTGAATACTGTCTCACTGTTTTTGTTCTGAGTCTTTGAAAAGAATGTTAAAGGTCAATAGTAGTTGGAAGAACTAAGCCTGACTGTCTCCCAACTCATGGTTTTACCAAAAACTCTATTAAAAAACTGTTGTGGGCCGGGCACGGTGGCTCATGTCTGTAATCCCAGCACTTTGGGAGGCCGAGGAGGGCGGATCTACAAGGTCAGGAGATCGAGACCATCCTGGCTGGCATGGTGAAACCCTGTCTCTACTAAAAATACAAAAAAAAAATTGGCCAGGTGTGGTGGTGGATGCCTGTAGTCCCAGCTCCTCAGGAGGCTGAGGCAGGAGAATGGTGTGAACCCTAGAGGTGGAGTTTGCAGTGAGCTGAGATTGTGCCACTGCACTCCAGCCTGGGTGACATAGTGAGACTCTGTCTCAAAACAACAACAACAACAACAACAACAACAAAAAAAACCACAAAACTTGTTTGGCTGGATATGGTGTATGCCCATAATCCCAGCACTTTGGTAGGCCAAGGTGGACAGATCACCTGAGGTCAGGAGTTTGAAACCAGCCTGGCCAACATGGTGAAACCCTGTGTCTACTTTAAAAAAAACCCAAAAAACAAAACAAAAAAAACCACAAAAAATTAGTCGGTGTGGTGGCACATGCCTGTAGTCCCAGCTAGCTGGGAGGCTGAGGCAGGAGAATTGCTTGAACCCGGGAGGTGGGGAGGTTTCAGTGAGTCGAGATTGTGCTGCTGCATTCCAGCCTGGGCGTCAGAGAGCGAGACACTATCTCAAAAACAAACAAACAAACAAACAAAAAAACAAAACTTCTCAATTTAAAATATTTACTCCAATTTGTGGCTCACGCCTGTATTCCCAGCACTTTAGGAGGCTGAGGTGAGCGGATAACGAGGTCAGGAGATCGAGACCATCCTGGCCAACATGGTGAAACCCGTCCCTACTAAAAATAGAAAAATTAGCTAGGCGTGGTGGTGGGCACCTGTAATCCCAGCTACTCCAGAGGCTGAGACAGGAAAGTCGCTTGAACCAGGGAGTTGGAGGTTGCAGTGAGCCAAAATTGTGCTACTCTACTCTGGCGACAGAGCAAGACTCTGTCTCAAAATATATACATATATATGTATATATATATAATTTTCTTTTTTACTCCAAGTAAGCTAGGAGTATCTTCAGTATTGCTGAAGGCTTTATTTAATCATGCAGTGTGTATTTGATGGTGGATTACTCTCTGAATATTTATTCAGTTGAATGTGGAATGAGGTGGTATGAAGATGGGGGTGGGGGTGATTTGGAGGTCCTTTGACTATTCCTGCTGGCTCCCTGGTGAGGGTGTGGCATCTCTGCAGATGAGTTCTCCTGACTGTGCTCAGGCGGCTGTCTGTGTGCCCATCGCTCCTGCCTGCTTTTCTCTTTCCTTCCCACTTCCTCATTGTGTGAGACCATCCACTCCGTGTATTACTGGTTCCTTTCTACTTCATCACAAGCAGGTAGCACTTAGGATATTCTAGATGGAGCTCAGGGCTTTCTTCCCTTGGAGAGCATCATCTGTAAACAACCATGGAAGTGGATGTCACCCACTTCACAGGGTGGGGAAGCAACCACAGTGAGTAGGTAGTTTTCCAAGGAACCACGGCTTGTTTACGATAAACACCCAGTTCCACTTCCAAGTTCCTACGCTGTGAACATTACTGCTTCCCTGTACAGGGAAGGCAGGGTGGTAAATCCTTGATTCTTAGTGCTTGCTGGCTTTTTAGAGTGACATGAACTCAAGAATTTTAAATGTAGGTTTTAAATTCAATTCAGTCAATTCACTTTGAAGCCCACATTCTCGTTAAGGTCAGGAATTGCCCTATCAAATTTTTTTTTTTTTAATTTTTAAAATTTTTCGTAGAGACAGGGTTTCGCCGTGTTGCCAAGGCTGGTCTTGAACTGCTGGGCTCATGCAGTTTGTCCGCCTCGGGCTCCTAAAGTGTTGAGATTACAGGTGTGAGCTGCCGCACCCGGTCCAGTTTGGTTTCTGTGTCCTTTTGATGTACACTTCGTCTTTTTGAAGTTTTTAAACTTTATTTTGAGGTAGTTTTAGATTTACAGAAAAGTTGTAAAGATAGTACAGGGATTTTCCTGTATACCATTCACCCAACTTCCCTTAATCTTTCTGTAACTGTGGTAACTGTGGTGAATTTCTCAAAAGTAAGCAGTTGACACCGCTACAGTATTGTTAAATGTGGACTTTATTCATATTCCACCTGTTTTTCTGCTAATGTCCTTTTCCTGTTCTAGAAACCATCCGAGGAACCCAGATTGTATTTAGTTGTCATTTACTCTTAGTTACAGGTTGTCTGTCCCGTTGTTTTTCTTGACCGGGGTGTGTGTGTGTGTGTGTGTGTGTGTGTGTGTGTGTATGTATTTTTTTTTGTTTGTTTGTGATAAGTTGGGCCTGGTTAGTGCTTGGATGGGAGATAGGGTCTCGTTCTGTTGCCTGTGCTGGAATGCCGCGGTGCAGTCCTGACTCACTGTAGCCTTGACAACCTTCCTGGCTCAAGTGATCCTCCCACCTCAGCCTCCTGAGTAGCTGGGATGACAGACACATGCCACCATGCACAGCTACTTAAATTTTTTTTTTGTTGCACAGAGTTCTCACTGTGTTTCCCAGGCTGATCTTGAACTCCTGGGCTCAAGCAGTCCTCCTGCCTTGGCCTCCCAAAGTGCTGGAATTATAGGAGTGAGCCACTGCGCCTGGCCTGAGTCTGTGATTTTGGATAGCTTTTTAAATTTTCTTGCTTGATCTAGCATTAGCCAGTATAGTAAATTTTTATTTCAATTTAATTCTGAATTGACCTGTACTTTATAGCTGGTTTTGTCCAGGGCAGGACCACAGATTGTATCTGTTGTGATAATAATCTACACATTTATTCATTTTTGTTTGTTTTTTTCGACTTTTTTGAGATGGAGTTTTGTTCTTGTTGCCCAGGCTGGAGTGCAATGGTGCGATCTCGGCTCACCGCAGCCTCCGCTTCCTGGGTTCAAGCGATTCTCCTGCCTCAGCCTCTTGAGTAGCTGGGATTACAGGCATGCGCTACCACGCCCGGCTAATTTTGTATTTTTAGTAGAGACAAGGTTGCTCCATGTTGATCAGGCTGGTCTCGAACTCCCGACCTCAGGTGATCCACCCACCTTGGCCTCCCAAAGTGCTGGGATTACAGGTGTGAGCCGCTGTGCCCAGCTATTCATTTTTAGTTTTAATTTTTTTTTTAAAAAAATTATTTTCATTTTTTTGGAGACAGGTCTCGCTCTCACCCCAAGCTGGAGTGCTGTGGCACGCTTTCGAACTGGTCTCCAACTCCTGGGCTCAAGGAGTCCTCCCACTTTGGTCTCACAAAGTGCCAGGATTACAGGTGTGTGCCACCGTGCCCAGCCAATATCTGCACATTTATAAGCTGACATCTCTGAGAGCACAGGGCAGGATGAAATTAGAGGCTGCTGTAGGTCAGGGTAAGGGATAATGATGCTGGTGAAGATAAAGAACAGTGAATGAATTTCATTTATTTCAGAGGTAGACTCGGCAGAACTTTGTGATTTATTTGTGTCTGTGTGCTGAGTGTAGTGACGTTGGCGAAGGTGAACATTTCACAGGCACCTCGGAGCTCAAGGTAGAATTTACTAGAAAATGACCAGGTATGTAGGAGGTGGGGAGGATTAAGAGTTAAATTTTGGTCGTGTTCTATTTAGGATGTCTGCTGGACATCCAAGTGGCTGTGTCAAGTAGTCATCTGTCTATTTGTGTCTGAAGTGCCCAGGAGAGGCCTGAGCTTGGAGCTTACATCTGGGACTCATTGCTAAGTAAATTATATTTATGTAATGGGAAAGGATGAAAACCCACATGTAGGATGAGAGTTGGCCTTGAGCCTTTAGCGTTCCCGTAGTTTCTTTTATTTATTTATTTATTTATTTTGAGATGGAGTCTCACTGTCGTCCAGGTTGGAGTGCAGTGGCGCGGGCGCGATCTCGGCTCACTGCAGGCTCCGCCTCCCGGGGTTCACGCCGTTCTCCTGCCTCACCATCCCGAGTAGCTGGGACTACAGGCACCCGCCACCTCTCTTGGCTAATTTTTTGTATTTTTAGTAGAGATGGAGTTTCACCGTGTTAGCCAGGATGGTCTTGATCTCCTGACCTCGTGATCTGCCCGCCTCGGCCTCCCAAAGTGGTGGGATTACAGGCGTGAGCCACCGCACCCGGCCAGCATTCCCGTGGTTTCTTCAGCGGGCCAGTGGAGGGGTGAAAGCTGGTGGTGGAAGGCAGATGGAGAGAGAAGTTGGACAAGGAGAGCTGGGAAACGTCTGTGGGTGGTGCTGTGGGTTTTTTACTGACCTTAAATAAGAGCCTCCAGTGGCAGGCAGTGGGGAGCTGCAGCAGGACTGGGGGATGAGTCCAGGCAAGGAAGTGGAGCGGCTAAGGGTAAGCAGTGCAGGAGGAGCGCAGAGGTGAGGGCATCCACTCCAGGGGGTGGCTCTCATACTGCCTTTATGCTTTCCTTGTAGGGTAGCCTTCATTTGGTAAGGAAACTAGCCATTTGATGGAGTGCTGCATGAATACCGAGTGCTGTTAGTGGATGCTGCACGTACATGACAGAGCAGGCTTTCAGTGAGAGTGTTTTTGGTGGTGAAGTAAATCACAGCATTCCCCAGCTGGCCACGCGGCCCTCACCCACACCCACGTTCTCACCTCTGTGCTCACTGCCTCGGGAGGTGTCTTCCTCCCATTCCCACCACCATATGCACAAACACAGGCACACAAGTGCAGATAGAAGATGAGCTGTTTGGACTTGCGAGGGCATGTGTGCTTGGTGTGTGGCACATTGAATGGCCTCTTGCTATATATAGTGCTCAGAGGGGATGATCCAGATGTCTGGCATGGGGAGACTGGTACTGAGATTTCTGCTCTTGTTCTGTTAGTGAGAGTGGATTAGCAGCTTCCCTCTGTTTCTGCTAGGTACTGCCACTGGCATCACTGCCAAAATGCCACCTCAGATCGTTGGCAGCAAACTGGAGCTGGAGTGAAAATAACCTCACGTAGTCACTCAGCCAAGGGAATGAGGGAGACGTGAAGAAACGCTGGCTTTCCTGCTGCTTGTTGCCTGCTCTGTCTTGTGTGCTGTGACTGATGGGCAGGTTTTTAGTTACTGAAAGAAGATTGCGGTGTTCCTACTTACGGGAGTCGACTCCTGTCTTTTCTCTAGAGACTGGTCGGACCTGTGTGGCTTGAATCCTGTATGTTGCCATGTCATTCTAACTACCAGGGAGGAAATCTTTCATAACTAGGGGTTCCTTACCTTGTAACTTATTACATGAAGTCCCTAATATTTTATATTGATTATTTCCAAATGGAGTGGAAAGAACTGTGCAGTGGTATACCCTTAGGCACATTCTCCAATTAATATTTTATCTTTGTTTTATTATGTATCCAGCAAAGCTGATAACGTTAAATTGGAATAATTACAAGAAAATAGGAACAAGTTTTTTTCTAAGTTGTAATTTTAAAAATACTGGGAACAAATCTACTTAAGAAAAAGAACATTTTGATACTCTAAATTCCGTATCTTGTAGTTGGCATATTAAACTTAACACCTAGAATCTTTGCTGTCATGTATTTGAAGATGTACATTTCTTTTCTAAGTTTGATGTTAGTCATTCTGTCGAATTGATAATGTAGTTTATATACATCTAAATAGATCCTGATTTCCATTATAGTTTTTTGTTTTTTTGATGAAAGGACTTCCATAAAAACAAGAGTTTTAGGTCCAGGTTTGGTGGCTCATGCCTGCAGTCCCAGCACTTTGGGAGGCTGAGGTGGGAAGAATCCTTGAGCCCAGGAGTTTGAGACCAAGATCAGCAACAAAGTGAGACCCTGTCTCAATTAAAAAAAAAAACAAAAAACAAAAACCAAGAGTTGAAGTTTCCACAGATGTGTCTTTGTGGCTTTGTGATACTGTTGTCCTTCCTTCCTTCCTTCCTTCCTTCCTTCCTTCCTTCCTTCCTTCCTTCCGTCCTTCCTTCCGTCCTTCCTTCCGTCCTTCCTTCCTTCCTTCCTTCCTTCCTTCCTTCCTCGTTCCGTCGCCCGGGCTGGAGTCCGGTGGCATGGGCTGGAGTCTGGTGGCACGATGTCAGCTCACTGCAGTCTCTGCCTCCTGGGTTCAAGCAATTCTGCTTCAGCCTCCCGAGTAGCTGGGACTACAGGTGTGCACCACGATGCCGGCTAATTTTTGTATTTTTAGTAGAGACAGGATTTCACCATGTTGGCCAGGCTGATCTCGAACTCCTGACCTCAAGTGATCCACCTCCCTCGGCCTCCTAAAGCGCTGGGATTACAGGTGTGAGCCACGCGCCCGGCTGTGCAGATTCTTGATTGTTGTTTTAAAAGAGTAGGTTAGCCAGTCAAATTGAAAGAAGTAAATTGGTTAGGAAACGTCACATCTTAAAGCAGCAGTGTGCGTAGTTCCTCCTTGTGGGACCAGAGGCTACATCCTCCATTAGAGCTGGCAGAAGCAGAATGGGTTTCATTGTACATTTTACTGCCCGGGGAAGTAACAAGGTTGAACCACGTAATCCATAGGGGAACTTAGAGAATGAATCTCTGCTGCTGGTTTTCCACCTTCCATTCGGTAGTGATACTATCTAATTAGTGTGGTCAACAGGGCAATATTGTATTTCTTTGGTAGAGGAATGGATGGGAGCTTGGAACCAGAGGGTAAAGTTAACGCTAACTGCTGTGTAGTCAAAGGTCTTTCTCTCTTGGGAGATGTGTGGGAGGGCTTTTGCTGTTCCCTCGTGTGGGTGACAGAATGGTGGAAGGATGGCTTTCTATTGTTCCCATGTGAAGTTAGTTCAGGGCAGGGACAACGTGTTTGTCCTTGGAGCCCCGTGGTCTTGCCCGATGCCTGGCACAGGAATGCATTGAATGAAAGAGGTAACTGACGTTCCCTGAGCACAGACCGTGTCTAGGAACACATGACAGACTTTGTCAGCTAGTGGTCAAGTGGCACGGAGTCTCTGCCTAGAGTCACCTGTTGTTTAGTTTAGGCTATTATTAGGCTATTTCAGAGCTTTTTTCCCCGTCTCTAGAAGGGTCTTAGGGCATGAATCTGGGAACCAGTTCCCAGACAAGGTCTTGGCCCAGCAGGCTAGTGGTTAGCTCTAGTGGAAGTTCCCTCTGTAGGCCAGTAGGTGCTAAGGTGACACCACCCCTTCCTCCCTCTCCAGACCCATCCCACCACCGTGATTTGCCCATCCCCAGCAGCCTCATCACTGACCACCTGTTTTTACTTGCAGGACCCATTCCAACAATCTCGTAAAACATGGTGGATTACTATGAAGTTCTAGGCGTGCAGAGACATGCCTCACCCGAGGATATTAAAAAGGCGTAAGTAGTTTTATTTCTGTGGTAATGCATTTTCACAGTGGTACATTGGTAATTGAGTAGTATAACTTCTTCTATTGCCTATGAAAATGGCTTTTAATGTAGTATACCAGTCTTTGAATGCCACATAGTTTAATTTGACAGAGCAGTTAACGAGCATTTGCAGTCTAGGCCTGGGCTTTGCTCTTCATTAGTCAGTCACTTGGTTTATATCTGAAGTTGATGATTGTTTCACTGAGGATGTGAGATAATCCCAAACATCTTTTACATTGGACTTTGAAAATGGAGCTGACTTGGCATTCTTGAGTGCCCCTTTGGAAGGCAGGGGCCCAGAGTACATAGCACTCAAATTTTCTTGTTGTGATTGTTGGGCTCCGGCCTATGCCACTGGAGTCCCTTCTGATTCATATGAAAGTTCGAGAACTGCAGCGCTGCCTGTGGTACCTGCATCTGTGTGACCAGGGCCTGGCCATTGTGAGGAGGGCAGTTCAGCCACAGAAGGCTCTCACGGTAACCTTAGTCTGTTTAATTAATGAGGTGTTAACTGTGAATGTAGAGTATACAGCAAAGACGTCATGAAACAGATTGTTAGATTTTAACATAGCTAGAGAGCAGTTAGCCTGGAATAGTTGGAACCAACTTAAAAAAATTGTTAATAAATAATGGAGTGTCTATACTGCTAGACTTAGTGGGTCTGAAGATAGAATTAACTTTTTTGGGGGCCAAATAGTTCATTTTGCTTAATTTTTAAATTTTAATAAAAATACAGAGTCTCAATATGTTGCTCAGGCTGGTCTCAAACTCCTGGGCTCAAGCGATTCTCTTGCCTTGGCCTCCCAGATTGCTGCGGTTATATTTGTGAGCCACTGTGTGTAGCTGAGATAGTTCATTTTAAAATGCTAAATTACGGCCAGGCAAGTGGCTCACACCTCTAATCCTAGCACTTCGAGAGGCCTAGGTGGGAGGGTCACTGGAGCCCAGGGGTTTGAGACCAGCCTGGGCAACAAAATGAGATACTGTCTTGACCAAAAAAAAATAGTTGGGTGTGGTGGCACATGCCTGTAGTCCCAACTGCTCCAGAGGCTGAGGCAGGAGAATTGCTTGAGCCCAGGAGGTTGAGGCTGCAGTGAGCTATGTTCGTGCCACTGTGTTCCAGCTTGGGCAACCAAGCCGAGACCCTGTCTCAAAAAAGCCAAGTCAGGATGGCTGACGTTGCCTGAAGGTTATTTGAAACCTCTGCCGAGGAACCTAGTAGAAGCAGTCTACTGAGGAGAGGTCAGGCAGGCCCTGATGCTGTCACTAGTAGAGTGAGGTTTCCCACACTGTGAGGAAGCCTGTGCTGCACACTTGAGGCTCACACTATTCTTATCAGTAATGTTAACAGCCAGGCATACTTGACAGATTATAAGACGAAGACAGTTGGGAATACCTTACTCCTCTCGAATAAGTTAATGGATGTATTAGTCTGTTTTTACGCTGCTGATAAAGACGTACCTGAGACTGGGAAGAAAAGGAGGTTTAATTTGACTTACAGTTCCACATGGCTGGGGAGGTCTTACAATCATGGAGGAGGGCGAAAGACACTTCTTACATGGCGACAGCAAGAGAATGAGGAAGAAGCAAAAGCGGAAACCCCTTATAAACCCATCAGGTCTTGTGAGGCTTATTATCAGGAGAATAGCACGGGAAAGACTAGTCCCCATGATTCAGTTACCTCCCCCTGGGTCCCTCGCATAACACCTGGGAGTTCTGGGAGTTACAACTCAAGTTGAGATTTGGGTGGGGACATAGCCAGCCCTTATCAATGGATAAGCATAATATGTGTACAGTGCTTTCAGTAATGATGGAAATTACATACCTTTATGATAGAGGTCATTAGAGAGTAGATTGGTTTTAGTTGTTTCTGAGAACATACAGGTTGCTGAGTGTCTCTAGCATGACGTTGAAGTAGGAATTTAGAAAAGGCTGTTACCTTTAAAAGCAGTGAGATTTCCTGCACTCCTGAGTGTACAGTTGTATAAATGCTGACTTTTAAAAATGAGCAGAATGATAGCTATGGGGGCGTGCTGTTAGTCTATCTTGTGTACCCTTGGCTTTGTGTGTTGACAGTTTTTGATTGAAGACTTAAAGGTCTGTGGCTGCCACCTGTTCTGCATCTCTCCTGAGATACCAGACTCTTCCTGGGTTTGAGTCACACACCATGGGCCTTCCTTCCTTGGTGCTGAAGTACTGGTGTGCAGGTCCAACAGATCTGAAGGTCAACATTCAAAGTCATTTGGCACTGTTTACACTTGCATATCGTGTTGTATTACACCTTGATTTTTAAATATTTTAGTAGTGTATGACTGGGGCATACACAGTTGAATCTTGTCCTGCATTCTCATCCATTGCCAAGTTTTCATATGAACACTAGATGATAGGTAGTACTGCACACTAATCATTTTTTCTCTTTTGTCTTTTGTATGGTCTGTTATTTTTGACTGAGGATTTCTGGCACATTTAGGGTTATTTGATCCACTGCTACACGTTTTTTTTTTTTTTTGAGACGGTGTCTCGCTATGTCACCCAGGCTGGAGTTCAATGGCGTGATCTCGGCTCACTGCAACCTCTGCCTCCCAGGTTCAGGCGATTCTCCTGCCTTAGCCTCCCGAGTAGGTGGAACTGCAGGCGCCTGCCATGATGCCCAGCTAATTTTTATATTTTTAATAGAGACGGGGTTTCACCATGTTGGCCAGGATGGTCTCGATCTCTTGACCTCGTGATCTGCCTGCCTCAGCCTCCCAAAGTGCTGAGATTACAGGCATGAGCCACTGCGCCCGGCTGCTACATGTTTGTTTAGGTCCACAGTGACATAAATTACTGTTAAGTATTCTGGACTCCAGCTTTAATCAGATTTTAGTATGGTTAAGCCAAGGTTTTGTTGAACATGTTGTAAGTTAAATTGAGCCACAACAGCTTTACAGTAATAACTTGCCTAGTGTTAAAAGCACTGTCAGATTAGTATACTAGTCTGAAATTTTGAGGGGTATGCTGCTTCTCTTTTTTAACGTTACCCTCCTTTTGAATATATGCTGCTTAGGTTTTGCTAATTAGACTAGAGGATTTTTTTGTATTCATTCATTCATTCATTCATTCATTCATGCATTCATGTTGAGCCGGAGGCTCGCTCTGTCACCTAGCCTGGAGTTCAGTGGCACGATGTTGGCTCACTGCAACCTCTTTCTCCTGGGTTCAAGCAATTCTTCTGTCTCAGCCTCCTGAGTAGCTGGGATTACAGGTGCGTGCCTTCATGTCCGGCTTTTTGTATTTTTAGTAGAGATGGGGTTTTGCCATGTTGGCCAGGTTGGTCTCGAACTCCTGACCTCAGGTGATCCACCCACCTCGGCCTGCCAGAGTGCTGGGATTACAGGTGTGAGCCGCTGCACCCGGCCTTTTTTTTTGTATTTAAATAGCGTGCAATTATTTGGTCAGTTGGAACTCTGCAACAGAATATGACCTTGGTCATAGAATCTTTGTAGAAGTCAGTGTTTTAACTCTGTTTAGATCTTGAATCTGGCACAGAGGGTGTTTGAAAGATTCTGAGATCCTGGCCTGTTGGGTGGCAGGTGATTCACCTTTGGCACACAGATGAGCTAGGTAGTGGGGCTGGCTGAGGAAGTAGGGTCCTGGGAATCAGAACATGGAAGGATATGAATGGTGATGTTGGATCTTGCTGCTCAGTGACCCAGGCCTTTTTTTCCCTTTTTAAAAATTTTTTGAGACGGAGTTTCGCTCTTGTTGCCCAGGCTGGAGTGCAATGGTGCGATCTCGGCTCACCACAACCTCTGCCTCCCAGGTTCCAGTGATTCTCCTGCCGCAGCCTCCTGAGTAGCTGGGATTACAGTCAAGTACCACAATGCCCGGCTAATTTTGTATTTTTAGTAGCGTTGGGGTTTCTCCATGTTGGCCAGGCTGGTCTCGAACTTCTGACCTCAGGTGATCTGCCCACCTCCCAAAGTGCTGGGATTACAGGCATGAGCCACCACGCCTGGCCTTTCTCCTTTACTTCACATACTTGCTCAGTCTTGTCACTGTCAGTCCACGTTGTGGACACTGTGATCTTTATTTTTCTATCTCTAGAGGTTCGTTTGTATTATGCTATCAGGATTTTTATTCTAAAACTTACTTTAATGAGTATTTTTACAATTTTAATTTTGAGACAGTCTTGTTCTGTCGCCCAGGCTGGACTGCAGTGGTGTGATCATAGCTCACTGTAGCCTTGAACTCCTGGCCTCAAGCAGTTGTCACGCCTCAGCCTCTGGAGTAGCTGGGTCTATCTGTGGCTGCACGCCACTACGCCTGGCTATCTGGATTTTAGAACTTTGTGTATTTCATTGTAGAGGAAAGGGAGGTTTTACAGTTAAAACCAGTATTCATCTCACCAGTTGGCAGCTCTGAAGCCATTCTCGTGGTTAATGATGTTAGTTTCAAAAGCATAGTTGATTTCTGGATTTAGAATGTGATCTATATCCTTTATTCTTTCCAAGATATCGGAAACTGGCACTGAAGTGGCATCCAGATAAAAATCCTGAGAATAAAGAAGAAGCAGAGAGAAAATTCAAGCAAGTAGCGGAGGCATATGAAGTGCTGTCGGATGGTGAGTGACAGCGAGCTGCTGAAGGACCCTGAGCGGGCATGCCGGAATGCGGAGTGGGTGTTGGGATCCTCCTCAGGGTAGCACAGTATGGACTCAAGTGACTTGTTTTTGATGCCTACTGGATTTTGGGCCCTTCTAAGAGATTTTTACTTTTCTCGTGAAGATTTGAATTGATTTAGGTAACCACGAGTGCTGGGGAGCTCCAGGGCTTCTAGTAGTTTCTCCTAGGATGGCTGTTTTAAAAGCGGGACTAGACATCCTGGGTTTGAGGAACCTGGGAGAGAGGAGGTTGCGGGACTCAGGTCACTGTGCATGTGGCGTGCTTGCCCCCGTTGTGTGTGATCATTCTGACCTTGCTCACCCCCACTGGCTTAAACAATACCATTCCAGTGGAGTCAGCTTTACTGCTTGAGAGGATGTCATTAGTTCCCAAAAAGAGGGGATGGAACATACAGCTAAAATTTAGATTTCCAGTTTCAGGCCTGTTTTCCCCTCCTAGGTCTGGAGCAGAGGTGTTCTATGTTACTGGAAGTCAGATCCATTGGCCTAGTTCACAAATGGGTGAGGGGTCAGAGGTCAGCTGTCGCCTAGATGCAGTCAGGGTTCCATGGGGGAAGTAAAGGCTGTGCATGGGGCCTGGGGTGGGGGAACAGTGACAGAACTGGAAAGCCACACAGTGCCCCTGTCTGCTGCAGTGCTGGGTGGCCTGTTGTGAGCAAAGGCCGAGGCTTTTCCAAGGTTAGGGATGGACTAACTGAACCCTGGAAGTGGGCACTTGGTTAAGTGTATCTGCATGTGGTCAGGTAATTGGCCCTTATTTACAACAAAAAAAATTTTTTTTTTTTTTAAAGAACCCAATTTGAGGCAGAGGTTGCAGTGAGCCGAGATTGCGCCACTGCACTCCAGCCTGGGCGACAGTGCGAGACTGTCTCCAAAAAACAAAACAAAACCAAACCAATCAGAAGGAACCCAGTGTAAGCTTGCCACCTTCAACAGCTACCAGCACACCACCAGCCTTGCTTTCTCTGGTGACACTGTGGCCCACCCCCTTTGTTTTAGAGGAAATTCCAAACATTTTACTTCAAAAAATATGAAAAGACATAAAAACACCGATATTTGAAGTCTTCTTGAAATGTGGCATTTAAGGTCTTGAACTGTTGAGCTTATTCATTGGAAAGTTTATTTTTTTTAAAGAGAGAGGATCTTGCTATGTTTCCTAGGGAGGCCTTGAACTCCTGGGTTGAGGTGATCGTCCTCTCTCCTCAAGTTCCAAGCACCATTGCGCCAGGCTTGTTCCCTTAGATTTGTGCGCTGGGAGTGACAGAGGAGGGCACAGGCCTCAGTGTTACCATCTTGGTCTTCGGTCCTTGTTGTTTGTGTGCTAATTCAGTATTGCCAGATTCAGGATTTTAGGGACTAGTAACATTAGGAAAAGTGAGGGCCAAAATGAAGCTTCATATTTGATAGAGCAGCTTTAAACTACCACACTGAAAAGTCGCTTGGTTCTTTTGGGAGGTGTATGAGGTGTGTTTTTCATGTCCTTTTAGGCAGCCTTCAGTGCCAGCTGGAGTTGTCTTCAAAACATGGTCATTGTTCTTGCCATGGCACTGGCTACCTGAAACTGCTTGCAAGTGGTTTGTTTCTAAGCTCGTTTTCCCATTTTGTGGAATGTGAGATTTTCTTCTACTTTTTAAAAATTGAGAAGGGGTCTCACTCTGTTGCCCAGGCTGGAATGTAGTGGCATGATCACAGTTCGCTGCAGTCTTGACCTCCCAGGCTCAAGCGATTCTCCCATCTCGGCTTCCTGAGTAACTGGGACCACGGGTGGGTGCCACTGTGCCCAGCTAACTTTTTTGTATTGTGTTTAAAGGTGGGATTTTGCCGTGTTGCCCAGGCTGGTCTTGAACTCCTGGGCTTAAGTGATCCACCTTCCTTGCCCACGCAAAGTGTTGGGATTATAGGCGTTAGCCACTGCATCCAGCCTATGAGATTTTTTGAGGAACGCAGATGGTGTCATGTCAGAAGTACCAGTGCTTCTAATGTCATTGTTTTTGTTCTGGGATATAAGTAGCATTTGGAATGTAAGTGTGAAGACTGTCAGTGGAGAGGGGCACACTAGCCCCAGGCCTTGCATCCGGGTGGTCCACTTCGAGGGTGAATGAGCCTGTAGGGTGTTAGGTTGGCGCCTTTCTGGCACATCTGCTTTCTCCCACTTGCCTAGGCCCTGGCATGTTTGTTTTCGTGCTGCAGATATGGTCCTCTAATTGGGTTTTTGTAGTAAGATGGTGCACTTCTGTGGTTGCAATAATCTTGTACTTGGTCGTGTGATTTTAATGTAGCATGTCTGGGCTCTGTGCAGTAGAGTGAAAGAAACGATCTAATGGAATAAAGAAAAAAATTTTTTTTTGCTTTTGAGATGGAGTTTTGCTCGTTGCCCAGGCTTGAGTGCAATGGTGCAATCTGGGCTCACTGCAACTTCTGCCTCCTGGGTTCAAGCGATTCTCCTGCTTCAGTCCCCTGAGTAGCTGGGATCACAGGCATGCGCCACCATGCCTGGCTAATTTTGTATTTTTAGTAGAGACTGGGTTTCTCCGTGTTGGCCAGGCTGCTCTCGAACTCCTGACCTCAGGTGATCGGCCCTTCTCGGCCTCTGAAAGTGCTGGGATTACAGGTATGAGCTACCTCGCGTGGCTAAGTCCCCCCCGCGCCTACTCTTGTTGCCCAGGCTGGAGTGCAATGGCACGATCTTGGCTCACCACAAACTCCGCCTCCCGGGTTCCAGCTATTCTCTTGCCTCAGCCTCCTGAGTAGCTGGGATTACAAGTGCCTGCCACCACGCCTGGCTAATTATTGTATTTTTACAAGAGATGAGGTTTCACCATATTGGCCAGGCTGGTCTCAAACTCCTGACCTCAGGTGATCTGCCCACCTTGGCCTCCCAAAGTGGTGGGATTACAGGTGTGAGCCACCATGCCTGGCCGTAAATACTTAAATATTTCTAATAACTTGTAAAAATTCAACATACTGAATTTTTTTTGAATTGTTTTTCAGGAGAGAGGTACAGAAAGTTTTCCCTGTTGCTTTGTTTTGTTTTAAAGAAAAGGTGGCCATACTCCTTGAAATTCAGTTGTAAAACATCGAAAACTGATTTACAACTGGGGAAATACCTTATCTATTGAATTAAGGGTTTAAAAGGAACTTGGCCTTACCGACTTTTCTTTCAATTTTTAGCTAAGAAACGGGACATCTATGACAAATATGGCAAAGAAGGATTAAATGGTGGAGGAGGAGGTAAGTACGTGAGTTTTTTCTTTGAAGACAAAAGGTCTTGGCAAGTAAGTTGAGTTTGTAAATCACGAGTCTCTTGGTCAGAGTCGATTTTGTATCAGTAAATAGAGATGCAACGTAGAAAGCGAACTAAATTGGGGAGAGGACAGAGAAATTGATGGCATTTAAAAGTCTTTTACGAGACTAGAAGTATATGTTGATGTATTTTTTATAGATAGAAACAATTTGTAACCATACTGCAATATATTGTGAACATATACCCTTAGATCAGCACTTGACGTTATGTCAAAATATCCTAAGGGTTTAAAGAGCAGATTTTCCTGAAAAGCTAAAATAATGACTTTGAAGGGCGTGGACTTTGTCCCCAAAAGTTCCCACGGTCACTGGGCTGTGACCAGCCTCCCCAGGGGTGTTGGGAAATTATTGCTCCAAACCCACTGGGGCCACGCGGCAGCTTCTGTGGCTCCAGGAGGCCAGTCGTCGAAGTGGATGCAGATACTCTTGGTCTTCATAAACCTTCATAACAAATCATAAAAATGGTGTGTAATGTTACATGTTATATGCCGATCACGGATTTAGAGATGGTGAAAAGTAGTGTCGAAGGGGCCACTGCTGCACTCATATGCCATCAGCGCTGGGCACACTCACTCTCTGTCAGTACAGGGCTCATGTTTTGAATTATAGAGAACTTCAGGTTTATGAAATATTTTTGTTTTTATTAGTTCATGATTTGTATAATGTTTTGTCAACAAAGAATTCTTTGCCTACAAAGCACCAAAATTCATAAACTAAAAGCTGTGTTGTATTTGTGCAGGTGGAAGTCATTTTGACAGTCCATTTGAATTTGGCTTCACATTCCGTAACCCAGATGATGTCTTCAGGGAATTTTTTGGTGGAAGGGACCCATTTTCATTTGACTTCTTTGGTAAGTTAATCACGTGGGTTGACTTGGTGTGTGTCCATGACCCAAATGAGGGCTTACTTAGTATGGCCTTTCTGTTGAATTAACATTGTATTTTAGGCTGGGCGCGGTGGCTCATGCCTGTAATCCCAGCACTTTGGGAGCCTGAGGCGGGCAGATCACCTGAGGTTGGGAGTTCAAGACCAGCCTGACCAACATGGAGAAGCCACGTCTCTATTAAAATACAAAATTAGCCGGGCATGGTGGCGCATGCCTGTAATCCCAGCTACTTGGGAGGCTGAGGCAGGAGAATCACTTGAACCCGGGAGGCAGAGGTTGCGGTGAACTGAGATCATGCCATTGCATTGTTGTCTGGGCAACAAGAGTGAAACTCCTGTCTCAAAAAAAAAAAAGTTAACATTGTATTTTGTCACGAAACTTTGTGTTTAAAGCAGCATTGGACTAGCCTGAACAACATGGTGAAACCCTGTCTCAACAACAACAAAAAAAATACTAAAAATTAGCTGAGTGTGGTGGCGTGTGCCTGTGGTCCCAGCTACTTGGGAGGCTGAGGTGGGAGGATTTCCTTGAGCCTGGGAGGTTGAGATTGGGCCACTGCACTCCAGCTTGGGTGACAGAGCAAGGCCCTGTCTCAAAAAAATAAAACAGCACAGTAGCTGTAAAATCTTTTCTCTTCTTCCTCTTTGAAAATTTAAGTTACAGCTTGAAAAATTAAAATAATAAAGGGTTTAATGTATTTTTTTCTTTGTTATGTATGGCCTTAATTAACTTGCTTTTGCCCTCAGAAGAGACAGTGGTAAGGGCATGGGTGCGAGTGTCTTGGAAACGTTGTTTCCCATTGAACAACCAATTGGTGTGTGAATTTGCCACATCATATTCCTGGTAAAATCATTAAGCACCATAGTACTGTTGGCAAGACCTTTCATCCGTAAACATTGTGTGTGAGGACTGTTGTTGAGAGTTTGCGGAAAGGCACCTCTAGAGCAAGACTGCGGAGGCCTTTGCTGAGGAGAGAATGGTTTTGTTAAGGGAGACAGTGCTGTTATAGCTGCTGTTTGATTGTAGGAAAATGGATTTCTCATCAGTGGCATCTCAGTCCTGATGCCTGGTCCTAGGCGTTGGTGTATGTCTTGGGCACAGTTTGGGTCAGGCACTTTTGTTAGCTGTCTCCTGTTAGAGTCTTCTCAACCACTGGGACTTCCTGAGTGGTGCACTGGGTGACCTGAGAGGTCAGGATTAAACATGTACTCCTGTAGTTGTTTTTGTCTTTTGACTTATTGAAAGGGAAACACATTGTATGTTTACCTCCTTCATTGCCTGGAGCTTGGGTGAAGAAACTGAACACCACCTGCAACTCGAGGAGGGAAAGAGAAGAGTAGTTGTGTCTACAGATAATACAGGGGAGAAACGTGGAGCTCCTGCCTGCCGCAGGCACGAAGAAGCATAATCACTCTCATATCTGGTAGGTCTTGGGCCTTTTGCATGGTGCAGTTCTTCAGTGTGTCTCAAATGGGGATTCAAAGAGGTTGTTCTTACACCTTATTATGGGCTGGCTGGCTTGAAGAGAGCCCCTTTCTGAGGGAGGAAGGACAGTCAGTGGCCTCAAGCATTTTCAGGGAAACTGAAGCTGAGCAGGCGATTTCCGATTAGGGGACCGGGAGACTGGCGTGCTCATCGTTTAAGTGCATTTGCTGTAATCACTGCTGCCATCAGCAGAAACAGAGCTCAAGAAAGAACCATGTTTACATCCGTCCTTCATCAACCCTCACAGGCAAGAAATATTTCTCTAAGAAAAATAATTTACGGATTGATCTCTGTCTTAAAAATGACCTTTGCATCTTGCTGTAGCCTTCAGCAAACTGCATTTGTTGCTTTGCAGGACAGGGCAGTGTTTGGGTTGAAGTCCTGTGTTCTGATCGGTGATTCTCATGGTGACCAAGCGAGGAAGAAGGCCCGCTCTTCCAACACCATGGCTTCTCTTCTGGGGCACACGAGGTGAAACGGGCTGTCCTCGTGATGTCTGAGACCGGGCGTCTTCAACAGGCCCTGCTTAACATTATGATTAAACAGGGCTTTCTTACCATTATTATTAAACAGGCCGTTTCTCAACATTATTATTAAATAGGCCCCTTCTTAACATTGTTATTAAAGAGGCCCTTTCTTCACATTATTATTAAACAGGCCCCTTCTTAACATTATTATTAAACAGGCCTTTCATAACGTTATTATTAAACGGGCCCCTTCTTCACATTATTATTAAACAGGCCCCTTCTTAACATTATTATTAAACAGGCCTTTCATAACATTATTATTAAACGAGCCCCTTCTTAACATCATTATTAAACAGGCCTTTCATAACGTTATTATTAAACGGGCCCCTTCTTCACATTATTATTAAACAGGCCCCTTCTCAACATTATTATTAAACAGGCCCCTTCTTAACATTATTATTAAACGGGACCCTTCTTAAGATTATTAAACGGGCCCTTTCTTAACATTATTATTAAACAGGCCCCTTCTTAACATTATTATTAAAGAGGCCCTTTCTTAACATTATTATTAAACAGGTCTTTCATAACGTTATTATTAAACGGGCCCCTTCTTAACATTATTATTAAACAGGCCCCTTCTTAACATTATTATTAAATGGGACCCTTCTTAAGATTATTAAACGGGCCCCTTCTTAACATTATTATTAAACAGGCCCCTTCTTAACATTATTATTAAAGAGGCCCTTTCTTCACATTATTATTAAACAGGCCCTTTCTTAACATTATTATTAAACCGGCCTTTCATTAACGTTATTATTAAATGGGCCCCTTCTTAACATTATTATTAAACGGGCCCCTTCTTAACATTATTATTAAACAGGCCGTTTCTCAACATGATTATTAAACAGGACCTTCTTAACATTATTATTAAATGGGCCCTTTCTTAACATTATGATTAAACAGGTCCTTTCTTAACATTATGATTATTATTTTAATTCAAAGGGGAAGGGTCCCTTAGTGACTGAATTGTAGCTAATTTTTGTTTTCCTTGGGGAAAATAATCTGATACACCAAGCCATAGAGCAATTACTTGTAAAGAAGGTATAGAGATCTAATTAGATGTGAGTGAATAAGTGAGTTTTTACCCCTAGTCCAAGGAGAGAGGTGCTAGTCTTACTGAAGCGCTTTACTGTTAAATGCTCCATTTTACATGCAGACCTATTTTAAGACCAGGTACCCTGTGTTTCCCATGATTAGTGTGGCAGTGATACTTGTTCATTCCGTTCTTATAGGTGTTCTAGATGACTTCCATTTTCAGGCTCTCAGGATTTACACACTGGGGAAGCTGCTGCTCCATGGCTGCTATATGTATGTAGTCACTGAGCAGCCTGCTGACGGTATGTTTAATGTAGATGGGTGTGGATGCAGAGCCAGAGGGATTTCCGCTTATTCATGATGTAGTTCAGGGGTCAACACCCTGGTCTGTGGCCTGTTACGAACTGGCCTGTTGGGAACAGGAGGTGAGCGGCGCGCAGGCAGGCAAGCATTACTGCCTGAGCCCCACCTCCTATCAGCTCAGTGGCAGCATTGGAGTCTCATAAGGGCACAAACCCTATTGTGAACTGCACACGCGAGGGACCTAGGTTGCGCATTCCTCATCAGAATCCAGTATCTGAAACCATCCCCCTACCCCAACCCATCACCCACTGTGTGGAAGAATTGTCTTCCATGAAACCAGTCCCTGGTGGCAAAAAGGTTGGGGACCGCTGTTGACAAATCATATTTACTAGACCTGGTGTACTTTCCACGTGACGAAAAAGTAGTTTAAAATGTGCTGTAAGATATTTCCGAGCTGCACTTTACATTTATCAGAATGCAGAACCCCTGCTGTACTTCAGACCTCCCTCATGATAGGTGGGGAAGGGTGAAGGGGTGCCGGATGTTGGACACATGGTATGCAGGTCTGTGCCTGAGCACCAGGCAGTGCTCACTGTCACACTGTGGCCAAGGAGACTTGGGCCTGGGGCCTGCGGTGTGGAACCCGTCCTTTACAGAAGAAGCCCTCCCAGGAGAGGTCGCGGAGGCGGATTCTAACACCAGCCTGGAAGGAATGCTGCCTCTGAATTGGAGGGGTACAATCAAAACTGCTGAGGCTAGGTGACTGTCGAAATTTCCAGAATGTGGAGCACATGCAAATGAGCTCTTGTCGAAATGTTAATTGGAAAATATTAATAGGCAGTGGACTTATTTGAATTAGGATGCTCTCTTTATTTTATTATTAGAGGACCCTATTGCTCAGTGAAATGATGTTCTGAGATAGGAAAGAAAGGGTACCTGATAATAGTGCCTTTTGATCCCATTAGTCACAGCAGGCATTACATCTGGGAAAAGCCTGTGGGTTTAACTTCACATTTTATTTATATTCTTGGAAAACCAAAGCGAACCTTTAAGGTTTCCAGAGAGGCCTTTTATTTTAGCAGTGCAGCAAGTTTTTCCTTTGTAAAGCATCACTGTGGTACGAATGATGCTCTGTAGCAATAGAGGAGGAGTCCTGTGGTATGTAGAACCAAGGAAAGCAGACTTCTTGCAGGAAAAATGAGTGCATTGAGGATAGTAACCTGACTTTCTGACCTGTGATTAAATTATGATAGTAGTCAGTCATTTTACTCTCCCAGGGTTTGAGGAAGTGGCCGGTGAGGACTTGGAGCCTAGTGAGGAGTTAGTAGAGCTGCCCAGGGTGGAGGAGGCCACAGAGGACAGCCCTGGTGAAGAGAACAGTGAGGCCTTGGATGTGTTGATATCCAGCAAGGACCTGGCACTGTCTAGTGAGGACGAGGCCTGCACAGGATGTAACTGGGGCCTGGGCGAGCCCTTCAGCGAGGAGCTGGGGCTCATATCCAGCGAGGACGGGGCCAGCCCTGGGGACGTAGAGGAGCTCGGCGAGGAGTGCGAGGAGCCGCTGAGTGAGGAGGAGCACAGCGGGCCAGAGCTGGGGCGCTGCCGGCACCACCATAAAGTGTCAAGGAGCTGCCCGAGTGGGACTGACTTAAAACAGTGTATCTAGAATAAAATGGTTTCCTCTAGTGCCTTGATACTGTCCTTGGTCAGACGACCTCAGCTGCCTTGGAGATAGAACTGAAGAAGCAAGAGAGGGAGGTGGCAGCCCTGAAGCACAGGCCGGGCGTCTCGTAGGCTCTTTCCCTAGAAGCCAGAGCACAGACCCTGAAGACAGCCTTGAGTTTGATCCGTACCACAAACCGGGGGCTTAAACTACCAAAATGTACCATCTCCCAGTCCTGGAGGCTGGCCATGTGAGACCCAGGTATTGCAGGGCTGGTTGCTTCTGAGGCTGAGATGTGTCCCGTCTTGCTCCAGGCCCTTCCCCAGCTGTTCTTCTCCCTACATTTGCAGACGGATGGCCCATCCGATGTTGACATCATCTCCTTTGTGTCTGTCTCTGTGTCCATTGGATTTAATGTTTTAGAGACAGATTTCACTGTGTTGCTTAGGCTGGCCTCCAACCGCTAGGCTCAAGCAGTCTTCCTTCCTCAGCCTCCCAAGTAACTGATCACAGGCATGAGCCACTGTGCCCAGCCACAAGTTCCCCCTTTTTATAAGGACATCATTTATATTGGCTTAGTGCCCACTGTAATGATTTCATCTTAACTTGATAATCTATAAAGAGCCTGTTCCCAGTAAGGTCACATTCACAGGTACTGGGGATTAGGACTCTAATTTAATCTTTTTTGGGGACCATGATTCAACCACTTTAACATCATATTTCTAACGGGTAGATTTTTGTGCTAGTCTTTGAAATTCACAGCCAAGCAGCAAATTTTGAAAGGTGAAAGGAGGAGGAACCTTTAAAGTTAGACATGTGCCCTCACCCCTCGCTCTGAGACAGAGTTTTGCTCTGTCACCCAGGCTGGAGTGCAGTGGCACAGTCTCAGCTTACTGCAACTTCCGCCTCCCAGGTTCAAGTGATTCTCTTGCCTCAGCCTCCCAAGTAGCTGGGATTTCAGGTACCCACCACCACACCTGGCTAATGTTTGTGTTTTTAGTAGAGACGGAGTTTCACCATGTTGGCCAGGCTAGTCTCGAACTTCTGACCTCAGGTCATCTGCCTGCCTTGGCCTCCCGAAGTGCTGGGATTACATGCGTGAGCCACCATGCCTGGCCAAAGTTAGATGTGTTAATGAGAGCTAGAAGTTAGGGGTCAAGTACAGGCATGGGAGTGGCACAGCAGATTGGATCGGTGTGTGCTGGTGACCTGGACCCACTATCATTACACGGCGCTACAGCAGTTTGTTTGTAATGAGTGTTCTTTGATTACTTTGGACAGAGTTCATACACAGGCACACCTACACACAGGTCACTTAGAAGAAGTTAAGGAGTCTTTTTAAATACACATAAAAACATCACATACTAAGCCAGGCATGGTGGTGTACCCCTGTAATGCCAGCTACTGGGGAGGCTGAGGTAGGAGATTCCTTGAGCCCAGGAGTTCGAGTCCAGCTTGGGAAAAATAATGAGATGCCATCTCTAAAAATTTAAGAAAAAAAGGTTAAAAAATGAAACCGTGATGTACGAGACTGGTTTCCAGCTAAAGTTGTTGGAACCATCCTTGTGTGTAATTTCACATGGTCGTGAAGCAGTGGGCAGTCCCGCCCGGCATCCCCACGCGCTCTTCCTCTCATCTGGTGAGAGTTTCTTGGAGAACATGCCAAACTCATGTATGGTTGTGTGCGTATTTGAGAACTCCTCGTGTTGAGATGGAGCTGTTTTTTGGAAGTATCTCATTTTTTTTGAGATGGAGTCTCACTCTGTCGCCCAGCTGGAGTGCAGTGGCGTGATCTCGGCTCACTGCAACCTGTACCTCCCGGGTTCAAGTGATTCTCCTGCCTTAGCCTCCCAAGTAGCGGGGATTACAGACATGTGCCACCGCGCCCGGCTAATTTTGTATTTTTATGAGAGACAGGGTTTCTTCATGTTGGTCAGGTTGGTCTCGAACTCCTGAGCTCAGGCGATCCACCCACCTCGGCCACCCAGAGTGCTGGGATTACAGGCATGAGCCACCGTGCCAGGCCGTTCATTTCTACTGAAAATTATCCTGGCTAGTGAGGATGGGTGCCATGTTAGTGATCTGCGATTCTTTTGTGCTGTTTTTCAGTACATACTTGGTCGTTTCAGGACCTTTGTTTCCTCTGACGTCCTCCCTTAAATAGGGAGAGGAAATGGTTCCTGGAAACGGTCATTTTGAGAATTTTCTGTGCTGTGAGAACTGAGGCTCTGGCTACCCCTCTAAAAGGCTTGAGCCATGCTGTAAGAGTTTGTGGGCAGTGTTTCTGTGGTGTTTCCTCCCTTGTATTTTGTGGTGTTGGTCCCCCTAACAGGTCTTTGTATAGTGTTTGGTTCACATTGTTGGCATGACAGTCACCTGAGCAAGACGTTGCCTGAGTCCTTTGTCAGTTTGGGTTTTCGCATCATCTGTTTCCAGTGGGATTTTGGTCCCTGGTCAACTTGTGGACAACTCCAGAGATTGAGATAGTTGCCGTATCCTTAGTGCTCCCAGGGGGAGATGTTCTGGGACTGTAGGTGCAAGATGTAGGAAGAGTGATTTAAACTTGAGGCTGCAGGCAGACCTGATACTGTGTTGGGCTTTGACAGGTTTAGGGAATACCAGTATTTATAGGCAGTATGATAGTGTAGGGGGACAGTGAGGTGGAAGGTGTGATGGTGGAGGAAAGATGAATCGGCCATCTGCGAGTAGGGCTCAGAAAAGAGCCTGGAGCCTGCTGCTGTTCTGGTGGTTTCTTCCCTGAGCAATGAGGACTGTGGTTGGGAAGAGGCCCATTCCTCCTGACGCCAGAGTTCCTCATCTCATGTTGGCTCTTTTGTATTTGAAATAGAATAATTTGATTGCAGTGTATTGTGGATTCTTTGACTTCGATAGATTTTTGTAACTTTTGGGAAACAGATTACTCTAACCAGACCTGGGAAGTAGCTAGAAATTATACTTGTAATAAAAAACAATTATATGGGAAGCTGAAAATGGTGGTGTTCATTTAACAAATATGGCGTGCCTGCTGTTTAGTGCCAGGCACTATTCTAGGTGCTGGTTTGGCAGTGGAGAGAAACACTGAAGCCCTGTTCTCAGGGCGTGCACTTCAGGGCGGAGCTCCGGCCGTGTTCTTCATTGGCTCCCATTGCGTGTTGTATTCCAGATTCCTAACAGTTAGGTTATTTGCTACTTCTGAAAATGTGAGTTGTAATAAATGAGTGCCTGGTTTTGAGAGGAGTTGGGAGAGCAGAGGAAGTCTGTCTTTCATGCTTGCCTTTTGAATCTCAAGCGTTTCTCCCTTTTGAGGGCGGCTGTCTAGGTTTTAGCTTTGGAACTTGAGGAGAGAGTGACATATTTTCCTTTGTTTGAAATAGCCATGGTGCTTTTTCAGTTTTGTTTTGCTGTCATTTTTTTGTTCCAGCTTTTCTGTGCACTTGGGGAATTGACAGTGGGTCCTGAAATCATGACAGCAGGCCTCTCCTGGGCCGCGGCTGGGAGTGTGCTGAGGAAGGGCGAGCTTAGTGCTGCCCTGAGATGAACGTGGTTGGTGGGAATCCCTTCGCTTCGTTGTGAAGCTGTTCCTGTTCCATCAGGTTCTCATGCTTGGTAAAGCTCAGAGAAAATGTGTGGGTTTAAAACATGTTCTCCACTTCCTCAGTGTTCTTCAAGTTTGTATGTGGGTAAATGTTTGTTACATGTGTTTTGTGGTCAGTTTTCTCACACTGTTCATTGTATATATATATTTTTTGGTCATAAATTTGTGACTGTTCTTTAGATAGTCAGTTTAGTATCTTGTTAATGTTATGGGCCCCTTAATGCATTGGTCTTAGTATTCCTCAGGGAATAGCATGATATTGCAAAATTTTAAAGAAGCTCTTGCTATACGATGCCCAGAATGTTGAAATGGAAGAAGTGTCACTGAAAAGAGTCAAACTGTAAAATATTTGAAGAGATGTATTCTGAGCCAAATATAAGTGACCATGCTGGTGACACAGCCTCAGGAGTCCCAAGAACATGTGTCCAAGTGGTCAGGGTGCAGCTTGGTTTATACATTATAGGGAGGCATGAGACATCAATCAGATCATAACCTGTAATCCCTGCACTTTGGGAGGCTGAGGCGGATGGATCGCTTGAGGTCAGGAGTTCCAGACCAGCCTGGCCAACATGGTGAAACACTACCTCTACTAAAAATAAAAAAATTAGCCAGGCGGGGTGGCAGGCACCTGTAATCCCAGCTACTTGGGAGGCTGAGGCAGGAGAACTGCTTGACCTGGGAGGCAGAGGTTGCAGTGAGCCAAGATCGCGCCACTACACTCCAGCCTGGGCGACAGAGCAAGACTCCGTCTTGGGAAAACAAACAAACAAAAAGAAATACATTGTTTTGGCCCAGAAAGGCAGGACAGCTCAAAGCAGGGGGGCTTCCAGACTGTTGGTGAATGAAAACATTTTCTGGTTGACAATTGGTTGAGTTTGTCTAAAGACCTGGGATCATAGAAAAAAAATGTTCAGGTTAAGATAAAAGATCGTGGAGATGAAGGTTCCTTTGAAGTCTCATAGTGGCTGCCCTTAGAGACAATAGATGACAAATGTTTCCTTTTCAGACCTTTAACATGTGCTAGACTTTCAGTTAATCTCTTCAGGATTGGGAGGGTCTGGAAGAAAAAGATCTAGCCATGTTAATAAGACTGTTCACAGATGCACATTTCCCCCACAAAGGATGGCTTTGCAGGACAATTTCAAATGGTTTGTAGGGCATGACTCCCCAGACCCCTTAGGTAGGAATTTGGGCAAGATAAAAAATCAGAACTCAGTCCTCAAGAGTTAAATCCTAATGCTGTTTCAAGTAATGTTTGTACCTCAGGATACAAAGTTAAGGTTTGAAGACCCATTTAAAGATGCTTCTGAAGAGATGAGCATACATGTTTTGCTTTGCAGAATCTGCATGAGTCTAGAGAAACTGCCACTGGGGGAGAAACGTGTATTACAAGGAAGGTGCTCACGACTCTAACCCTCACCACTGTGGAAGCTAGCCAGTAAAATCTGTCAGGACTGGAGCAGTCTCCTCCCCCGGGGTGGGATGGTGTGGGGTGGGGATCACAGGCCCCCAGGTGATTGGTCGAGGCCCATCCACATTAGGGAGGCAAGCTGCTTTACCAGTCTCCTGATCCAAATGCTAATCTCATCCAGAATCACCCAGAAGGATGTTCGGCTCAATATTTGGGAACTCTGTGCATGGCCCAGTTAACCTGAACATGAAATCAACCACATGTCCATCTGTTGTCAACTTGGCACCCATATGCATTTCCTTAACCCAGGGCTTAATCGTCAAGTGAGGGCAAGAACAAGGTCATAGCCACCTAACACGATCCACTATCCCACAGACAACCAACAGTGCACTAGCCCCTTGCCCAGCGCAGGTCACGTTCTCCTGTGATGTTTACGGTTCTCCTTGATACGGGGTAACTTAATAGGCAATATGTGTGTATTACATAAGAGGATAAGAGAGGGAAGAAAACTGCTATGTGCCTAAATATAACATGCATAGATTATATATGACAAGTATTGGTCACAAAATAAGGAGGAAATACTCCAGGCATTGATGGTCCTCGTTCCTGTAACTGGTCCTGTGGACACAGCCACTTTCTTCCACTGCCCATTCTGTGGTCTTGTGGCCTTCAGCAGGCACCTCACTGGTTGTGGTTCTTTCTGGTGAGGTAAAGTAAAAAAGAAGTTGGTAGCACATTTGATTAACACGTGTCTTAAGATTTATTTCTAAGGTATAAAAGTATGATCAGTTGTTTATAAATCCAAAAGTAATAATACATGCTGGGTTTAAGATTTGAAAATGGGAATGAGGTGAGAGGAGGAGGAGGTCTTGCCCCTCCACCCCAGTTGGAGCCCCACAGGAACGTTGTAGCACGTGCTGTATAGTTGTGATGCCCGCGGTCGGAGCCCCACGGGAGCATTGTAGCACGCGCTGTATGGTTGTGCGTTGTAGCGTGCGCTGTATAGTTGTGATGCCCACAGGCTTCCTTGCATTTCTCTCCAGCTCTGCTAGCCACGAACACTTCAAGTCTGCACTTCACATGCTTGCTTGCCTGTGCATGGTTACGCACGCTCAGCAACTTAGTTCCACGTTTTGGGATGAGTTGAGTTCCCTGACGTAGAATTGCTGGGTTGAGGGTTTTTTATAATAAAAATATTGGTTTTATTTTGGGGGCTGAAGGTTTTAAAAGCTTAATACATACTTCTAGATTGCTTTTCAAAACGACAGAAACCAGCACATGATAAGTAGCTCTTACTTGAAATAAGGACTTGTCTGATCTCAAGTGGCAACTTTTAACTGGTCTTTAAATATTATAAATTTTGAAATTATTTTAATGTTTCTTAGCACTGTTTCTGTTACAAATGAGACTTCATTTTTAGGGTAATTTGTGATTTTAATATTTGAAATTATACGAGTTAAAATTCAGTGAATACCTGAATTGTGAAAAATTATATTTAAGCTACAAAATGTCAGTAGAGAAATAAACAAGATAAAGATTTTTTTCATACAAGAAAATGGAACGGAAAAGCATTGGCCTTCTCATAACATAGTACTCAGCCAGCTTTTGAGGTAGCTTCTGTAGATGATGATATAATTATGAATGTCATTGTCTTAATTTAGCTTAGAATGCAAACCAGTTAAAATCACTTGGTTAGTACTGTTACCACTGAGACACGGGTTCAAGATGCATGTAAAAGCTCAGTGCCTTGTGGACAACTTCTAAGGGTTTAGTTGCCATGGATTTAAAGAAATTGTGACTAAACCAATGTTTTAGCATTGATAAATGGGAAATTGCGGAAGGATGTAAACGTAGAGTTTAACTCTACAACTTGGCTTAGGGACTCAGGTATGGACAGTGAGAATAACTTGGTTTAGGGACTCAGATATGGACAGTGAGACTGGCCACATGAGTGCCTTTCTCACTGTCACACTCTTACCCAGGTTGGAGTGCAGTGGCTGTCGACAGGTGTGATCATAGCTCCCTGCAGCCTTGAATTCCTGGGCTCAAGCAGTCCTGCCTCAGCCTCCCAAGGAGGTGGGACTAAAGATGGTGTGCCACCACACCTGGCTAATTTTTAAATTTATTGTAGAGAAGGGGTCTTGCTATGTTGCCCAGGTTGGTCTTGAACCCCTGACCTCCAGGGATCTCTCCTGCCTTGGCCTCCTCAGGAGCTGGAACTACAGATATATGCTAATGTCTTCAATTTATGGAAATGCAGAAATGCCTTTTTTTTTTTTTTTTTTTTTTTTGAGATGGACTCATGTTCTGCTGCCCAGGCTGGAGTGCTGTGGTGTGATCTTAGCTCACTGTATCCTCCACCTCCGGGGTTCAAGCAATTTTCGTGCCTCAGCCTCCTGGGTGGCTGAGACTACAGATGCCCACCACCACTCCTGGCTAACTTTTTTGTATTTTTAGTAGAGACAGGGTTTTACCATGTTGGCCAGGCTGGTCTCAAACTCCTGACCTCAAGTGATCTGCCCGCCTCGGCCTCCCAAAGTACTGGGATTATAGCTGTGAGCCACTGCACCCTCCCGGAAATGCTTTTTAACGGTCACCTCCTAGGGGAGATGAAGAGAGTTACCGCATAATCAGTTTTAACTGTATTTGTAATGTTTGTTTCTTTACCTGGGAGGATATGTTGTAGATACGTGAGATAGAATACCTAAGTGACACAATGGTGTGCAGGCTATGGCTGCAAAGTAGAAAGTTTCTAAATAGCATGCTTGGATTTTTATTTGAATTGGATGAAGTTTTTGTGTCCTAGAGAAATTCACAAAATGTTCCTAGTTTCAGATAAAAGGTTATGATTTAACATCTTTGCTTTTGTTCTTTCTTGTCTTTGAATAGAACAGTGGGGGACGGTAAGGTCTGTTTGCAAAGTACCTATGACCATCTTACATTATTTTTATGGGTGGGGGGCATTGACTGTGGAATGTGGGCAGTAACTTGCACAGTCAGTAACCGTTTGAGTAACTTCTTGTTGGCATCCCCATTCTGGCACTCCTCCTCTAGGTCTCCACCTCACACGCTGGTTTGTGGGCGGAGGGGCAGGTTGGTGCGTGGGGTGTCCGGGCACTGGCTGTGCATGCCTTCTTCCTCTTCTGTCTCTTGGCCACCTTTTCCAAAAAGTCACCAGTGACCAATTCTCCCAGTGTTTCTTTGGGACTCAATGCCTTGGGCTTGGCATTGGGTAAAGCCAACTGGCCAGTTTCATTCTGACGAGCTCTATAGTAGTCCGGTGTGGACCTCTGCCCTCCCTGCTCTGCGGAAGCTTCCTCAGCCTTTGCTTCTCACTATTTACTATTTGCGGGTCCTGGGGGTACCCAGCGTCTCAGGGTTTTGGCTGCCCACCTGTACGTCGGTCCTTTCAAACTGTGGTCAGAGTCAACCTCAGGTGCTGCTTTTCTCTAGTCACTGCATTTTTTTTTTTTAGTAGAGACAAAGTCTTGCTGTGTTGTCCAGCCTGGATTCAAACTCCTGAGCTCAAGGAATCCTCCCACTCAGCCTCCAGAGTAGCTGGATCAAGTCACTCTTGTTCATAACCTCAGTTGCTTCATGAATCTCGATTTCTGCTTGATTTCAGTGCTTGCTGTTGTATCCTTGTGTGCTGCAGTATTTATTGTTAACATTTGTGACTCAAATGTATCCACTCCCTGCTTTGGTTGCTCTGGCCTGCAAGTAGGCCGTACTAATTCTGTAGTTGGTCCTAGCTTGCCTTTGTCTTTACCTTGCATGCGTTTATGTCTTAATGCACCTATTAGGATTCCTTGCTTTTATCACAGGTTTCCCATTTTTCTGAAAAAATTACAGTAATTATTAACGCAGAACCCAGGTAAATTAAAAAGGTTTGTATGCTTTATGAATTTTTAGTAAGTACTCATTGATTGATAACAGCAACAGAGGAAAACAAAACGGTCAGTTCCGATCTTGATTTCCAGGAGCACTTTGTGTTTCCACTTGGCAGCGTGATGCTTCCTCATGTCGGTGATTTTCTGTTGAGACATCTTCAAGCATCATCTTACGTCTGCTTGTTAACATTTGTTCAGATTTGATTTCAGCTAATCCTTAAAAGTTTTTTGAGACATCAAACTTAGAATAAAAGGAATTTCCTTTGCCGAGATTCATCAGGTATTTACACTTAGCTTACATGGCCACACCATTCCTCGTGTGTGTGTGTGTGTGTGTGTGTGTGTGTGGGCGCGCGCATGTTAGGGTAATCCATTTTTCTGTTTGTTTCTGAATTGCTTTGGAGAAGGCAACTCAGACTCCAAGGAATACAACAGCTGCCGTGTGAAGCTTTTCTCACTTTTCCAGTGGTCGTAGCAGGAACAGCGTCTTGACCTCACATCAGTGACGTGAAAAGAGCTGAGTTTGAAGTGCATATTGGTCCTCCATAAAGAATGTGTGTATGTGCTGTTTTTTTAATTAAGTCTGGTAATTTATTTGATACAATGTATTGTAGTTTTAGTTGAATTAAACTAGTTAGTAAAACTGTTGGTGAGGTAGTGTTTCAGTTACTCTGTAGATAAGCTCTTTTGTTAAAACCTCTTAAGTTTTTTGTTCCTGAATATGTTACAAACATCTATTTTCTCTTACTGTAGCTATCACATGAGGAAAAAAACTTGAAAAAAAGACTTCATAGTGTGTGTTTATGTTTGATTTTAGAAGACCCTTTTGAGGACTTCTTTGGGAATCGAAGGGGTCCCCGAGGAAGCAGAAGCCGAGGGACGGGGTCGTTTTTCTCTGCGTTCAGTGGATTTCCGTCTTTTGGAAGTGGATTTTCTTCTTTTGATACAGGTATTAAATCCCTAGGTTTAATCTCTGTTATCTTAACAGCAGTTAGTACTTATAAAATCATAATACTCTTTTAGTTAGAGTGCTTTAAAATATGTGTATACCTTTCGTAGAATAGCATTGTGGATTTGCCAGCTTTTTTTGGTATACAGGTCTGCGCTTAACCTACATTTTCTCCTAATCTTCCTAAGAATGTCGTGCTTGGAAATCTTCTCCTCTTAATATAATAATCAAGGCCAGAATGTAATGAAATTCTTAGTTAAAAAGGGGCAACATATGTTCTGCATCAGTAGGTGGAAAGTAACGCAGTTGGAAAATCTCACTAACCTTCATGCTGTCTAACCTCCTTTGTAGTTAAAACAAAAGTGCACAAATAGCATCCTAGGAGCATCCCACTGGATGGAATCGAAGGCTGGGCCTTACCACTAGCCCAGGCCAGGCTCACTCACTAGTGAAGTGTCAGCCTCACGCACGTAGCTCTTCATAGTTCACCGATGGAAACAAGCTTGTAGACTGGAGTAACATGAATATGCATATATCATGATATGCCTGTGTGTTTAGCCTGAAGAATCCCACTTTTCTCTGAAGCTCATCCAGTTTCTCTTCACAAAGGAGCTTTTTTTTTTGTTGTGTTTTGTTTTTAAATTTAAAAAGAGTCTCACTTTAGTGAGTGCCACTCTTAGTGTAGTGGCACGGTCTCAGCTCACTGCAGCCTCCCGCCTCCTGGGTTGAAGTGATTCTTGTGCCTCAGCCTCCTGAGTAGCTGGGATCACAGGTGTGCACCAGCAGGCCCAGCTAATTTTTGTATTTTTAATGGAGACAGGGTTTTTGTCGTGTTGGCCAGGCTGGTGTTGAACTGACCTCGGGTGGATCCACCCGTCTTGGCCTCCCAAAGTGCTAGGATTACAGGCATGAGCCACCACTCCTGGCCTGGAGCTGCTGTTTTGATTCTCTCATTTTTATTTTTAAGCCTCCACGATAAGAATTGGGAGAGCTTGTTATATAGGGTTCCTTCTTCATCATGGTCAGAATTTTATTTTCTTTGAACATTGCGCTCATGCCATCTAGGTAAGTAGTGAATTCTGCTCGATTGGACCTCAGTTTTGATGTGCTTTCCCTCAACAGATCCTCTCATTTGATACCATGGAATATGCTGACCACAGGTTAAGAAAGCTAGTTAAAAATACCACGTAAATTGTCCTTTTTAAAAGTAATCAGTGGCTCCTGTATGTGTGTTTGTGTGTGTGTGTGTGTGTGTGTGTGTGTGTGGTGGGGGTGTAAGCCTTCTCCACTTCTGAGGTGCCTTACAAAGTATCACAAGAATAAATACTTAGCGAGGCTTAATTGAGACCAGTGCAGTAGCCACCAGCCACGTGTAGCTCCTGAGCCCTGGAGGCCTGGCTACTCCTAACGGAGATCAGCAGGAGTGTGAAATAGTCATTGGGTTTCAAAGATGGAACATGGGAAGCAGTGTAAAATACCGCAAATGATTTTGATTTTTTGTATTTCCAATTGAAATATTTTGGATATACTGTATTAAATAAAATACTAAAATTAATGTCACTAGTTTCTGCTTTTTAGTGAAATCATTAGAAAAGGTAAACTTAACATACCTGGTTCACATATTTCTTCAGGACACCACCAGCCCTAGACAGTATCTGCGCTTAGATGATTGAATCATGTTCAGAGGTATGCGTCATTTGTGTTAATGGGAGCATTTTGGAAACAGGACAAAAGCTCTAACCAGTAGACCAGCTTTAATATCGAAAAATAGGTTTGCTTTAGTGTGACTTGTGAAAGTTTTTAGTGTCCACACTGCGATAATATCCATAATGTATAATTGAGAATGGTGTTCATGAACTGTAGAACCATAGTTTTTTGAGACGAATACTTGTATTCTTTCTGCAATTATTTTAGTTTTTTAATAATTTAGATTCTTATCCCCTGTGGTCCTGTGGCAAAGAGGAGGGAAGCCGATTAGGTTTGCTGTTCTGTGGTGGTGAGGTCACTCTGTTCCTGTGGGGTAAGAGTGTCCATCACAGTCTGTGGAGTTTACAAGCCACGCCAAAGCAAACAGAGCTTGATACCGAGGCTGCTCTGCTGGTTGGAGCTTAATACTGGTCTCGGTTCCAGAATGTTCACATTAACACAACACGTGCTTCATGGTGCCAAGCAGACCACCCACAAGCAGGGGCTGTCTTTGGCATGTCAGAAAAGCTGCTTGGGTCCCGCGAAGCTCTGCATGAGGAGAGGGGGAGGGGAGAGGCTGCACTCTCGCGTTGCCCTAGAGTCCCCACTCAGGGATCTGAGAGACAGTCTTTCCCCCTGGGCACCCCAGCACTTCAGCTGAGGCCTTGATAGTTGCGTCGTTTATTACTCCTCGGTTCTATGCCTTAACATTAAATATTCTGCTACTGAACTTTCAAACTCTTGTCTTTGCATTACTAGTTGACATATTTCTTTAAGCATTTTTCTTTTCTGTTTTCCTGTAGGATTTACTTCATTTGGGTCACTAGGTCACGGGGGCCTCACTTCATTCTCTTCCACGTCATTTGGTGGTAGTGGCATGGGCAACTTCAAATCGATATCAACTTCAACTAAAATGGTTAATGGCAGAAAAATCACTACAAAGAGGTACTGTGGTATTCTGCATTTTATATTTTTAGTAAGCAGGCGTAACGTTTCACTGGTGCCATGTTGCACGTCTCCCAGAGTGTGAAGTAGAGGTTGTTGTATGCTAAATCTGGCGCCATGAAAATCTTTTGCTCTCCAAATTCATTAATTAAAGCCTTTTCTCTTAAATTTTACTTAACTGTTGAATTATTAGAGGGAATCTTTAATGTAATACAGTGTAATAAGTTTCTGCAGCATTGTTAAAATGGTAAAATGGAAAATCATTAATAGTAAAGCCTTTACTGTTTTATAGCCTCTGCATGTATTTAGCATCCGCCTGTACGGTATTTGAGACACAATTTATTTTGTCAGGTTAATTCTATTTTAGGAAAGGAAGATGTGTTGTTGACAGGTTGGCTTCAGCCATGTTTTTACAGCCTGAAAATTACTTATATTCATGGTGTATTTCAGTAATGTCCTTAAACAACTTAGTTACCCTCACACATGCATTTTCTTTACCAGAAAGGTTTTTAAATGAATTTTTTTCCTACAGAATTGTCGAGAACGGTCAAGAAAGAGTAGAAGTTGAAGAAGATGGCCAGTTAAAGTCCTTAACAATAAATGGTAAGGAGCAGCTGCTGCGCTTGGATAACAAGTAATTCAACGCACGCACTTAACAGAAATGTTAAACTATAACAAGCACCATTTGAGGATTAACAGGAACATTTTTTTGAAGATTTCAAACGAACTCGACTTTCAGTATAATTGTACCTAAAGTATTTATAAACAGCTCATCGGAGCCTCTATTTGTCATAGACTTTTGAGTTGATTGTTGGGACCACATAATAGGACCATTTTTTTTTTGTCTTTAAAATTGTTGTAAATCTCTGTATGCACTTTGCTTTTTTATTAAACGTACTCCAAGGTGAGTCTTGACTCTTTAGTGTAGGACAAGATTGTACACTAACACCAGCATGGACCTGCTTTTCATTGTGTCTGAAATGTGAGCCACGTAGTGTCGGCCTGCTGTGAAGTTAACATTGCCAGGACGATTCTTCTACAGAAATAATTTCAATTTTTTTCAGTATTTAGTAGTGAAAGATATTAATACATTAATGGTAATACATTTCTGGTTTAATATAAATTAAGGATGTTTTCTAGTTGTGCATGAATGCTGGCAACTTAGTAAGTTTTGACAATTGTTTAAATATGTAATGTTAAGCTTAGGTTTAAAAAAGTAAAGCTGGTAAACTGGGTCTTTGTCATTTGCTTTAAAAAAAAAAAAAAAGAAAATAAATGCGAATGTGTTGGTGCATTCTTCCTGAGTGGGATCTGGAGCTTTTTTGTGTCTGTGTATGATTTGTGCCTGGGCTTCTAGTGTCACTTTAATAGCGTTTCGTGCTGTTCATTCAGGTGGATGCCGCACCTCAGTTACATGTAGACATTTTCTTCAGTATATTTGAAGTATATGAAGATTTTCATATTGTAAGTTGTGATTTAGCAATTGATCAAACATTTAATTATGGTAACATTTCTACAGGAGAGGGAAGAAACCATTGTATAATTTTTCACTCTTAAAGTATGTTCTAGTTTGATGTAAGATCACTTACGGATCCGGGCGCGGTAGCTCAACGCCTGTAATCCCAGCACTTTGGGAGGCTGAGGCGGGTGGATCACCTGAGGTCAGGAGTTTGAGACCAGCCTGACCAAGATGGTGAAACCCCTGTCTCTACTAAAAATAGAAAAATTAGCTGGGTGTGGTGGCAGGCGCCTGTAATCCCAGCTACTCTGGAGGCTGAGGCAGAAGAATTGCTTGAACCCGGGAGGTGGACGTTGCAGTGAGCTGAGATCGTGCCATTGCACTCCAGCCTGGGAGACAGAGCAAGCCTTCATCTCAAAAAAAAAAAAAAATCACTTTGGGACAGTCAAGGTCTTTTGTTTCTCAGTTTGTAATATCTTTCATGATTACCATTGGTAACTAGAATCCTAGCTGTAGTGAATATTGAACTAGACTTTGACTGAATTTGAAACTGTTTTGGAACTAAACAGCGTGAAAACCGCTAGAAGGACAGGCGGTTCCCTGACAAACAGCGTAGCGTGTTCCATCCGTGCTGGCTTTGCAGGAGGGCATAGAGATTGCTCGGGATACGCCAGAGCCCTTAAGCAACCTCACGTGCTGTTACTGAAAATAAGTAAAAAATATTTTAAGGAATTTCATAGGAGCTCAAAAAAGCATAGCAACAGTTAAGTAATTGGGGACAGTTGAAGTACAAGAAGAACAACGAGTGATGTGCTTGTCTGTTGTGTCGGAAATAACCCAGCACGCGGCACTTCCTGTCTCTGGATAAGGTAGGTATGCAGCCATGGCACGTGCGGGAAAGCGGGACAGCGCCCTCTAGTGTTGGAAATCCCACTCACAACTAGCATTGTGCGATCATAGAGCGCGCTTTTGTTTATGCCATCAGGACGGGTGGTTTTTTGTTACTAAATAAATTCAAGTAGATACTTGGACTAAGGCGTTTTATATTTTTCATTAGTGGGTGGGATGAGTCAGTGCAGCAGCCTTGAGACATCCAGGGATGTCCAGAAATACCAGGAAAATGAAAAGTCTTTACCTGTAATTCTTAAACTAGGAAGCATTTTGCTATAGCGTTGGTACTACACAATTTTAGAACACATTTGGTTGTTCTAGACTTTGTGGAGTGTTTCATGCAACTCTAGCTGTGAACAGTTTACTCAACATGGTGTTACAGGTAAAATATGTTTGACTCCTAAGGAATCTTTCTTGTGAAAATTTTTTTTTGAGGAGGAGGGAGCATTCATTTGTACTTGGGAAAACTACTGTTTTGTTTGTTTGTTTGTTTGTTTGTTTTTTTGAGACGGAGTCTTGCTCTGTCATCCAGGCTGGAGTGCAGTGGTGTGATCTTGGCTCATTGTAACCTCTGCCTCCCGGGTTCAAGCAGTTCTCCTGCCTCAGCCTCCTGAGTAGCTGGGATTACAGGCACCCACCACCACACTCAGCTAATTTTTGTATTTTTAGTAGAGATGGGATTTCACCATGTTGTCAGGGCTGGTCTGGAACTCTTGACTTCAAGTGATCCATCCACCTTGGCCTCCCAAAGTGCTGGGATTACAGGCGTGAGCCACTGCGCCTGGCTGAGAAAATTACTTTTATTCTGTTCTTCCATTGATAGAAGTGTAATTTTATTAAGTTACTAATAGAATAGAAAGCCTATTTGTTGCTGTCAAATCTTACACCTTTCATTTTTAAACCCCGTTAAGTTTATTCCTAGAGAATTCAGTCTAAGGGTGCATGAGAGTACCTTTGAAAAGTTAGGAAATGGCTGTGAGCATTGATACCATCACTCAAGTAAGTGATGGCTTGGAAGAATAATAGCATTTGATTTAAATTACAGTTTTTGGTAAATTCAACAGTCTCTTTACTTGCTGTAGTGTTGAGCGCCTCTGAAAATAGGAAGCTGAACGCTCCTTAACGGCACGTATCTGGTTGTGCACAGCCCCATGTGGTCCCATCCATTCTGGGGTGTGCTGTCTGCTGTGTTTGGTTTGTGCTCAACTTCCCTGTTTGAGATTCTTTTTTAAGTTTTATTTTTAAAGTCTTTAATTTTTAAAAATACTTCAATAGCTTTTGGGGGGGGGGTAAGTGGTTTTTGGTGACGTAGATGCATTATATAGTGAATTCTGAGATGTTAGTGCTGCTGTCACCCAAGCAGTGTATGTTGTACCCAAAGTGTAGTTTTTTAATCCCTGTTTGGCATCCTTTTGTCTGGAGGGCTCAATAATCTGTATTTTTGTCATCTCCTGTTTTCCTATTCCTTGTAGCTCCCCACCCCGTTGGTTTGATTTGAGTGATGGATTATTCCTTATATTTCTATCCTTTATAAAATTTAAGCTTTTTAGATTCCAAAGATTCCAGGCTTGATTTTGGAAACTCGGGGTTTTAAATAATCTGAAAGATGTCAATCAATAGTGGCATCATGGGCGACTTGTCATTCTTCCTCTTGGAAGTCCTTCAATGAGTAGATTTTAGAAGTGGGTAGAGTTAGTGTCACCATTTGCTAAACTTACCTGTGCACCTAGTGTGCTGAAGTAAATGTTCCTTACAATGTGGAAACGCTTGAGGAACACTGTGGGGTGATTGTCTTTCCAATCAATTTTAATTTCTGTTTATTAATTAGAGCTTGAAAAATGCCTGCTTATCCTGTCTTGATTACCTTCTAGATATCATTTCTTTCCGGGAATACTGATCTTGTTTTAAGCACTATAGAATGAATTAGAAACATTTTTATTTGCAGAGGATTCAACGGTAATAAATAATTGGCATATTATCTCTGTTATTGATTGGCAGCAGTGTTGAAATTTAGCCATTAGCATGTTCAGTGACAGAATGGAGGCAGATGTTGTTATTTCGGAGGTTTTCAAGCACAAAATTATGTTTAGTTGATTTGAATACTTGGTTTCGTGGGGTCTGGAGGGGACTGAATTACATAACCCACTGCTGTTTGTATTTTTAAAAACGAAGGCATGAGATCTTACCCTTTGGGGTCTTGATTTCAAAGCCTTTGGATATGGTATTCCTAGCTGTTCTAGGGACGTGGGGGGAGCTAGATGTAGGCCTTGGTACTAAAGTGTGACCAATGGTTGAAATGGGGTAGACCGAAGTCTGTCATTTGGCTACGTTATTTCGTCTTCCTGTTTAAAAAGGTGAAAAGAGGGAATGTCACAGCAGCTATTCCTGTGTTAGAAATCTAGACGTCACTGATTTCCAGAGACAGCAGAGTTTATGATTGGGCGTTAGAAGGCCTGTCCTGGCTTCTGTGCTTTGGTCAGTATTTGCTGCCTTTTGTGCAGGGTATCAGTCGGTCTTACCTAACTGTTCACTAAGGACTCGACTCTGAGCTTTGTGGCCTGGGCAAGTTGCACACTCAGGGCAGACCCCTGACTGCGCTTTGCCCTTTTCCCTGTACCCTGATTGGGAGAAGATTCCTGCCTCGGAGTGCAACCCCAACAGGAATGCAGGTCCTGTGAAGGCAGTAATTCTCGTCTGTCTGGCTGCTGCTGTGTCCTGGCAGGTGTGCCCTGGAAGCATCCCGTGAGTGCTGGCTGCGGAAACCCAGATGGTGGTTGCTGTCCCACAGCCCTTGATTCAGAGATGCCCTGGACCACAGCTGCCTGGAGTGTAGAGCAGAGGCTTACTCCCCACACCCCTCCTGCTGTGCGACCTGCGGCCCAGCCTGCTGTTGGAGGCTTGCCATGTGGATCCGAAGGACCTGCGTCTTGGCTTTACAAAGATTCTCCACTCCTGGGAGCCCTGACTAGCAAACGTCTGTGTAGTGTTGATGCCACACTGCAGTTGTTAACATCGCGTCCTTTTCTGCCCTGTTAGGTTGGTTTCTCTCTTAAACAGGGCAGCGCTGTCATCCCATTCCCCCGCCTGGTCCTTCCTCTTCCCCCTAGCTGGTTACTGAACTGACTGCCATTCAGGCACTGATGGGAAATCACTTCCAGAACTTGCAAAACCATAGAGACCGGAGGTTTTCTGAAGGAGGCTTTGGTGCTGAAACATTGCTGCTGAAACATTGTTGCAGAAATGTGGGGTGGAGCCTCCTTCCTGCCCGTCTCACCCAGGGGATGTGGTTTGCTTCCCGTGTGGTCAGCGCTGTGCTGCGAGCTCTGAGAGGTGACCTTTTCCTCTGCCTTCCCACAGCTGCCCTGAGTTGGCAAAAAGTGCTTTGCCCAAGGACAGGGTCTAATTGATAATGGCGTGTGGGGGAGATGTGGCTCCTGAGGCCTGGAGCATGCATTCATTCATTCCTTTATATTATTTTATATTTTACTTAACTTTTGGACCAGTTCTCTCTCTCTAACCCAGGCTGGAGTACAGTGGTGCAGTCACAGCTCTCTGTAGCCTTCAACTCCTGGGCTCAAGCATTCCTCCCACCTCAGCCCCTAAGCAGTTGGGACTACAGGTGTGCGACACAACGCCTGGCTAACTTTTTGTATTTTTAGTGGAGACAGGGTTTTGCCGTGTTGCCCAGGCTGGTCTTGAACTCTTGGGCTCGAGCGCATCACTCACTTTGGCCTCCCAGAGTGCTGGGATCACAGACATGAGCCCCCACTCCCAGCCCAGAGCATTTTACACCAGATGTCAGGACATTGCTGGTAGGAACAGCAGTTGGAGCAGAAGCTCGGGGTGTGGTCATCAGGGAACTGTGGAGTTTGCAGCCTGCGTGAGACACGTTTCGTACACACATTTCTGCCAAATTGAGAACTTTGCTGCTCGTCAGCTCTAAGCCAAGTAACCTCTTACCCAAAACTTCCAGGGATGCTTTACATAATGCCAGGCCTCTGAGAAAGTCAGCTGCAGAACTTGAACGAGAAAGTGCTGTTTTCCACGAGTCTTTTCAGCCGTATCTTTCCGTGTCCATGGGTCAGTGGTCCCTGCACAGATGAATTGGCACTGGACACGGCCTCCTGCGGTGGCTGCTGGGGGCTGAGCCTTCCCTGCCAGTCCCTGCCAAGCAGGAAAGACAAGTTTCCCTCAGTTGGGGTCTGTGCCCAGCATGAGTGGTCTATCTAGTGAGTGGCTGGGCACAGTTGTCCCCATCCATGGCGGATGCCTGGTGGCAGCACCCACTGGGTCTCAGCCCAAGTCTTCCGTGGATCCTGGCAAAATATTGATGTCCTTTTCCACATAATATTTAAGGTATTTGTGTAGAGTCTTATGTACTTGCAGGAGCAGTTGGTTAAATTAGGTACCTAGAAGTTGAGTAATTGGCTTGAGAAACGTGTGCATTGAAAATCGGTAAGTTACCAGGCGCAGTGGCTCATGCCTGTAATCCCAGTGCTCTGGGAGGCTGAGGTGGGTTGATTGCTTTGAGCCCAGGAGTTCAAGACCAGCCTGGGCAACATGGTCAAACCACGTCTCTACAAAAAATATGAAAATTAGCTGGGCTTGGTGGCGTGCGCTTGTAGTCCCAGATACTCAGGAGGCTGAGGTGGAAGGATCACTTGAGTCAGGGATATGAGGCTGCAGTGAGCCGTGATCGAGCCACTGCACTCCAACCTGGGCAACAAGGAGACCCTGTCTCAAAAAAAAAAAAAAAAAAGGATAGTCATAAATGATTTCTTAGAAGGAGTCTTCTCCTATCAACAACGGATTGGGGTCTGTGTCCTCACGCTTGCTAGTACTGTCTGTCAACAGTTTCTAAAATTTGCGTCTTGGCTATCCAGGGCAAGCATCTTGTGTCACCTGCGTGTGCCTCTTTTTCTGTGGACTTACTCTCTTGATTTTATAGGAGCCCTTTACATGCTAGTTGATTAGTCTTTAGCCTGCTGTGTTGAAAGTGGGTTTTTTTTTTTTTTTTGGTTTTTCTTTTGTTCACGTGACTTACTGTGTGGTAGTCTTAATTATTTACACAGATGTGTGTGTGCGTGCGTGTGCCTGTTACAGAGCTGCCCCATATTTTTATTTTGTAATCCTGTGTGTGTTTACTTTTATTTATTTGGAAAGGTTGTTGTGTGGGAAACAGCCAGCTTTGTCCCAGATTTCTTGCCCGCGTTTCTGCCGGACTCTCGTCCTGTCTGGTTTCTTGCACCCTGTATGGATGGCAGTGTGTGCATCCGGAAGCGCAGCTCCTTTCCAGCTCGTTTCTAGGCCAGTCTTCGTCGTGCTTTCAAATGAAAGGTGCAGTCAGTGCGAGGAACACCCCATGTAGATTTGGGAGAGCCTTTGACACCCGAGAGCCATGTGGCAGACTAATTTTTTTAACATCCTGTTTTACGGACAGCTGTAAAGTGCTGTCTTAATATGTAGGTGTGCACATTTCCTCATTGTATCACTACATGAAGCTGGGAATGCCGTCTGTGTGTGTTTTCTGTTCTAACTTATGGAAAACCAGGAAGTCGGTACGCCTTACATTGCTTTTTATCTCATCACTTTAGTCTTGGTATTCTGATTTTATTATATTTATTTTTTTGAGGCAGTGTCTTGCTGTGTCGCCCAGGCTGGATGGAGTGCAGTGGTGTGATCACGGCTGACTGCAACCCCTGCCTCCTGGGTTCAAGCGATTCTCCTGCCTCAGCCTCCCGAGTAGCTGGAATTACAGGCGCCTGCCACCACCCCTGGCTAATTTTTTTGTATTTTTAGTAGAGACGGAGTTTCACTATTTTGGTCAGGCTGATCCCAAACTCCTGACCTCGAGTTATCCCGCCCTCCTTGGCCTCCCAAAGTGCTGGGATTACAGGTGTGAGCCACTGCGCCTCGCCTATTCTGATTTTAAAAAAGAATTGGAATATCATATTTTTTACAATTGGAAAACTCTATAAATTTTCTAATTTTTACCCTTATTTTTCTTATTGATATAAGTATTTTTGTCTTGTTTTCCAGCAGGCTGATTTTAGTATTTTACTGTGTGATTATGTTTCTGAGAAAGATTAGTTACTGTGTTTATGTCCCAAAATTCCTCTACATGGCACTGTTGGGTTCTCTTGTACCTTGATTTTACTTTGGGTTTTAGATTCTGTAGAGAGGGTGAAGCTCCCGGCCCTGTGATCTTGAGGAGGGTGAGTTGGGAGCCGTCCATGCCCTGCCTACCCCAACACCAGGTTCAGCTGCCTGTGAAGTCATTTGTTTCGTGCACATTTCCTAGTTACTGGTATTTTTTAATCATTAAAAATGTTTTTAAATTATTGATAGTAATTGTACGTATTTGTAGGGTGCATGTGTGCAGTGGGTGATGATCAGATCGGGGTGCATGTGTGCAGTGGGTGATGATCAGATTGGGGTTAATGGCAGAGCCACCTCACAGTTACTGTTTTGTGTTGGGAACATTCAGAGCCTCTCAGAAAACTTTATTTCCTAAGCTGGTTTGTTGAGGGGTTTTCTTTCATATCAGTTTGCTAATTTATGTGTTCACTGGAAGCATCCACGGTGTTCTGAGGCCTGTGATCATGCGCCTTTCTCATTCTTTACATTTGTCCGTGTCTGAAGGTTTCCAAGTGTTTTCCTGTTGGTTTAGTTTCTCTCAAAAGAATACCTTTCTCATATCTTATTATTATCCTGAGTTTTTCTTCCTATTTTGGTTAGTTGTGCTTCTGCAGAATATTTATTTGCAGTACTTTTGTTCATAAATAGGAATGTTAAGAATTGTTTTTAAGTTCGACTTGTAAAACATTTTTGTTGACTTCTAAGTCGTTCTTTTAAATTTCTATTTTCATTCAAAAATAACCCATATGACATCTATTTTTTGGAAGGAAGGGTTAAGAAACAGCAGATGTTGCCTTGTCAATTCTGTGAGCTTGTATTCTACTGGATTTTTTTCTATCTTGCTTAAGAAATGCTGCCCCTGTGTATCTACCTTAAAAAATGTTTAAGTCCAGGCGTGGTGGCTCACGCCTGTATTCCAGCACTTTGAGTGGCTAAGTGGGTGGATCGCTTGAGCCCTGGAGGTCGAGGCTACAGTGAGTCGTGATGACACCACTGCACTCCAGTCTGGTGATGGAGTGAGACCCTGTCTCAGAAAAAAAAAAGTTGAAAATATGAATCCATCTAGAACATTTGTGTGAAGTGGCCTCACTTTTTCCTCCTCTATGGACAATTTGTCCTTCCTCCATGATGAATTGTGATTTAATTTTTAATGATTTGCTTGTCTGCAGCTTTTTTGGGAGGAACTTTATTGGGATTTGCCCATCATGAGTACATTTGTTAAGGATGGGTGCGATTTCCCTCTTGTGAAGAAGCAACACATCACAAGAGCAGATTTTGTCCCCGCCTCTCAGCGGAGCTTAGAACCATACAGAAAGTGGGCCAGACGTGGTGGCTTACGCCTGTAATTCCAGCACTTTGGGAGGCTGAGCTGCGTGGCGGGTGGATTGCTTGAGCCCAGCCTGGGCAACGTGGTGAGACTCTGTCTCCACAAAGAATAGAAAATATTAGCCTGGCTTGGGGGTGCACGCCTCTAGTCCCAGCTACTCAGGAGGCTAAGGTGCGAGGATTGCTTGAGCTGGTGGAGGTCAAGGCTGCAGTGAGCCAGGATTGCACCACTCGGCACTCCAGCCTGGGCAACAGAGCAAGACCCTGTGCCCGCCGCGCCCCCCCACCTCCCAAAAAACCCCAGAAAGCAGAGAGTTAGCTGTTTGTCTTCCCCATCCGGTATTACCAGGGCTGGAAGCATACTTGAGAGCACTACGTTTAATGGGCAGCATTTTGGGAGGGGGCTGGGGGGGGGTTGGTGCTGGGCACATCTGGCCACTTAATGTAGTTAAAGCAATAGCAACTGAATGAAAAGCTCTAACATGAATTCATCGTTTCATCTGTTATCTGACTTTTAACATTAACATATCTAGTTCTGCTTTTGTCTGTCTTTTAAAGAGAATTGCATGGGCAGCTTCTCTGTTTTTCCTGCGTATGCAGGAGCTTAGCTTTGGGCTCCTGAGCTCAGGCCTTCTCAGCTCTGATGAGCTTCAGGAGAGGCAGTTGGAGGTTGAATCTGGGTGGTGTATGCCTTCTTATGGAAGTCCCTGATGGGAAGACAGAGGAGCTCTGAGAAGAAACTAGAATGACTTGTCATTACATTTTTATGTGGAATAAGATTCAGATGTCTTTAGAAAAATAAAATTTTGTGAATATGCGAGTCTGCAAAAGTTACAACATTCATTCTACGTTTTTTCTTTTCTTTTTTTTTTTTTTTTTTGAGACGGAGTCATGCTCTGTCGCCCAGGCTGGAGTACAGTGGGGCGATCTCGGCTCACTGCAACCTCTGCCTCCCTAGTAGCTGGGATTACAGGCCTGTGCCACCACACCCGGCTAATTCTTTTTATATTTTCAGTAGAGACAGAGTTTCACTCTGTTGGCCAGGCTGGTCTTGAACTCCTGACCTCAAGTGATCCACCTGCCTTGGCCTCCCAAAGTGCTGGGATTACAGGCTTGAGCCTGTAATTTTTTTTTTTTTTTTTGGAGACGTAGTCTTACTCTGTCACCCAGGCTGGAGTGCAGTGAAGTGAACTCGGCTCACTGCAACCTCCGTCTCCTGGGTTCAAGCGATTCTCATGCCTCAGCCTCCTGAATAGCTAGGACTACTGGTGTGTGCCACCACGCCCAGCTAATATTTTGCATTTTTAGGAGAGACAGAGTTTCACTATGTTGCCCAGGCTGGTCTCAAAACCCTGACCTCAGGCAATCTGCCCGCTTCAGCCTCCCAAAGTGCTGGGATTACATGCGTGAGCCACTGTGCCTGGCCCCATGTTCCTTTTCAAGATTTAATGATTAAGTGGGCAACAGTTAAATCCCTCCAGCGCCTCAGCCTAACCAGGGAGCGGGGCAGTCTCAGGGCGACGTGTTTCTTGAGGACGCTTAGATGCCTAGGGTTCCGTTTATAAAGAGTTCCTTCAATAAAAATCACACTTAGACTTTATGTAGTGGGCAGTTAGAAACAGGGAACTAAAGACTTTTCCTTTCTCTGCCTCCAGCAAAGCCCAGGCACCCCACCCAGCACCATGCTGTCAGCCGTGGGGACAGGCAGCCCAAGGCTGCAGGGAGAGGGCCCCAGGAGGCCTGGCCCTGTGGGTTGAGGCTGCAGTGCGCCCTGGGCCCCCTCCTCTGCTCTCAGTGTGAGAGTCCACTCTCTCTGCTGCCCTCTGGGGTACTCTGTGGACCGCAGCTGTGTCCATACTAAAACATGACCAAAGGCTGTAATTTCCGGCTTTCATAGCCCTTTGTCAGGGTATCGTATATTGTGAGTTCCTGGGAAATGGGCACAAATCAAAGGGACCCAGTTCGGGGCAGGGAGGCCACAGCGTATCCCCCGAGACTGAGGAACTTCAGACAGTTCAAGTCTAAGGGGTTTTTCAGGCATAAACATCCACCGCCCGCCTCCTTTTCTACATGGGAAGGCCGACGCCACAGTGTGCTTTAGTTGGTTTCCATCTGAAAGGGGTCCTGAACCTGCCACGGGACGTGATGCCAGTGGTAGCTGAATGTGCCTCACTCCAGGTCCTCCTGGAATTATCCTCACCACTCGGCTGAGGGATGCTGTCCACACCCCTCTCACCGATGTGGACGTGTGCACGCGGTGTGTGTGCAGAATCCAGGCTATCAGGATGCTGTGCCGTGGCTGCCCCTGCGAGGCCCGTGTGAAGCCAGCCCCGTGCGTCTGTAGCTACCCCTTGAGGAGTAACCCGAGCGGCGTGCTTCCTGGGAAGTTGCTAAGCTGCGCTGAGGTGGTAACAACAGCATGTGGCCTCCACCTCACGTAAGCATTTGGTGTCTCCTTGAACCTCTGTTGTGCACCAGCACCTAGGAGACACTGAAGAGCCAGACCCAGTCACGGCCGCCCAGCCAGGGAGAGGGGGTGCGGGTGAATGGTGTCCTGCAGGTGCTGGGCCGGAACCTCTGTGTCGCTGCGGTGGTGTGTTCAGCTCTGACATGAGTGGGGATGCCAACCCCAGCAGGGCTTCTGGGAATCTTTTGGCCTTTTGTTGGCGGGGTTTCGTGAGCCTCTTATGCTGGGAGGAATCCAACAGGAGACTTTCCTCCTCATTGTCCTCAGCCTTCGCCCGTGCTCCGATTTCCTCCTGTGTCCCCATGTGTGCTCCAGTGCCACCATCCCTCTCCCAGCTGGGCCCTGGGCACGTCCCCGTGCCGTCAGCCAGTGCGCTCTTGGAGCAGTTATTTCCAAACCGACCTTCACGTCTTCATTCCCTGGAGCCACCTCTTCATAAGTAGCCATGAAGAGTTAATTGTGGCACCTGTTCTCCCTCTCGACCTCTGCCCTTCATCCTTCTCAATTCAGCTTCTATGTCACGAGCCCATCACGTGGCTGGCAAAAGCAAGTCACTGTCCTGTTTAAAACTGTTCAGGAGTCTGGGCGTGGTGGCCCACGCCTGTAATCCCAGCTACTCGGAAGGCTGAGGCAGAATTACTTGAACCGGGAGGCAGAGTTTGCAGTGAGCTGAGATGGCGCCACTGCACTCCAGTCTGGGCAGCAGAGCGAGACTCTTGTCTCAAAACAAACAAAAACTTGTTCAGCCTTCGTACCTGCTCTGCCCTGTGTTTGAAGCCGGGTTCCTAGCGTTTCCCCAGCAGATGGCGTCTGCCATTCCAGGGCTGTTCGATGTGCCTTTGTATCTGCAGAGTGCAGACAGACAGCACTGCCTTGCCACATTGTTTGGAGTCTGTCCACCCTTGAGCTCCCTAGGAGTGAGGGCAGGGTCTTGCTGGGTGTCCCCAGTGCCTGGCACACATTAAATGTTTGAATGAGCCCATCTTCTGATGGGCCAGGCATGCATTTTTGGTTGTTTGAATAATCTGCAGTGTGTGAGTGGTATTCCTAATTTGTGTAAGTAGCGACTAACCCCCCTCTCTCCCCAAAAAAAGTCAAAGAAAGGAGCAGTCTCCCCAGGGGCCTCGTGGATTGTGTGTATTTGGGAAAAGCGTGTTTTTATCTGCAGGAGTTTGTTTTCATCTGCGTGTTATCAGCCAGGCTCCTGCACTCCATTCAGACTCCATTTGGGGAAGAAACTGGAGCCTCTGATAAGATGGCCATGCCCGCGCGGCAGCTGCGGAACATTCCTCTAATAGCTTCTCGATGATTTCAGTGTGTTTTTGGCTTGAGGGGGGGGATGCTGGCAGATCTTGTTTCTGTTTTTAAATTTTATTTAACTGTGGTTACAAAACAGGATGTTTTCTGGTATATTTAGTTCCCCCAATAAAAAGAAACTTGATCTGTTGTAACCAGCCTACATTTTAGTAATTTATAAGGTTTAATATTTAATTCACACACAGGAAGAAGCAGAAATTATACCCAAACAGTAAATTATCTATGGGCTGTAGAATTAGAAGTGACTTGTTTTTTCTACAACTAATGTGTATTGCCTTTTCCGTACAAATTGCTAAACTAAAATTGTTTAAACAATTAGTGGTAAATTTCCAAAGAAGAGTAATTAATGGTATTACATGGAAAGTTTTAAAAGGCTATATAGAAAGATTTTAGAAAATGGTTGGCTTTCAGAAAGTGGTGTTGGCTCTCAGAGGGTGAGGCTGAACGGCAGTGAATGCCCTTTTTTGGTTTTAATTTGGGGAATTTTAGGTTAATTTGTGAGAAGTTGAGTTGTTTTCTTAAGGATGTTTGTAGAAGTTCCGCTGACAAGTTTGTTGGGGGCTCTTCGTGTGAGATCTTGCACGAGTCAGGCTGCTTGACTGGAAGGTTCTCAGCAGCTTTTGCAGGTCGGGTCCCTGTGGCCCCCCGCCATCCCCTGCCTTGTCTGGTGATGCTCATGCCTAGAAGGGAGGTCTTTCGCCTCCTGATGAGTAGGTGCCAGGAAAGTGGCCCTGCCCCTGCTTGGTGCTAAAGAACAGCCCTGACCGCATCAGGACATTTTGGCCAGTGGTGGTCCACGTAGACCGCAGGGGTTGCGTAAGGTTAGGACGGCATTTTCACTGCATGTGATCCAGGTTTGTATCCTTGCCGTTGACCTACAGCTGCTTGCAGCGCTCAGTGCTGGGATGGCGGCACAGGTTTGCGGCCTAGCAGCAGTCGGCCGGGCCCTGCAGCCTGGGTGTGGAGTGGGCCGTGCCCTCTAGGCCTGAGTGCGGTGACATCACCTAACATACCCCTGTTGCTAAGCTGCATGTGACTATATATCTATATATCTCTCTCTCTATCTGTATTTTTTTTTTGGAGATGGAGTCTCGCCCTGTCGCCCAAGCTGGAGAGCAATGGCACAGTTGTGGCTCACTGCAACGTCCGCCTCCTGGGTTCAAGCAATTCTCCTGCCTTAGCCTCTGGAGTAGCTGGGATTACAGGTGCGCGCCACCACCCCTGGCTAACTTTTGTATTTTTAGTAGAGACGGGGTTTCACCACGTTGGCCAGGCTGATCTCAAAATCCTGACCTCAGGTGATCTGCCTGCCTCAGCCTCCCAAAGTGCTTGGATGACAGACGTGAGCCGCCGCACCCGGCCTGTATTTTGTCAGGAGAATATCAGCATGAGTTAAGTTTATGATGCAGGTGTTCAAAGTTTTTGTTTAGTTGGGGAAAGTGCAGTATTTTGTACCACCCAGTAAAGCCTTTGTAAAGCCAAAACATGAAGTAGATATTGATCACTAATAAGGTTTAATACAGTTGGTTTTGCCTTTTTTCGGTTTCTTTGTGAGCTGCAGTAACGGGAAAGCAAGTTCTAGGGAAGTGTGAGCATGAGGTGCTGGGATGCCTGGGTCCCCGCGCCTTTGTGTATGTGCTCGCGTCTAGGGAGTTCTGAACATGGGGGATGCCCGGGTCCCCGCGCCTTCGTGTACGCACTTGTACGTAGGGAGGTCTGAGCATGGGGGATGCCTGGGTCCCCGCGCCTTCATGGACACGCTCGTGTGTGGTGTGCCGTGATGCTTGCTGTGCAGCAGGCCGGCTGGTGGAGAGCTTTCGCTGGCACCGAGCTCTTCTCCTTGGTGTGGCCGTCGGCTCCATCCTGGTCATCCTTCCCTGGTAGGTGTTACTCTAAAGCTGGGTCCTAAACCTGGCAGGAGCTTCTAATGAGAAGGGGCACTTGATCCTCGGGTGGGCTGTGTTTACGTTCTTGGCTCTGGAATTACCTTTGTCTTGCGGTCTCCGCCGCTGGTGGTCTATGTCTCATCACCAGGCTCACCGCCGGGGCTCTTGCGTCCGCCTGGCACGTGTCAGCTGTGGGTCCGGGATGAAGCCCGGGTGGAAGTCGAGGGTGTTGATGAGGCACACAGGTCATGAGGCGGGGCAGGAACTGTGGGTGGGCGAGACGTGAGTGGGTCATGGAAGGATCTTTCTGGAAGTGAGTTGGTCGCTGAATCCTGCAGAGGGGCCTGGCACAAAGGTGTGGAAGGCAGGTGTGCTGGAGTCCCCACCCTGGCCAGCCCTTGGCTTGTTTCTGTGTGTGGCTGTGACCCCGGACTCTGGATTTCTAGGAAGCTGAAAAGGTTTGATGACCTCTTTCTGTCTTAAAAGGGGAGGTGAGGTAAAACCACTCCTGAGAGGGACTTACCCGCTGTGGTCCCTGCTTTGCCGAAGCCCCGGGTTTTGATGGTGCCGGCAGCTGTCGGCCTCCTCGCCTCTGATTTCTCTGGCCCACCACGAGCCCCTCACCTCCTGCAGGGCTTACTGTGACCTGGGCTCCTCCTCCTGTATCAAAGGATTGCTGGCAGTCAGAGCTCTTCAGTCGTGTACATGATTTATATAATTTATATTTCTTTTTTCTTTTTTTTTGAGAAGGAGTCTCACTCTGTTGCCTAGCCTGGAGTGCGATGGCGCCATCTTGGTTCACCGCTACCTCCACCTCCTGGGTTCAAGCAACTCTGCCTCAGCCTCCCGAGTAGCTGGGATTACAGGCACGCGCCACCACACCCCGCTAATTTTGTATTTTTAGTAGAGACGGGGTTTCTCCATGTTAGGCTGGTCTTGAACTCCTGACCTCAGGTGATCTGCCTGCCTCGGCCTCCCAAAGTGCTGGCATTACAGGCATGAGCCACCGTGCTTGACCAACCTAATTTATACTTCTTAAGGAATGGAAAGAGCACAGAGACCTGTTCATATGGTGGATGTAGCAGTTTTTAAAAGCGAATGTAGATTTGAAGTCATGACATCTGTGTGTGAGTTTTTGGGGACATGGTTCAGCTTGTAACAGGGGAAGTAAATCAGGTGTAAAAATGTGTCAAGGTGGGTGGAACTAAGGGGAGAGAGCTGTGACGTGAAGCATTACGCAATAAAGAGGTTCCCGCCTATTAGATAGAAACAGAGGTGGGAACAGGACCGAGGCGGTGTGAGTGTGCCCTGACCTCTGCAGCAGCGGCCCTCCTGCCGCCGTCTCCACGCGCCCTTCCCAGACCTGTTCAGTTTCCCAGCAGCGGGCTGGCGCCTGCCTTCTCTCTGTTGCAGAGGCCGGCTCTTCCTGGATGTGGGCCCTCTCAGGATGGTTGCAAGCCTGGAGCCCACAGGCTGCTTATCTTAGCAGAAGGCCTTGAGGGCTCCTTCCCCTGCGGTCGCTGTGACGGAGGGAGCGTGTCTGCTCTCTGTGGCTTCGGTTCTTCAGGCTGCTGTTGTGTTGAGAGTGGCTTCTGCCGCACTCCGCATTGATAACTGGGTTTCATCCTCGTTGTATTTTCTTATTTTTTATAGAGATGGGGTCTCCCTATGTTGCCCAGGCTGGTCTCGAACTCCTGGGCCCACGTGATCCTCCCTGCTTGGCCTCCCAGAGTGTGGGGATCCCAGGCGGGGTCCACCCTGGCCTTGTCCTCATTTTAAAGACGAGGGGACTGTGGAAGCACAGGGAAGGCGCCTCTTCTTCCCTGAGCTGCACCCCTTCCACAGGCACCCATGCTGCCCGTGCAGTGGCGGGTGCAGCACAGTCCCACTGCTGAGCGGCTTGGCCTGCAGCGAGGCCCCCTCCCACCTGCCATGCTCTCTTGCTGGCCGTGGGGCGGGCGTGGGGTGACAGGGTTGCCTGTGGTGGCCACAGGGCCATGTGTGCTTTGAGTCTGGCGCCGTCATGCTATGCATGGTGTCCATCTCCATTCAGAGACAAACACCTCCCAGGCTGGCCAGACCACTCACACCACTTCCACCTCCGTAGGCCTGAGGGAGCCGGGTCCCAGGGGAGGGCTGTGGGAGTGGCAGGAGAAGTAGCGATGTGTCTTGGGGACGTAGGCCCCAGTCATCCCAGGGGCCTACGGTGCATGGGTGGTCCCAATTTAAAACAAATAAGGAATATGGGGCCTGTGGTTTCTTATTTAAAGTAAGCCACTCTTTGGCCCCTGCACTTTTCCAGGGCAGGGTAAACCGGAACGTTGTTAGAATTGGGAACAGTCATCACCGTGGGCCACGGAGAAAGTCCACGGAACCCCACTTTCTCCATCAGCCTTCTGGTCTGCCTTCGTACTGTGAACCAGGAGTATCTGAGACCGTCTCAGTCAGTGTAGAAAGTTTATTTTGCCGAGGTTGAGGACACGCCCGTGACACAGCCTCAGGAGGCCCTGACGACAGGTGCCCGAGGTGGTCGGGGCGCGGCTTGGTTTTATGCATCTCAGGGAGACATGAGGCGTCCCTACACGCAAGATGTACGTTCCGGAAAGGTGGGACAGCTGGACGTGGGGTCGGGGGCTTCCGGGTCATAGGTGGATAAGACGAATCATTGCATTCTATGAGTCTCTGATCAGCCTTTCACTGAATACACAATCCACATATGAGAGGGGGTAGGGGAAGGGCCACGTGTGCCTTAGTCTGGCTCAGTGAGACAACAGGGCAGAGGAAGCAGTCAGATATGCGTTTGTTTCGGGGGAGCAGAGGGATGACTTTGAGTTCTGTCCTTTGTCTGCACCTGTGAAGATAAGCTGTCCACTGACATTGCCAGGGTGAAAACCCAACAACTGCTCTAGGGTAAAGATCTTGAGCCCCACGGGGAATTTCCTTGTGCACAAATTGTGAGGGAGGTGTGTGGCTTTTTTGTTTGTTTTTTTTGAGACATTGTCTCATTCCTGCTGCCCAAGCTGGAGTCCAGTGGTGCAGTCTCAGCTCGCAGCAACCTTTGCCTCCTGAGCTCACGTAAAGCGATCCTCCCAGCTCAGCCTCCTGAGTAGCTGGGACCACAGGTGTGCACCCCTGTGCCCTGCTGTAGCCACCTTCTTTAGGAATAAAATGGGAGGCAGGTGTGCCCGATGCAGTTCCCAGCTTGCTCTCTCCCTTTAGCTGAGTGATTTTGGGGTCCTGAGATTCATTGTCGTTTCACAATACCTTGTTTCCCAAATTAGCAACCAAAGAGAGCGGTTATACTTGCCCTGGGGCTTTAGGGGGAAGCGCAGCCCACCCTGTGTGGACTCGCAGCGGAAGCAGAGGCTGCTCCAGAGACTGCGGTGCCTTCCTGTCCACCCTGACCCAGGAGCCTCAGTGTTGAGTGAGGGGCACTGGCTGTTTCTTGAGGGTGGGAAGGAACACCTTTTCAGCCTACTGTGCAGGGTTTTTTTTTAAGGCAGGATTTCTGTTACCCAGGCAGGAGTGCAGTGGTGCGATCACAGCTCACTGCAGCCTCGAACTCCTAGGCTCAAGCCGTCCTCCCAGCTCAGCCCCCTGAGTAGCTTAGACTACAGGCATGCACCACTAGGCCTGGCTAATTTTTTCTTTTTTTTTGTAGAGATGGGGTCTCACTATGTTGCCCAGGCTGGTCTCAAACTCTTGGGCCCAAGTGATCTTTAGCCTCCACTTTAGCCTCCCAAAGTGCTGGGATGACAGGTGTGAGCTGCCACTTTCAGCCCTACTGTGCAGTTTTTTTTTTCTTTTTCTTTTTTTGAGACAAAGTCTTAATCTGTCAGTTAGGCTGGAGTGCAGTGGTGCGATCACAGCTCACTGCAGCCTTGAACCCCCTCGGCTCAAGTAATTCTCCCACCTCAGCCTCCAGAGCGGCTGGGACTGTAGGCGTGCAACAGCGCACTGGGCTAATTTTTGTCTTTTTTTTTTTTTTTTTTTGATAGAGATGGGGTCTGTCTTTTTTCTTTTCTTTTTTTTTTTTGGTAAGGAGTCTCGCTCTGTTGCCCAGCCTGGAGTGCAGTGGTGCAATCTTGGCTCACTGCAACCTCTGCCTCCCAGGCTCAAGCGATTCTTATGCTTGAGCCTCCCGAGTAACTGGGACTACAGGCACACGCCACCACACCCGACTAATTTTTGTATTTTTAGTAGAGACGGGGTCATGTTGCCCAGGCTGGTCTCAAACTCCTGACCTCAAGTGATCCGCCTGCCTCAGCCTCTCAAAGTGCTGGGATTATAGGCGTGAGCCACCGTGCCTGGCCCAGATGGGGTCTTTCTGTGTTACCCAAGCTGATCTCAAAGCTAAGCTGGTCTCAAACTCCTGGGCTTAAGTGATCCTCCTGCCTCAGCCTCCCAAAGTGCTGGGATGACAGGTGTGAGCCACTGTGCCAGCCTGTGCAGTGTTTTTAAAAGGATTGGTGTAACAGTAACTTGTGTGAACACATTGATGTGGTCTGGGCCCTTCCCCGCATGAAAGGACTGATGGAATCCTCAGAACTGCAGGCATGTTGAGCGCCAGAAGCAGGGTCCTTGGGTCACTGACAGGCCGGCCTTGGTGAACACGTGCTGCAGAACACTACCTCCAGGTCCTCCCACATGTGGGACGCGGCGATGGCAGAGATAAGAAGGTGATGTGGCAGGAAAATTCTGAATCATACAAGGACGTGTTGTGCAATAGCTGCGTGAGCTCTAGCAGGATGTTCGAGAGAATGTCCTGGGGGCTCTTTGCCATGGGAGAGGGTGTTGCTGTGGGAAGTGTGCTGAGTTGTGTGTTCCTCGGCCCTCTGTGTGGCGCCTGCTTCCAGGCTGTGCGTGAGGCTGGCTTGTTCCGTCCTGGGATGCTGGCAGGAGTGTGGGTCTGTGCATTCCCATATCTTGTGAGGCATGTTCTCAGCATCAGCAGCCCCAGCTCCTTCCTCCTCGTGGTGACTGGGAGGCGAATGGGCCAGGGTGCTGGGTTTCCAAGAACACCTGCCTTGCTCTCTGTGGGGATCCACAGAGAGTTCACGCAGTGGCCCTGTCAGCCCTGAACATGGAGAGCCACTGCATGTGAGGCCTTGGGGGCATGTCTGGAGAGCCTGTCATGGCGTGGAGCTCACCGTACAGTCTCCTGGGACCTTGACAGACCGCACCAGGCCACATCCTGCGCCAATTAAACCCGAACCTCAGGGCTGATCCCGTTGTGGCCAGGAGGAAGAATGGATAATGCTGGGCCTGGGAGGGACCGGGAGGCCGAGTCCGAGGCGAGAGCCATGGGGTGGTGCTTGTTCCGGTTCTCCTGCAGCCGGTCTGTCCATCCTGCCTGCTGTGACTGTTCTCCAGCCACTTTCTCTTTTTCATTTTTCTTGCTGGAAAGCTGTAGAAGGCAGTGGGGTGGGAACGCTCCATCCACAGTGCAGGTTAGAACCTTGGAGGTGATGGCTTCGCCTGGCAGTGAGGTGAACAGAGCCTCCAGCAGTGCCGGGCGTGTAGCCAGGGCAGCTGCAGCAGGAGGACGCCCAGAGCCTTGGCTCTGAACAGATAGAACCATCGAGGCCGAATCGGGCAGTCCTCCTGTTCAGACCAACTGTGTGTCCCTTTTGTGAGACAGCTGGTGACCCCTGCTGGCACATCTGTGTCCCAGCCGTGAGGCGGCCGCTCCCTGTCCATGCCGGCAGTGCACCGTGCCCACGGGAAGCTCGGTGTGGGGGTTTGGAGCAGCAGCACGCTGCGTGACTCCCCAGGTGATGCCAGGGAGATCTGGATAAGGAGGTCCACATCTCCACCTTCATCTTCTTTCCTCAAGTCACTTTTCCTGGCACCTCACTAACCATGAGGTTTCACAGGAACCTTGGGGAGTCCCTTGTGTGCTTGGCCTGGGGACACAGGACTGTGTCGGACTGCTGGGGCCAGAAGGGTTTTTCTAGAGACCAGACCCAAGCAGCTGCTGTCCACCTGCCACGTGTGCCAGCCCCAGCCTTCCTCCCAAGTGAGTGGGGGAGGGAGGCTTCTGGGTGTTGCCGGGACCTGGCCGGGGGCGGAGTGGCTGAGCTGTGCAGGAGAGGATGGGGCGCAGGCATCCACAGGAGCCAGGCTGCCCTGTGGATGTGGCCGTGGAGCCTGCACCTTTCTCCCCCAGTCACTCCAGGGCTTCTCTGAGCCCGCAGCCGGCCAGCTCAGCGGCCCGGGGTTGGAAGGAACGCAACATCCATGCCTGCCTGGCGGTCTCAGCCTCTGAGGAGACGACACAGGGAGCTTTGGACGCTGCAGGTGTCTTCAATATTCATTTTCAAAATATCAGTCTTAAGTCTCAGCGGGGCCTTTTTCTAAACAGACGGTAAATGCAAAACCTCCCCCAGAGCAGCTCTGAAGGCAGCGCGTTTCTCTTCCTCCGTGGTGGGAGGAGGCTGGGCTTTGAGGGCGGGAAGCCCTGGTCGAGGCTGGACCCGCAGCCTGGCCCTCCCCAGGCGATGGCAGCCCCGGCTGACCCACAGCGCTCTGAAGACAGGTCCTCGGACACCCGCCCAGGGGCGCGTTTTCACCTGCGGAGCAGGGGTGCGGGGAACAGCTGGGAGGTGGGGGGGGTCCCAACCGCAGCTGAGCTGGAAGTGCAGAATTTCAACTGGCAGCGAGACTGGGCTTCCCAGAGCCAGGATGAGCCAGGATGTGTGGGGTTACCCTGCCCCCATTTTCCCTCCGCGTGGAGTGGGGCGAGTGAGCGGCTCACGCTTGGCTCTGAAGCTCCCTGGGCACGGGGGGCTGTGACTGGGCCAGGCAGGGGCGGCTCTTCTGGCGGCAGTGACAGAGCTCACGCTGCATCGCTGTGCCCCGGGGAAGACTTCACAGCTATGGATATTTAGGGTCCAGTTCAGTGTGTCACACACCAGAAACTTTAAATTTTTTTCTCAAATGTTCTACTTTAGTTGGCAAAGTATAATTCTTAAAAGTCATGGCGGAGTATTGGGTGCAATCCTCCTGGAGGCAGGAACGGGCTTAGCACCGGCAGGTTCTGGTTGGCCCTTTGCTGCTGTGTGCGTGGGTCCCTTCGTCTCTCCTCTCTCCCTCCAAGGTGGGATGTGGTACCCTGGGAGCACCTGTGCTGAGTCTCTCCTTGGTGTCCAAGGGGCTGGGATGGCCCAGGGTGCACAGGTGTCCCCGGGCAGCCTGCAGATGCTTCTCGACGACACGGCCCCTTTGAGTTCGAAGGTCAGATCTGGAAGCCACGTTGCCACACAACAGCGACTTCGCAGCACTGTCGCCATGTGTCCCGCTCTCTTGCCAGGGTCCAGGCAGCTGGGAAACAGCTTGGTTTGCTGAGAAGCCACGTCCTGGGTGTCCCTGTCCCAGAGCCCTCCTCGCTCCCAGCCTGCAACTGGGGCCTGGTCGGGCGCCCTGGCATGTTTCCTCCTGCTGCAGGCGTGCTCAGGAAGTGCTGTGTGTGCATGGCGCCCGCGGGCATGGCCTGTGTGCTGGGTGCTGTTTTACTTCACTCACGTCATAGAATCGCAGACAGCAGCCCTGCCACCTGTTTGTTCTGCAGGTGAGCACGTGGAGTTCCCAAGGGGAGAACTGGCCCCGGGCTAGGTGACCCCTCTCAGCTCAACAGTTCCATGTGATGCTGAGAGATGTGCGTGCATTCTCCTGGTGCAGCCATCTCAGCAGGGGTCCTGGGGTCCCCTGGCAGGACGCGCGGGCCGGGTGTTGACAATGGGGTGTCATAGGTCAAGCCTCACAGCCTGCGTTTACGGTGCTTGGTTAAATGGTCCCCAAAATCACGTTTCTGTGTTCAAAGTGTGGGGAAATAGGATTGGGGTAGAAGGTGACATCTGAGGCCTGCGCCTCCTCTTGGGTTTGCTGAATTCCAGAAACGATGGAGCCCTGTGGGCGCCGTGCTGTGGCTTTAGGATTTTGTGAGGCTTGCCCTCCCCTCTGGGGACACACAGGCTCCAGGCTGCGAGTTGCCCAGGTCTTGGTGTTCATTGGAGATGAATTTCTGCACTTGTGTGGGGGTCTTCCTTAGGCCAGCATCACCATCGTGGTCTCCAAAGACCAGAGCCTGGCCTGAGGGGACAGCCTGAGAGCAGGTTCCTTCCTGACCTCGGAGCCCGTTCTCTCTGTTGTGGTTGAGCCACATTTGAGCTCCTGGGGGCAGGCCCTGGGCCTGGCACTCAGCACTGGAAGTGGTGTATAGGCCAGTTTAATTGGAGAAGCTCCTGAATGTCTGTCGGTCTGTCAGTCCGTTGGGTTTCAGATGCATTTCAATGGCTGAGTGCTCCTCAGTGCTTGCGGGGAAGCGAGGAGGATGGGGCCGCCCCTGGCGTAAACTCTCTGCTGTGCCACGGGAGGGGTCTGCCTTGCTTTACATCTGCGCAGGGCTCGGGGCCCGAAGTGCTGGGTGCGACAGTCGTTTTAGGCACATTTTAGAGTTTGCGGAGGGACGAGGAATCCCACCACCTGCGGCCTCGCACACTTGCTCCTGGAGCTCTGACGCAGCTGCCTCCCTCACATCCACGCAGTGATTGCCACTCAAACTTTGAGAATCACAGTGGAGAACATTCTGTGAATATTGTTTTCTTGTTTTTATTCCTCAGCGTTCAAAACATTTTTTCCATATTTCTTTTTTTTAATGCATGGCCTTCCAATGACTTTTTCTGTATTTCAAAGATTAATAAAAGCACAACTTTTCAGAGCGTTGAGAAGCCGGCCCGTCTTGGGTGTGTGTGTTGTGCGGGGCCAGAGCTGGAGCTGCACTGGAGTGGCCGGGATGGCCCTGCCTTGGGCGGGGCTGTGGCTCCCGTGGGCGCCGCCGCTGCTGCCACAGATTTATTCCAGCACGAGGCGGAGAGGGGATGTCTTCCGTGTATGGACTCAGGAGGAAATCGCCAACTGGACCCAGAACCTTTCTTCCCCAGGGTGGCTCAGCTGGCTGGTTTTGACAGCGAACTTGTCAGCCCTGACCGTGATTTCAGTGGGGCACACTCACTCTCGGAAGAGGCGTGTTGACTGTGCCAAAGCTGGTGGGGCGGGGAGCCGCTTCTTCCAGGAGAGAGAGAGGGGTGATTTTCTGATGACTCACTTTTTTCCCACTCTTGGAGGATTAAGTTCTGGCCCCAGTGGCGCCACTGAAGAAAGGAGATAACCTCTTTCTCCTGCCCGGAGATGGCGCGTCTGGATTCAGGGAGATCGTGCGGCCAGCTTCCCTCCCTCTGCTCTGGATGGGGGCCGGCCGCCGCCGCTCACTCACGGCTCTCTCTCTCCCGCTGTGCCTGCAGGTGTGGCCGACGACGATGCCCTCGCTGAGGAGCGCATGCGGAGAGGCCAGAACGCCCTGCCAGCCCAGCCTGCCGGCCTCCGCCCGCCGAAGCCGCCCCGGCCTGCCTCGCTGCTGAGACACGCGCCTCACTGTCTCTCTGAGGAGGAGGGCGAGCAGGACCGACCTCGGGCACCCGGGCCCTGGGACCCCCTCGCGTCCGCAGCAGGTGTGCAAAGGGAGGCAGCCGTGGAGCAGGCGCAGAGTGAGACTTCTCTGGGTGCCAGAGGACAGCGAGGACACAAACCGCGCCTGGGCTGCTGTGTTCTGACCTGAGCGGGCGTGGGCGGTCGGGCGGGGCGGGAGGAGGTAGCCTCGCTCTGCTCCTCTCCCGCTCGCGGCGCCCCACGCCACGGTGGCTCCGGGCCCCCCACCGTTAAAACGGGGTCCGCGTGTCCTGTACGCAGCGTGTTGCTCCGCAAAGGATGACAGAGCTGCCACGGCAGTGCGAGGTGCTGCTTTTACCGTAGACGTGCCTTTTCGTAGCTTTCAGCGTAGAGCTTGAGGCCTGTGGCTTAGGCCGGGTGGTCTCGTGCTGGTGGGGTCTGCGTTTGCCCCTGCCCCTCCGTCAGCTTCACCTTCTCGTGCCTTCTTCTGCGCTGGGTGCAGAACAAAAGACCCCCTCAAGTCAAGCCTCCTTGTGAAGCGTAGTCTGCCCGCCCACCCCCCGTGGGGTTCTTGGCCGCCCTGCCCTCCTCCCACCTGTTAGGGAGCCGGATAGTCTCTGAAGTGAGTGCCCCGGAGAAGTTCTGGGTCACCCTGAGGACGTGCTGTGCATGTAGGCTTGGCCCTGACTGCGTCCTAAAGCCCAGGGTCCATGTAGTGTGAATCGTGCGTCAGTTGGAAGTATTTGTGCCTCTTCTGGTTCTTATCACCGCACGCGGTGAGGTGACCCCAGCCGCTCATGTCGTGCAGGAAGACATGGATGGTTGATCCCTGGGTTTGGGGGACCGAAGCGGATGTCGTGAGGTTACTTCTGTGGACTTGGGCCGAACAGCACTGTCTAAGCAGGACATGAAAAGAAGGGGGAAGCGTCTCTCCTTTTCCCTTCATGGAACTTTCCATTGAAAAATTAGCCCCTTCCAGTCCTTCTCGGATGAAGCACAGTTGCCGGTTACGCTTCCGAGGAGGACGGAAGGTGCACCCCCAGCCGTGAGAGCCTCAGGATGTGCCGCCTGTGGGTGGGCACGGCAGCCCCTCCAGCCGGCCGCCCACCTGCCGTGCTGCGCTCACCTTTGCTGTGTGAGTCTGTGCTGTGTCACTGAGTGACAGACAGAGGCAGTTGCAGGCTGCATGCACCCAGAAAGAACTCCCCCTGCACTAAGCGGGCATGGGGGAGGCTCCCCAGGGTCCCTGCACTGAGCGGGGTGGGGGAGGCTCCCCACGGTTCCCTGCACTGAGCGGGGTGGGGGAGACTCCCCACGGTTCCCTGCACTGAGCGGGCGTGGGGAAGGTTCCCAGGATCCCTGCACTGAGCGGGGTGGGGGAGACTCCCCACGGTTCCCTGCACTGAGCGGGCGTGGGGAAGGTTCCCAGGATCCCTGCACTGAGCGGGCGTGGGGAAGGTTCCCAGGATCCCTGCACTGAGCGGGCGTAGGGGAGGCTCCCCAGGATCCCTGCACTGAGCGGGCGTTGGGGAGGCTCCCCAGGGTCTGTTGTGCGCTCCTGGTACTGGAGGGTCTGATGGCCGTAGGGAGGGTGCACTGTTTGTCGATGGGTCTTTGCAAGGTGCAGGATAGAGCAGGGTTGTAGCTGTAGTGTCCCTGAACCACTGGGGTTAGGAGGCCACCGGAAGCCTGGCCTGCTAGGGGCCTTGTGATTTCGCAGGCCCCGAGAACGTGGTGTGCAGGTGCGGGCCGCCTGGGGGAGCCATGTTTAAAGTGCGGTGAGGCTCCTGGAACGGCACCCACCGCAGGCCCGAGGCCACACCTGTATGTCAGAACTGGGCGGGTCTTCTCCTCCCAGGCCTTCAGCGCCTGTGGCTATGGCTGTGGGCGGGACTGATACGGGCAGGCAGGCGCTGTTCTCCCCACGTATTCTCGGCTTCCCCGCCATACACCGTTTCTGAGTGGGGAGAACTGGTTGACTGCTGAATCCCAACACAAATCCTTAGAGCAAAGAGGCCAGTGATGGCTTTTGTTTCTGCCCGGATCCTCTTTGTGGATCTTCCGTTTTGCGGCTTTTCCTCTCATTTGTTTCCTTTTTTTAATCGCTTCATGAGATCTTGAAGATACCAAAGTAACCATCAAAGATTTAAAGACGTGATTTTTATACAAATATATAACGAACACGTCAGAGACTTTTACTTAAGTTCTTACTGAGAGATGACAAAGCTGACTCAAAGGATGAGTCAAGAAACCGCTGCAGAGTTGGAGACAGAACTGGAGTGAAATTGCAAAGCAGGGTGGTTTTGGTCTCTGCAGAGGCCATTTGCGACTCACTCACCAACTCCGGTGTCAGGGTGCTGGTGGGTGACAGGGAAGAGGTTGAGCAAGCCTCCGCCCCTGCAGGCTCGCTCATTATACAATGAGCACCTGCACCACCAAATCCGAACAACTGTACATGCTTACAGAGAAGGGCACGTGCTAGTGTGGGAGTGACAAAGTCACACGGGTGCAGACCCCTTAGCTCCAGCCTGCTGGGTGTTCTGACGAATGGACTTTGTAGCGATAACACAGGCTCCTGAGTCAGGATACTGGTTTGCTGCATTTCTGCGTCACTGAAGGTCTCGCTTTCCCCGAAGCCCCTTGTCACAGAAAACCCATGACTCTTGGCCAGGCCTCTGGGTGCCTGGAAGATCCCACTATCATCTTTTTGTGGGATTTGCATGTCCTGGTCAAGGTTCCTGTAAAAGGAATACAGTGAGGAGACCGGCCACCCGACAGTATTGATGGCCCCCACTTTGGCCTCCAGCCGTCTGACCCGTCCCTGAATCGAGCAGGTCCTGTCGGAGCTCCCAGGAGTGAGCGAGCTTCCACTCACAGGGTCACAGCCAGGTGTGCAGCCCCCAGGCCTGGGCGGTTCTAGGGCATGATTTTTTTTAGGCTGGAAATGAGCTCTCACTTGAGATGCACCCCTCAAAATACTGAACGTACTGCTTCTGTGAGAATTTCCCCTCCTTGTGTCTGGTGTGATTGACAACGGGTGCAGCCAGTGGAAGCAGGAATGTCGGGGAGCGCGGGGTGCAGGGGGTGCCCTGTCACAGTCAGCGGGGAGCGCCTGTCCCTGCTGCGTGGTGTGGGGTTCCCGTGGCTGGCATTTGCTGCTGTGTGGAGTCCTCAAACCCAGCGCTCGCCCTGCCTGCGTTCAGAGGACAGAGGCACCACCGGGAACCCACCGGATCCTCACTCAGGCTTTGGAAAGGCCGAGTGATGTTTTGTGTTTGTGAATTCCACACATACTGTAGGAGTATCAAGAACACGTAACTGTTAAAAAAGGAAAAGTAAAATTACTGAACAGGAAAGAAAGAATAAAGCAGGTCCTTTGTTTTTTTGGCTGAGGAAAGCAGCCTGCCCTGGAACGCTGTAGAATGTCTCCCTTTTTGTGAAGCACAGCATGGAGCTCTCGGAACTGAAGATGGGAATCTAACCCTGCCCTCAGCTTTCAACAGCTCGAAGTTTGTCTTTTTAATGAAACTAATTTGTGTATTTATACTTAAGGGTTTTCAAGTCCTTAAACTTGATAAGAAAACTTAAGTCGTTTTCTATCAGGACAAGTTTTTAAGTAGTCACTGGTGGGAGAGCGTGCCTCTGTGGACTGTGCCCAAGGCTGGCGGTCCCACGAAGTCCCAGAGCCCGCGAGCCGGTGCCCAAGGCCATGTCTGTGATTTGCAGGAGGTTCAGGTGACAGGAAGGCCTGCTCTGTTTTTCTCACTTCAATTTTGGACTTTTTTTTTTTTTTTTTTTTTTTTGAGACAGTCTCGCTCTGTCGCCCAGGCTGGAGTGCAGTGGCGTGATCTCGGCTCACTGCAACCTCTGCCTCAAGGGTTCCAGCGATTTTCCTGCCTCACCTCCCCAGTGGCCGGAACTACAGGTGCTTGCCACCACTTCTGGCTCATTTTTGTATTTTTAGTAGAGATGTGGTTTCTCCATGTTGGACTGGCTGCTCTCGAACTCCTGACCTCAGGTGATCCCCCCGCTTCAGCCTCCCAAAGTGCTGGGATTACAGGCGGGAGCCACCGCGCCCGGCAATAGTGGAGGCTTGAAGAACACCGGAAAGTGGTTTCCTTGTACCGGACCCGCCCCTCCCCCACCATCCCGGCAGCCCCAGGGCGGGTGAGGGCGACTGCAGTGTGGTCACCTCAGGCTTTCCGTCCCTAGCTCATAAAGGCCCAGTGGCAGCAGTTGCTTTAAAGGAGCTCCGTTACTCCCTTTGTTCTGGGGTCTTGGTAAAGTTTGCTTTGCTGAAGCGGAGGAACCGCAGGCGGTGCTGACCCCCCCACCCCGCCCCCATCCCACGGGGTCCCTTGGGTCCCGGGGCACGAGGCTCCTCTGAGGGACACGGCCTCCAAGAGCTGGCTCTGCCCTGGCCGCCCTCCACAGTCACGGCGGCTCCCCGCATGCTCCTCGGGACGGAGATCTCCTGGCTTCCTCCCGCTTCCTTTCCTCTGCGTTTTCCGCAGAGCCGCCTCCCTGCTTTGGAAGCAGGTACTCAGCGGCCTCTGCAGCCGCCAACGGCACACAGGCCTCTCTCTGTTCGTTCTTTCTTTCCGTAACCGTAGCTTGAGGCACATTTCCTAAATATGCAGCATGGAACGCTTGGCGGTTCTGAACGCGCATCTCGTGCTGCTCCTGTAGGGCGGTTAGGACGCGCTCCTCTGGCGAGGAAGGTGGCAGCCTCCACTGTGCACGGGTCACAGGCGAGTGTGGTGTGGTGTGGTTGTGGGTGGGGTGTGGACTGGATCTGCAGGCTTGTCCCTCTCTCGTGGAGAGCTGTCGGGGTCCAGGCAGTGCTCAGTGGTGAGAGCCACAGCACATTTGAAAGTCCACATGTGTTTGCCCCACTGTGGTCCAGGACATGTGTGAGCCACACTCAGTGGACTTGCACCTGTGACATGTTGGTCAGCGTGGCGGCCGTCAGCTGGGTGTGGAATGCATCTGATTGGAGCCTGGCACCCGGCCTACCATGATTGTGATTCTCTGGGGCGAGTCCTGAGTGTGGGCAGGGCCTCAGGCCCCCAAGAGGGCTGTGAGCAGGCACCTTCCTGTGAGGCACGATGCCACCATGTGAAGTTGTGTGGGTCTTTGGAGAGTTCTGGCAGGTTGAGGGCCTGTGCGTGTGGGACCCAGGCCTGCCCTGCCTGCTGCCGGCCATGTTCCCTCTGCCCAGTCATGTTGACAATTGTGGCCAAATTCAACATCGGGCCTGTTTCCTGCACCCACGTTGGCACACACTGAGTTCAAGACAGTTTCTGCAGAAATGAATCCAGAGGTGTTTATTTCTGGCACGTTGGATCAGACGTTCAGAGGGTGGGCGTCTTTCTCCATGCACTTCAGCTGGATCAGTCAGTGTCAGCCATTGACTTTAGCAACAGGGAAATGAAAGACTTTCCTCAATAAGAAATGGGACTTTCTCACGCTGGATGGCACAGAGCTGGCAAACATGAGGCCAGTCCACACCAAGGCTTTGCCTGCAGAAAGGCTGCACTGTGGCCAGCGGGGGAAGCGGAGGAGACACCTGTGGACACCCTCCCCACAGGTGGGCACACCTTTGCGCAGGCCCAGTGTGCGTTCTGAAGGAGAGCCCAGGGTGGGGTTCCGGGACTGAGGTGCAGCCGTGTCCAGGGTGGGCTTCTAGCTCTGCCGCTGGGCGGAACTGGGGTAGGTCCCAGGGTGGGGTTCCAGGACTGAGGTGCAGCCGTGCCCAGGGTGGGCTTCTAGCTCTGCCGCTGGGCAGAACTGGGGTAGTCCCAGGGTGGGCTTTTAGCTCTGCCGCTGGGCGGAACTCGGGTAGGTGGGAGTCCTCACTTCTCTGCAGGGTGGTGAAGCTCTCTGGGTAGTGTGAGCAGTTCTCAACGTGCACCTTGGAAAGCGCCCGTTTTGAGGTTTAGCTGTGGCCAAGATAGATGACTTCATTTTGTTGCTTTTTGTTCTTAACATGGGGAGATATTTAGAAAACATGTTTGGCTCTTGCTGGGGAAGCAGTGCTGTTCCGTACAGTGTTTTACAAGCCGTGTTTCCTTAGGATTGAAAGAAGGTGGCAAGAGGAAGAAGCAGAAGCAGAGAGAGGAGTCGAAGAAGAAGAAGTCGACCAAAGGCAATCACTAGACCGGACTTGAGGCACGCGGTGCACCCCCAGACGCTGGCGCTCCACCGTGCTCGGCATGCGGTCGTGCACACGCGCTAGGTAGCAGCGTCGGTCAGGACTGTCTCGAGGCCACACTCGCTCGGCAGGATTATGCGATCACGGATCAGTCAGAGCAGGGTCAGGAGACGGGGCTGACGGCACGGGTGGCGGGGACAGACGTTTGGGACTTGGCCGCGACTCTCTGCTTCTCTCCAGCTCTCAATCTGCTGCATTTTCCTCTAGTGCTTCCGGATCCTCTTCATTCTTTTCGGCTACTCAACCACTCCGCATGCTGCTGGAATATTTCTGGCTTTAGAAGTACAGGAGGGCGCAGATGGCTAACTGAGTAACATTCATGAAATGAGGCTTTCTGTGGCGGCGTAGTGTTTGGAATTAGAAGGTAATTCAGTAGAGTGTAACTTAGAGAATATTGCAAGTGACACATTGAATCCTGCCCGTCAGGGCACCTTTTCCTCAGAGCAATCCGGCCACACGAATAGAAGGCTGTCGTGAATCACATCAGATGTAAAATCATTCCTTCTGTTTACTCTTTTAATTTTCATCCTTTGCAGGTAGTGCAAATTCAACTTCAAATATGGTGTAGGTTTTGCTAGATTCCATATTTTTTTCTTGGATTTTTGCTAATTATTTTTAGCAAAAAATTTTTGCTCAGTGGCACTCTCCCTAGTGTCCATGGGTTAGGGCCATGCTGGGGAAAACGGGCCGGTATTTACACACGCGCAAAACACCCAGAGACGGCACAAGGAGGTTGAACTCATGTTTCAGTTCGCGAACATTGACTCCTTACGAAAGTCACTTCATTCTAACTAGATGCGCCCACTTCCGGTCATTATTTCGTTTGCATGATGTATTGCTTCTTCACGTTTTGTTTTTATTGAGCACGGAGTAGAATTCCAGGGCTGCCTTGACTTCTTCCCTGCATGCTCCCTCCCAGTGACTTTCCTTCCCTTTCACATGAGGATCTGCCGTTCATGTTGCTTTCTCCTTTGTCCTCTTGGACTTGAGGGCATTGTGAAAAGCTTTGCTGTGATTTAAAAATGCCAGCAATTTTAATCTAGCAGTGTTGAAGCTGGGAATTTTTTGGCGCAATCCATGTAGCAGTGACCCAGGCTTGGGAGCCAGAAACAAGTGTGACCTGGGATTTTATTTAACACAACTGTTGCCAAAGAGTTGGCTTTGTTTATTTGGTTTTGGCGGGGAGAGGAGTGGTATTTGATGCTTTCTGTGGACAATGTAACCCTAAACACATCATGTATTTTAAATGCCACCTACATAAATAAAACATAAGCATATTGAATACAGCTCGCCTGCTGTCCTTTGTAAGCGCCAGTAAGTTGCACCGTTAAGACTGACTAGAAATAAAAGCAATTCTTCAACATTACGATTACAAAGGATGAAAGTGGTGTTTTGCAGGCAGAAGCCTTGCTTCCGAAATGCGTCACTGTAAGGCGAAAACATGACTTTAAAGCTAACACCCCCGGCTGGGCAAAGTGGCTCACGCCTGTAATCCCAGCACTGTGGGAGGCCAAGGTGGGCAGATCACCTGAGATCAGGAGTTCAAGACTAGCCTGGCCAACATGGTGAAACCCCATCTCTACTAAAAATACAAAAAATTAGCCGGGTGTGGTGGCACACGCCTACAATCCCAGCTATTCGGGAGGCTGAGGCACGAGAATTTCTTGAACGAGGGAGGCGGAGCTTGCAGTGAGCCAAGATCGCACCACTGCACTCTAGCCGGGAGACAGAACGAGACTCCGTCTCAAAAAAAAAAGGCCGGGCACGGTGGCTCACGCCTGTAATCCCAGCACTTTGGGAGGCCGAGGCGGGTGGATCACGAGGTCAGGAGATCCAGACCATCCTGGCTAACACGGTGAAACCCCGTCTCTACTAAAAAATACAAAAAATTAGCCGGGCGTGGTGGCGGGTGCCTGTAGTCCCAGCTCCTTGGGAGGCTGAGGCAGGAGAATGGCGTGAACCCGGGAGGCAGAGCTTTCAATGAGTCCAGATTGCGTCACGGCACTCTAGAGAGAGCGAGACTCTATCTCAAAACAACAACAACAACAAAAAAGTAACACCCCAACGCACAGATGAGGTGGAAACTCCCGCAGCCTTCACAGGAGGCATTGAGGGTCCCGAGAGGAAAACCTCGTCGACTCACCCTGGCTCTGCTGGCGACCAAGACTGGGCCAGACACGCGCTCAGTGCTGACATCCTGGCGTCCGGCCTTCCTGGTGACAGGGGAAGGCGGTGCAGTAAGTCGCCTTGCGGGCCGGGGTCGGGGGTGTTTTTAAAACAAGATTAGTCCTTCTCAACTGCTCAGATCCCAGAATCTGCTGCTGAGATTGTGGCGAGGGAGGCAGGTGGTTCGACAGGTTTAGAGGTGACTGTTGTGCCCTCAACCCTGCCCACTTGACCCTCAGGCCGTCCCAGGAGCGTGGCCGGGCTGCCTCAGCAGGGGCACAGCTAGGGAGCGTGGACAGAGCCGCGAGCGCCTTCCAGACAAGCCAGGCCACACACAAGACAGGCTCTTGGCAAAGGGGCCAGAGCCCCGTCTTCACACGGCCTGGCTACCGAGTCAGCTCATGTCACAGGTGGGTCCTCCCTTCGCTGAGAGGGAGAGACCCCGACCCCAGGAGGAGAAGGGAGCTGGTGTCCATGGGGCCCGGCAGGTGCATGGCCAGCAGGTAGGCATCTGCTTCTCAGGTGAGGAGGGGTATTGGGGTCTACCCGACCCCTGCGCCCAGCGCCCCATCCCCCTAGGGCGGGTCCAGGAGCTCTGTGCTGCAGATAGAGCCCGCGGCTGCTTATGCCAGCGTCTGCTGAGGGGGTGGATGCTGCAGATAGAGCCCGCGGCTGCTTATGCCAGCGTCTGCTGAGGGGGTGGAGAGGGAGCCCGGCCCCTGGGTGTGCTCGGCAGCTGCTGAGATGATGGCAAGGGGGAGCGCGGCACCTGTCGTCGTCACCTTTGTGACGTCCCAAGCACTGGGGGGCCCTGCGGGGGGTGGGGAAGGCAGTGAGGTGCTGGTGGGTGGGAGGCAGGGGGGCTGTGGACGGTGTGGCAGGGACTGCAGTTGTGGGACTGGGGTGGGGAGTCCTGGGGGTGTCAGGACCACAGTGGGGCTTCCTGGCCACCCCACTGCCAATCCCAGGGCCACCCTGTACGCCATTCACTTTTGTCAGGGGCATAAAGGGCTGCAGAACCCACTTTCTGTAAGTAAATACATTTAAACATCCTGAAACGTTCACACCCTAACCCTAACCTGGGGGTCCCACGTGCCTTCCCTCATGTGGGTTGCACAGCTGGAGACAGAACCAGGACGTGGCGCCGTCACCAGGGAGAGCTCTCTGCTCTTTTGTTCATAGGCCTGGAAAAGTGGGACCATGACGTGAATAACCACACCTGTGTTTAACACATTTTGTTTTGTTTTTGTTTGTTTGTTTTTTTGCAATGGAGTCTCACTCCGTCACCTAGGCGGGAGAGCCGTGGCACCGTTATCACACCTCAGAAAATTAGTAATTCCCCCATGCCAGCTACTTCTCAGTCCATTTTCAGAAACTATTTACTTTTATTCTTTTCTTTTTTGAGGCAGAGTCTCACTTTGGCACCCAGGCTGGAGTGCAGTGGTTCAATCATAGCACACTGTACCTTGATCTCCTGGGCTCAAGCGATCCTCCCACCTCAGCCTCCCAACATGCTGGGGCTACAGCTGTACCACCATGCCTGGCTAATTTTTAAATTTTTTATAGAGACAGGATTTCACCATATCATCCAGGCTGGTCTCAAACTCCTGGGCTCAAGCAATCTGCCTGCCTCAGCCTCCCAAAGTATTGAGATTACAGGCGTGAGCCACTGTGCCTGGCCCGTAATTTTTTTGTTTGTTTTTTTTTTTTTTTTTTTTGCAGGAGACTGGAGTTTTATTGTTACTCAAATCAGTCTCCCCGGGCTGTGATGTTTTTAAACTAGACTTCAGTCAAGACTACACATTGCATTTAGTCGTCACGTGTATTAGGTCTCTGTACGCTTTTACCTTTTATTATGAAAAATCTTAATGTCCAAATTGTGTGCTTGGAACAGGTAACTGTAGAAATGAATCCCTCTCCCTGGCCCAGAGGTGCACAGCGCCCGCCCCTCTTGTGTATCTGCACCCCCTCCCCATCATGTTTTTTTGTTTTTGTTTTTGTTTTGAGACAGAGTCTTGCTCTGTGGCCCAGGCTGGAGTGCAGTGGTGTGATTCGGCTGACTGCAACTTCTGCCTCCTGGGTTCAAGCGATTCTCCTGCCTCAGCCTCCGGAGTAGTGGGGACTACAGGCGCCCGCCACCGTGCCCGGCTAATTTTTGTATCTTTAGTAGAGACGGGGGTTTCACCATATTGGCCAGGCTGGTCTCGAACTCCTGACCTCAAGTGATCCACCTGCCTCGGCCTCCCAAAGTGCCGGGATTATAGGCGTGAGCCACCGCACCCGCCATCATGTTTTGAAGTAAGTCCTGGGCTATGCATGACTTCATCTGTCAATATCTGACCTGCCTTTCCTCCAAATTTCTTAGCTGGAATTCTGTAAAGACGGATTTTCCCTTATCCACTGCTTGGGTCCCAGAGGTACAGTTTCTGCTTCAAAAGGCCCCGCACATTCTTGTTTTTCCCGAGTCCCAGTGTCTAGAGCCACTGGCTGGCTCCCTGGCTCCTCCGAGGACCCCGAGGTGACCAGCGGCTCTGTTAGTTCCATCGTGAGCCCACAAGCTGTGATCGCACTTGTGGTGTTTCACGGTTGAGGCCATTGCCCTTGGAAGCTCGGATGGCCGCATCCTGGGGCGACAGACTCCTCGGTGCCTGCAGTTCGTGCTGGCCTCAGGGCCTCGGCTGCTCTGGGTCCTGCCTGGAGACCCCAAGGCTGCCTCTGTGGACGGAGGGAGAGAGTATTTTTTAAAGAGAAAATTCATATTAGGATATATAATATAAAGAATTTATATTAATATTTCCAGTTCAAATTTAGGATTACAGGGTTTTCACTATTTAGATTTTATATCAGATTTTTTTCTTTTACTCTGAGAATTTGAATTTTTTTTTTTTTTTTCAGATGGTCTCGCTGTGTCACCCAGGCCGGAGTGCAGTGGTGTGATCTCGGCTCACTGCAACCTCCAACTCTCGGGTTCTAGTGATTCTCCTGCCTCAGCCTCCCGAGTAGCTGGGATTACAAGTGCCCACCACCACGCCCGGCTCACTTTGTATTTTTAGTACAGATGGGATTCTACCATATCAGCCAGGCTGGTCTCAAACTCCTGGTCTTAGGTGATCCACCCGCCTCGGCCTCCCACAGTGCTGGAATTACAGGTGTGAGCCCACCACGTCCAGCCAGATTTTTAGTTCTTAATACATAACATAGTTACTTATTTGACATATAGAAAATTTGATATATAGAAAATATAATAATTTAAAAATTTAAAAAAATTTTTAAAATTCAGAGAGAGCTCTTCGATCCTTTTTCTCTTTCTTTCTTTCTTTTTTTTTTTTTTTTTTTTGAGACGGAGTCTCGCTCTGTCGCCCAGGCTAAAGTGCAGTGGTGCGATCTCGGCTCACTGCAACCTCCGCCTCCCAGTTCAAGCGATTCTCCTGCCTCAGCCTCCCGAGTAGCTGGGATTACAGGCATGCACCACCACGCCCAGCTAATTTTTGTATTTTTAGTAGAGACGGAGTTTTGCCACGTTGGCCAGGCTGGTCTCGAACTCCTGACCTCAGGTGATCCACCCGCCTCGGCCTCCCAGTGCTGGGATGACAGGGGTGAGCCCCCGCGCCCGGCCCCATGGTTGTTCTCAGGCTGTGACACTGGGATGCATAAATCTTGAGATAATCCCTCTTGGTGTGGCTAAGCCAACAACTCCGTAGACCCTTAGCTTCATTTATTTTCTTTTACTTTCAACGTCTAGGATTTAAGAAATGTTTGCTGTAAATATGTGCATGGTTCCAAAGCAGAATTCACAAACAAGGCGCCCTCAGGGGAGTCCGGCTTCCGCACCTGCCCCAATGGGCTTTCATTTCCATTTGTTTTTATTTCCTTCCATTTCAATACATTAAACATAAACAAAAGTTACTTTTATTTATAACTTAATTACATAATATTTAAATAAACATGAGGCGATCCTTCACTCCCGCCTTTGCTTTTCCTTCCTGGGCGTCTGGAGGGCCGTGCGCCTCACCGGCAGACCTGCCGCATTCCGGACCTGCCCCTGCCCCCGCCCCGAGTTGCTCACCTGGATCCTCTGCCCCCTGTGCAGGTCCTGGGGGCCGTAGGACCTGCAGTCACACATCTGGGCCCAGCACAACCCGTGCGTGGGGCAGGAGACGCGGGCACCTCCTCCTGTGTGGCGGAGCCCCGTGCGCACCTGGCGGTCCTGCTGGAGACGCTGAGTGCAGTCACCGTAGGGGTGCTGGGGCCATGCTCCTCCAGGGTGTGGAGGGTCTCTCACCTCTGTGCTGGCCCTTCCACTCTCAGAGACTGGTAGCTCGTTCATCTCCCGCTGCCTTGCTATGCAGCGGCATCTGGGGTCTGGACTACCATTCGTGAGTGGCTGCAGAACGCCGGCCTCCTCATCCTGTTACTCATCCTGCCTTTATCAGCTTGATGTCTTCCGAAAAGAAGCCTTCCCGAGTTGAGCACGGTGGCTCATGCCTGTCATCCCAGCACTTCGGGAGGCTGAGGCAGGAGGATCCCTTGAGCCCAGGAGTTCCAGACCAGCCTGGGCAACTGAGTGAGACCCTGTCTCTACAAAAAACATAAAAAAGTTAGCCGGGTGTGGTGGCACACACCTGTAGCTCCAGCTACTCGGAGGCTGAGGTGGGAGGATCGCGTACACCCAGCTGTGATCATGACACTGTGCTCCAGCCTGGGCAACAGAGTGAGACCACCCTATCTAAAAAAAAAAGTCTTCCCTTATTGACTGGGCATTTGCTTGTACTGAAATGTACCTTCTACCCCAGATGAAAAGTATTAATTAACTGGAGTACATTGAGGGCCAAGCCCCAAGAGAAAGCTGCGTCACCAGGGAGCATTCGAAGGAGGAGGTCACCGTCTGCTTGGAGAAGAGGCACTCACTTTATTAACTTTAAATATTTTATTCCTAAATTTTGGAAGTAAAATCAACATACAGGGAATACCTGATCATTGGTAGAAAAACCAGAAATGCAGATATGAAAACAAAGAAATGATCCCTGCCACCTGGAGACCTTGTCTTGGTGGACACACAGCAGTCTGTGCTTTACCCAACGATATGCTGGGAAAGACATCGCATCAGGAAATATTTCCATGAATATTTTCGTGGCACAGAATTCCTTTGTACCGAGATGACTTCATCACAGCCCAGTGCCGTTCTTACTCCTGCGGGCTGACTTCCTGCAGGCGGAAATCCTGTTTTATTTTTTTGCCACTTCTGGGGAGGTTCTTGTTCCTACAGGGTCCCACAGGGTCCCTTCCTGGACTTGTCTGTTGTCTTTGGGGCGGATTCCCAGAAGTGGGATGGCCAGGTCAAAGGTCAGATGAGCGCTCATCCCTGCGAGCTTCTACGCACCCGCACTCCTCCCCCTGCCTGCCCTGGTCCTTAAGAGGGGTCCTGCCCTCCATCAGGTTGGTCAGGGCAGCTCCCCTGCAGCCCACACTGGCTGTGGACAGAGCAGGGTGCCTGGAAGGCGTCCCTAGATTCATATTTTAGAGGTTTCTGACAGTTTTTTTTATTTGGCAAAACAGTTTTCTCCTGCATCTGGAACCCTCCCAGGCGAGCCCTTCGGTTGCACTGAGGAAGGGCCACAATCGTGGTTCTTGGCAAGCGAGGCGTGGACATGGCTGGCGCTGGTGGGAGGCCTCAGCCGTGTGGGGGCCCTGTGTGTCCTGACGAGGCCACCCACGCGGCTGCAGGGCTGTTGGGCATCTCAGAGGGCGAGGGCGCCAAGGGGCTGGGCTCTAGACGCTGTCCTGGCAGGCAGGCGTGGGGAGAGTTGGGCTGGGTGAGCACCCGTGGGATTCCCGGAGGTTATTTGGGGATGGGAGCACCCCGGGAAAGATGGACTTCCCGCGTTTGGGTGCCTTGGGCCCCTCGTCGCTGGGGTTTGAGTGTTCCTGGCGAGGCGCTGCTGTTCTGAGCCCAGACCAGGGGGCGGTGATGCCCTGGGGACTCCTCAAGGGCAGGCCCTCGCCATCCCTGGGCGGTCCTGGGTTTCTCCCCGTGCTGACTTCGTTTCTTCTCAGGAGAGGACAGAGCGGGCTGCCACTGTCACTGCTGTGCTGTGTAGGTGCAAAGCCCAGGGCCAGAACCCCCTAGCCAGGGGAGGTGCAGCCCAGCCTACCGTTCACCTGGACAGGAAGCAGGCAGGGACCAGGGCTGCCTCTCAGAGCCGGGCAGGTGGTGCCTGGTTTACAAAACCCAAATTCAGGGAGAAGAGAGACCTGACCTGCAGCTTCAGATCCACGCCTAGGCCGGGAGAAGTGGCTCGTGCCTGTCATCCCAGCACTGCGGGAGGATCCCCTGAGACCAGGAGTTCGAGGCTGCAGTGAGTCTCACCCGTGCCACTGCACTCCAGCGTGGGAGACACCGTGAGCCTTGTCTCTAAAACAAACAAACAAAGATGCACACTGATGCCTGTTCTCCACTTCTCTCCACAACGCTGCCTCCTAATGAGGCGGGTATCTGGGTCCACCCCGGAACCCCGAGGCTAGAGGCCAAGGGGAGTGTCAGCAACCCCGAGGCCTTTCATCCTGGAGGGTGGAGGGAAGAGCCTGAGGTAGACGCACGCACAGTGGGACCCCAGGTCAGCAGTCTGTCCTGAGACCCTGCCTTGAGCTGGGGGAGGGTGCACCTGGGTTCCACCCTTACCTGAGCGCCCTGAGCTCAGGCCCCACCCATACAGGGGCAGCGCTCACCCAGACACCCCGGGAGCCTCTCTCCCCTAGACTGGCCCAAGCACCTGCTGGCCCAGGGCAGGGGGAGGCAGTGAAGGGCAGTGGGCTTTGCAGAGAAGAGGGGTGAAGGCCACCGCTGTTGCCTGTGAAGTAGACTCAGGAGCACGGAGCCCCCTGTGAGCCCAGAGGGCCCTGGCTGACTGGCACGTGGGTCCCAGGCAGCCCAGTTAGTATTGTGCCCGCCTCTGCTGTGGGGTCCAGCCTGCTTTGCCCCTAGGCCTCCCTCAAGGGTGCTGCAGGGAGAGCCCGGCTGGCAGGTGACTTCCGGACACCCAGACCTGCAGAGCCTCGGCCCCCCCACCCGCTTGCTTGGGAGCAGCACGTGGCGTCTGCCACTCTCCTGCCTCTGCCCTCTCCCTGTTCCAAGCCACTGTGCTTCTCCCTGCGCTCACGTGGATCAGGCAGGAAGCAGAGGCAGAGGGCAGAGGGCTCCCTGCTCTCAGGCCCCGCCTGGGTGCAGTGTCCAGGGCAGAGGGCTCCCCCGTCTGGACCCTGCCTGGGTGCAGTGTCCCAGGGCCTATCCACAGACGCTGCGGGGCCGGGGCTTCCCAGGGCTGCTCCTGTCTGGTTGACAGAGGTGGGGGCATGGGTGGAGCCCAGGTGAGGGTAGGTTGGGCTGGGTGAGTGCCGGCTCACTTTCCCCTTTCTTTTCTGTAATAATACTTTTTTTCCTTCTTATTTTGGGGAATATATAGGCTATGATGAGGCTCAATTCAGCCGGATGTTTGTGCTCACGTGCTCACAGCGGCACTGGCCATGGCAGCTGGGGAGGGAGTGGATCCCGTGTGCGGGTGCAGAGATGGATGTGCTCCCTGCGCAGTGGGGCTGCGTTCAGCCCTCCAGAGGACGGGCTCTGATGTGCTGCCCGTGGACCCGCCCTGTGGACACGGTGAGACCCGCCCTGTGGACACGGTGAGACCCGACAGTCAGGAAAGGATGAGCGCTGTGTCCTTGCACTCACAGGGAGTCCCACGGCCGTCCGATTCCTAGAGGCAGAAAGTCGAATGGTGGGGGTGCCAGGGGTTGGGGAGGGGCTGGGGAGTTGGTTTACTGGGGACAGAGTTTCAGTTTAGGGAATGGGAAGTTCTGGAGATGGATGATGGTGATGGACACCAAGCAGCTCTTCATGCCGTGGAACTAACTGTGCACTTAGGAATGGGGAAAATGGTACATTTCCTGTTACATGTATTTTAGCACAATACAAAATTATTAAAAAATAAAAAGATGAGGCTTAGCCGAGAGTTGTGTAACAGCCCCCAGACAGAGCAATGGACAACAGAACTGAGAGTGCAGGGACAGGCTCCCGTCGCCTCCTCTGCGGGTGGGAGCCTGGTGCCCGTCTGGCTGCCCACGGCCCGCCCCTCCATGCTGCTCCCCTGGGCAGGACCTCCGCCGCCTCTGGGTTCCTTCACCTCTGGGTTCTCCTGACCGAGAACGTTGAGGACCAGGCAGCGGTCAAGGTTGGCCCGAGAGGAGGCGGTGGGTGGTGGGGACGAACCTCTCTGTAGGGAAGGGGCCCAGGAGCTGTCTTGAGACTCGGCAGCCCCCTCCCAGCTGGTGGCGAGCAGGGACAGGGAGGCCAGGCCGGTCACCTGGAGCAGACGGACACGGCCCAAGGACGCGGCTGGGGAAGGAGGGAGAGCGAGGTGGGGCACCTGGCTGGCAGTGGGGACCAGCCTTCGTCCCTCAGGGTCCATCAAGGGCGGAGCTTCCTGGATGTCGTGGGAAGGATGGTGGCATGGCCTGGACCCCGTAGGGGCAGCACAGGTCCCAGGAGTCTGGTACTGAGCTGGGCAGCCCCCGCCAGAAGCCGAGCTGGGGCACAGTCTTGGAAGCGACTGTGTGGGTTCCCCCTCTGCCTGGCTCCGAGGCCACCCCTTCCCTCCTGTGACTGGACGAGCTCCCAGGGGTCCTCTTGCCTTGCGCTGGCTTCCACGACTGGTGCCTGGCAACCAGGTCGCACAGTGGCAGACGGGGGGCTGGGGTGGCCGTGAGGTCCCTGGGCCCCCGCCACCCTCGTTCCCGGGCCCGGCAGGGACATATCTCCCCGGGGCTCCCACAGTCATGCAGGCAGTCGTCGGGGGTTCACACAGGATGAGGGTGCAGAGCTGGCTAGCGCACTCCAGGGCTCCCTGTGGCTCGCAGGCGCTGGGCCGCCTCACTGTGCCCAGCTTGCTGATGGGGGTCTCCGGGGAACACACCACTTCCCCTGGCCTGCCTCCTCCCTGCAAAAGGGCAAATCTTGCCTTGTGCGGCTTTTATTTGAGTAAATAACTGTGATAATGGAGGATTTTAAGAGGTGTTTTGACCCAGATTCAAACCTGCAGTGGAAAACACATGTTTTTTTTTTAGACAGTCTCTCTCTGTCGCCCAGGCTGGAGTGCAGTTGCGTGATCTCAGCTCACTGCAAACTCCGCCTCCCAGGTTCAAGCTATTCTCATGTCTCAGCCTCCTGAGTAGCTTGGACTACAGGCATGCATCACCATGCCCGACTAATTTTTGTATTTTTAGTAGGACAGGGTTTCGCCATGTTGGCCAGGCTGGTCTTGAATTCCTGACCTCAAGAGATCCACCTGCCTTGGCCTCCTAAAGTGCTGGGATTACAGGTGTGAGCCACCGCGCCCGGCCGGAAAACACACCTTCAAAAAACTGAGTCATCCTTTCCCTCCAGAGAAGCTACCATGTGTGGTGCAGTTTGCTTTGGGGACCCGCCTGGGTGGACCTGTCCCGGATCTCCGTCCGGGTCTGCCTGTGGAGTACCTGGCATCTCTGCCGAGGCCTGGGGTGCCCCTGACTGGCTCCTTGCCAGGGGAGGAGGCCTGGGGGGACCCCCGGGGGCTGCTGAGGTGAGGGGGGCCCAGGACCCGGCTGAGCAGAGTGAGTGGTCAGGGTCCAGCGCGGGCACAGAAGTGTGGGTGTTCACATCAGGGGCTGTGGGAGGGGCGTCCCCAGCAGAGGGAGGAGGGACGAAGGGGCCATCCCAGAACCCTGGGCTCACCACAGGGGGCATGGGGCTGGAGGGACCCTGTGAGGGGAACTGTGAGGGGCCAGCGGCTTTGCTGGGGACTGACCTGCAGTTGAGGAGGGAGGAGGGGCAAAGCATGGTGCCACCCAGGGCAGGACAGGGTCCAGGTGCCCAGCAGCCTCCATGGCACAGGATGGCCTGGGAGCCGCGTGGGAGCCTCGTGGGAGCTGGGATGTGGCGGCTGTGACCCGCATGGAGTCAGGGCCAGGCTCCTGCACCCCTGGGGAGTGGGCGCCCAGCGGGGCTACGGTGCTGGGGTGGGCTATCCCGGGAGGACAGCGTCAGTGGCTGTGGCTGGGAGTGAGGGAGGGGCTGGAAGGGCTCCCTCTCTGCACCTCTGCTGTCTGTGTGAGGTGTCGGCTCTACCAAAGCCCATAGCCTTCTCCTTGGTGAAGGCAGCTGTCACCAGGCGTGTGAGGCAGGGCTGCACCTGCTAGGCCCTCAAAGGTGAGGCTGGGACATCTCGCTGGGGCCTGGTGGCCAGGTCTTCTCCAAGTCCCTTGGGCCAGAGTCTGCTGGGGAGACCTGAACTATTTCTACTGTCCTGGGCCTCAGGGCAGGACGCAATGTGGGGACGCTTCCCTCTCTGCCCATGGGGTCCACCCGGGGAGCCCAGCCTGCGTTTCAGGCTCCCCCAAGTCCCAACGTGGGCCTGGTTCATGTCTCATCAAGAGAGCCTGTGGGCGATCTTACCTCCAGTCCACAGAGGGAAACACCTTGGACCCTGCGGGCGAGGCTGTGCCCCCGGGGACCCCTCTGGAGGGACCTGGATTGCCGGGGCCTGAAGTGGCCACAGCTGGGGCGGGGGGCCAGTTTCCCTGGGTGCTCTCTGCACCTGGGAGGGACATCCCAGGACATCCCCCAGTCTCACTGGGAAATCTGCCCACAGGGATGACAATACCCTGATTGTGAGGCATGCGGGTATCTCGCAGAGTCTTCCAGAGCTCATGGAGTAATTCTGGGGTGCTGATCAAGGTCTAGCTTGTGTGAGAGCCGGGGGCCACAAGGAGGGGCACGGCGCACCCCATAACAACAGCGGAAGTATGGCTGTTGGTGTTGGGACAGGGAGTTCTGTTTGCTGTCAGGGCCCAGAGACGTCCAAACCCTTTGGGAAGGGCTCACAGCTCCCAGGGTCGCCTCAGGCTCACGGAACCACAGGCCCAGTTTCCAGATGACCAACATAAGCTGCCCTTCCTTGGGCTTTTTCTGGGTTCGCTGCCATTGGCCACATAAAGGAAGGGCCAGTGGTTCATTTGAGGACACTGAGCAGGGTGAGCTTCTGAGCGTCTGCGCTCATGGATCCTGCAGCCCAGGCTATTTGGCACGCTGTGGCTGGAGCTTAAATTGTGGCTGACTGAGCCCCGTTCTCAGCTTAGTTAAAACTTCACGCAGCTGCCAGCTCAACAGGCTGCTTATGTGATTATTACAGTGAATTAGACAGGGCAAGGGGAGGACCACATGCTAGAGATGCTCAGCTTGGACCTTCCCAGGATGGATGTGGCTGGCCTGCTGCCAGCTTCCTGGGGGTGCATGGCTGGGCAGAGGCACCATGGGCAGTGGGCCAGGCTTCTCCAGCTCCCAGGACCTCCCCTCGGGGAGGACCGACCCTTAGGGTCCAAGTTTTGGGAGTGGGGGCAACCCCTGTCCCACACAGGGGACGGTGGACCTGCTGGGTAGCTGGGGGAGCTTGTACTGGGTAGAGGAGGCTGACTCAACATGCTCATGTTGTCATGAACCCCTCATGGGACTCCCCCAGAAAATCATATTCCTGTTTGGCCTGGTTACACACAAACAGACCTGGCCTAAGGGCGGTGTGTAAATACAATGTTTGGTTATTTGTTCATTCACCTGTCCATCCATCCATCCATCCATCCATCCATCCATCCATCCACCCATCCATCCATCTGTCCCTCTGTCTGCCCATCAGTTAATCCATCCATCTGCCTGTCCATCTGTCTGTTCATCCATCTGTCCATCCATCCACCCTTTCATCCACCCACCCACTTGTCCACCCATCCATCCATCCATCCATCCATCCATCCATTCATCTATCCATCCACCCACCCATCTATCCGCTGACCCACCCATCCACCCATCCATCCACCCACCCACGCACCCATCCATCCATCCACCCATCCACACATCCATCCACCCATCCATCCACCCACCCACCCATCCATCCATCCACCCACCCACCCACCCACCCATCCATCCATCCATCCATCCATCCATCCATCCACCCACCCATCCATCCACCCACCCACCCACTCATCCATCCACCCACCCACCTGTCCACCCATCCATCCATTCATCCATCCATCCACTCATCTATCCATCCACCCACCCATCCATCCACCCATCCATCCACCGACCCACCCATCCACCCATCCATCCATCCACCCACCCACCCACCCATCCATCCATCCACTCATCCATCCACCCTCCCACCCATCCACCCATCCATCCACCTACCCATCCATCTGTCCATCTGTCTATCCGTTTGTTCATCCATTCGTCCATCCTTCCATCTGTCCATCTGTCTGTCCATCTGTCTATCCATTTGTTCATCCATTCGTCCATCCTTCCATCTGTCCATCTGTCTGCCCATCTGCCTGTCCCTCCCATTCATTCATCTGTGTGTCCATTGCTGGCACGCTGGGGACAGAGAGCTTTATACATTGTCATCCTGCCCTGCAGAGGGGAAAGGCAGAATCAATCACTTCCAACCCACCCTTGTCAACCCCCCACAGGCCAGTGGAGGGGAGGACTACATGCTGAACACGCTCAGCTTGGACCTTCCCAGGATGGAGAGAAGGGTCAGAGAGCTTCCTGAGTGGGTGTCGGTGAGTGGATGTGGGCAGGCTCTCTGGACGAGAGTGGCCAGAGCCCGGGGTGGGCTTGTGGGTTGGAGGTGAATTTGTGGGAGGGAGAATTTTGCATGCAGCAGGAAGAGGTGAAGCAAGCCTGGACGTGAATGGGCGGCTTCTTCCCCACACTTCACCCCTTGTGCTGCCTGTGGAGTGAGCCACGGTGGCCAGTGATGGGCTTGCCCTAGGACCACTGTCCATGCCGAGTGGTGGCAGCCGCGCCCCGGGAGCACCCCCTCCTGCTGTGGTGGAAACGCAGCCAATGGACAGAGAGAGCCGGTCCCTGGAGCTCGGCTGAGTGTGACAGAGCTCCAGCCTGGGGGCAGCGAGGCTGCTGCACGGCCCACGGGACTCTGTCTTGAAGCGAGACCGTTACCATGACTGGCGCCGGGCGCCCACATACTGAGGTGTTTCTGTAGCACAGACACCCTGGGAAGAATGCCTGTCACACTCCCCAGCGGTCACGAGTTTCCCAAGAGAGTCAGATGTGGCCAGCTGCATGCGTCCCACCTTAAACACATGTGCACAAAAGACACTTCCTGGAGTGGGTGCGGGCGCCACCGTCTTGTGGCCACCGGAGACACTGATTCCTTTCCCAAGTCCCTGTGAAGTGTTTGTCTGAGGAGCTGGGTCTGTCAGCCTTTCTCTTCCACCTCTCAGCTCCCTTGGCCTTTGGGGTGAGTCTGCATAGACCTGCCCACCGCGGGACAGAGGCCTTCCCACAAGGACGAGGCAGCTGCTGTGGGACTGCCAACGTCTGTCTTTCTTGCCACACGGAAGGTCACCTGTCACCTGACAAGATTACCTGTCACTGATGGGCCACTTGTCACCTGAGGTCACCTGTCACCTGATGGGATCACCTGTTCCCTTTCAGCCCTCTTTGGCTTCAAGAGGTCGTGGGACCTCAGGTGTGCATCTGCCCTGGAGTGGTTTTGTTGTGGTTGGGGACATAGCTGTGTCCATCGCTTCTTGTCCCTCATCCCCCTGGGACCAGGCCTTGGGGAGCAGACAGCTGTGAACCCCCAGAGCTGTGAGTCAGTGCGAAGTGGGGAGAGAGCAGCCCACAAATCTCCAAAGGACAGACCACCATCCGCTCAGCTCCCAGCGCTCCCTGCGTCTCGGTAGTTCCTGCTACTGGCTGCTCCGTCCTCTCCAGGGCAGGCTGACTTCGTCGTCACCTGTCAGGCACAGCAGACGCCCACGGCAGGTGTGAGGTGAGGAAAGAAAACCGGACCCCACAGCCCTGAGTCCTCCCAGAGGCTGCTGGAGGGACGGGTGCTCTGCAGGGAAGCTCTGATGTCAGCGTTGTCCCAGTTTGCAGGGACAGGTCCTTGGGCCGAGGACCTCACTTTCAGTCAGCCACAGAGGCGTCCCGCAGCCCATCACCCACACGGAGAGTGCGAATGGCCTGGCCCGGCCTGCCTGTCTCATTCTCCTGTACACTCCAGCAACACGGACACCCACACCTTCCAGTCCCCCTGAGATCCCCAAGTCCTGTGCAGGGGAATGGTGGTCTCTGAAGACACGTCCACCTGCTGACCCCTGGAACCCGTGAGCATGCCTGCCCGAGAGGCCGTCTTTGCAGATGTAACAAGTTAAGGCCTGGAGAGGAGATCATCCTGGACTGAGAATGCCAGCAAACCCAACAACAGCCGTCCTTAGAGGAGAAGGGGGAGGGAGACTTGAGACCGGGACGGGGAGGGAGGCCACGTGGAGACGGAGGCAGAGATGGGAGGGGTGTGGCCACAAGCTGGGAGAAGCAGCAGCTTGTGTGCCGGAAGCTGGGAGAGGCAGGAAGGAGTGTCCATCCTGAGCCTCGTGAGGGAGCCGGCCCCGCCCACACCTTCCTCCACTTTGGCTCTGTCCTCCTGCCGGTGTGAGGAGCCCCCAGGCACGCGGGCGCCCCGCTTTAGAAATTCAGTTTAGAAGGTGCACCTGTGCATCAGTACCGAGGCATCCCAACTTATAAAACCCCAAATCAAGTATTTTATGAAAAAATTGCATATGTCTGTGTAGCTTTGTGGGAACGTTTATTTATTCATGTGAGACTCCAAATGCTTCACGCAGAAAAACAGCGACAGAAACACAGGATGCAGGGCAGAGATGGCATTTTACAGGGCAATATTTTCAGCGGCCACAGGAGGGCGCGTCTATAAAAGAAAACAGGACTGTGCGCGAGTGACCCACTCCACTCCCACCCGAGGCACGCACACACGCATGCACACACATGCACACTCACATGCACACACACACACACGCAGTCATCCACCCACATAGGCACACACATGCACAGACACGAAGTCACCCACCCACACATGTACCCTCACACATGCCTGCACACACACATACATGCACACTCACACATGCACACACATGCATGCACACATGCATGCTCATGCATGCACACCCACATGCAGTCATCCATCCACATGTGCGCACATGCACACAATCACATGCACTCACACGCACCCGCACCTGCAGTCACCCACCCACATGTGCACACACCCATGCACACATGCAGTCCCCCACCCACACATGCACACACACATGCCTGCACACACGCACACTCATGCATGCATGCACACACACACGGTCATCCACCCATATATACACACACATGCACATTCACATGCACACTCAGTCACCCACCCACATGTGCACACTGACATGCATACACACGCATGCACACACACATGCAGTCACCCACCCACACATACTCACACATGCCTGCACACGCATACACTCATGCATGCACACACGGTCATCCACCCACATATACACACACATGCACGTTCACATGCACACTCGCATGCACACATGCAGTCACCCACCCACACGTGCACACTCACACACGCATACATAGACATACACACACACGAAGTCACCCACCCACACATGCACCCCCACACCCCCATGGCCACCTAGTGGCGTTAGTCTTATTTTAATTATGTTCAGGTTAATCAAGGCTAAAATCGAGTTGAAGGGTGAGGGGCCTGAGTGCTTACACGGTCCCATCGGTGGAATAAAATAATTAGTTTAAGGCAGAGTGGGGAGTTTTTCTTGTTGAACAGTTAACATCCAGTCTCACAACCTTCTAAATGACATATCAAAAGCTTCGCAAGCACACAATTTTAAATGATAAAATCAGGCTCTACCAAAAGTTCAAGGTCACTTTTTTCCCCCTACACTCCCATGCCAAAAACATTTCTATAGTTTTTACTCAAATAACATTTGACAAATGGTAATTTGCGTTCTTCTGGGCTAATAGAGAGCAATAAAATCTATTGTTAATATTTTCAGCACCTTCTGGCTAAAATAATCCCATAACCCACTGAACCGTGCACCGCCCCCATAAGTGGTGGTACAAGGAAAGGTCAGGGCCACCAAACCTATCGCACAACCGCTGAAGTCAGCCACCCTGGCGGCCGGGGAGCGAATGGGAAGCACTTGACAACACCTGTCTTGGAGTTGCTTTTTGAAGCTTTGGTCAGAACATGCAGTCGTTTCCTTAATCCAGACTTTTGTGATCAGCAGTTTCTCCAAGGCGTGGTTGAACGGCCTCATAAGTAAAGTTGGCTTGGAGAGACCAGAAGACGTGGCTTTCACCCAGACCGATGACCGCTCTGCAGTGCCAAAGGGTGTGGCGTCCCGATTCCAGGGCCCTTTGCTTCCTATCCACTTGTTACCAAAATCAGGTAAAAAATTACCGAGGTAAAGAAGAAATAACATAAAGAGAGAAAACACAAAACTCAAAGCCAAAACTGTCCCAAGCCTTATAATACTTGTGAGCGAAGTCCTCAGCCCCTCCCGTGGTGCCCTCGATTCCCGTTAAAGGGCAGGAGCAGCAGCAGAAGCTGCTGTGAGCTCCAGGTCTCCACCTCATCCCCAACAACCATGCTCCCAAACCAGACAGCAGCAGCTGAAAACCGCAGAGCACCCTGCACTGTTGCCAGCCAATCCAGGAAGATAGATCATGCTGGTACAGACGGGTTTCAGTGCGGATGCAAATGAACTTATGCATGTGACTCTTCTTAGCTTTAAGCCTTTTACCTGAGGGTTTATTGTTGGAGTTATAGCAATGTATGGTGATGATAAAGGGTCTCCAGCATCATTCCGTGTAGTAAAAATGATGCTTCATCCGGGAGGGGAGGACTCCCCAGCATCTTACTCCCCGCCAGGCCTCCCACGCCCACCTGTTGGTATCTGAGGGTGAGGCGTGGAGGTGGCCAGACCATTACAGTTTGCCCGAGCGTCTAGATTTAGGAATTCTGTTGGACTTAGGAGCATCTAGATTGAGGTAAAAAGAGCACAGTCTACAAAGAAACTAATTGTTCCCGCTTTTACGTGCTCCTCAGTTTTAAAATCTTTTAATTTTAATTAAAAATAAGGGCCGGGCATGGTAGCTCACGCCTGTAATCCCAGCACTTTGGGAGGCCGAGGCGGGCGGATCACGAGGTCAGGAGATGAAGACCATCCTGGCGAACATGGTGAAACCCCGTCTCTACTAAAAATACAAAAAATTAGCCGGGCGAGGTGGCGGGCGCCTGTAGTCCCAGCTACTCGGGAGGCTGAGGCAGGAGAATGGCGTGAACCCGGGAGGCGGAGCTTGCAGTGAGTGGAGATCGCGCCACTGCACTCCAGCCTGGGCGACAAAGCGAGACTCCGTCTCAAAAAAAAAAAAAAAGATTAAAAATTAAAAAAAAATTAGCTGCCTTGACAAAGTCTTAGCTAAAGTACCAAGCATCATGGGAGAATATAAATATAAATATCCAGCCAGTCAAATATATTTCATAAGGAATGAGGCGATTGTAGGCTGGGCGCAGTGGCTCACGCCTGTAATTCCAGCACTTTGGGAGGCTGAGGCGGGTGGATCACCTGAGGTCAGGAGTTTGAGACCACCTGGCCAATATGGTGAAACCCTGTCTCTACTAAAAATACAAAAATTAGCCAGGCATGGTGGCACGTGCCTGTAATCCCAGCTACTCAGGAGGCTGAGGCAGGAAAATCGCTTGAACCTGGGAGGTGGAGGTTGCAGTGAGCGGAGATGGCACCATTGTGCTCCATCCTGGGCAGCAAAGCAAGACTCCATCTCAAAAAAAAAAAAAACAAACACACACAGACACACACCAAAAAAAAAAAGAACAAGGCAACCAACTCCATTTCAGATTAAGCGGCTGCCTTAGGTCCCTGGGATTTTGTTTTCATATGTAATCTCTACAGTTTACGTATTTTCGTATGTAACTTCTACGGTCGGACCAGATGGCAGGCCCCGTCCCAACGCCAGCCACTTGCCTGCTATGTGTTTCCTCTGTCGGCCCTACAGATCTGCCAGTGGCATTACAATCTCTTCAGCACAGGTTATATTTATCACAGCCGTTTAGACAGAGTTAGAATTAATTAGGGTATGTCGCAAATGTCAGATCGTTAAATGAAATGGTAAAAAGTAAATTGTGGTTTTTGGCAAGCAAGTATTTCATAAAATAAGATCCCTTGATGAAAAAGTAATTGCTCTAAAATATATACTTTTATTACCACTTTTAGGGACACAGATTAGCAATCTAAGTTTTAAATTTGATATGAATGGCAATGAATTCTATCTGCCACAATACAGCATGGAATTTGATGTCTAAAATATTCCTAAAGGGTGATTGAATAGTCAATTAAAATATAGCATTGCTAAGGGCCTGTGTGTGTGTGTGTCTGTGTGTATTTAATGCAAGTCAGTTGTTCTTTGAATTTTAAAAGTCCTTACACAGAATTTGGTATGATACATAATGGGAGAGACATTGAAAACTGAAGCTATAAAATACAGGAACCTTTGCAAGGAATGATAGAATTGGTGGGAGGTGGCCTGGGATGGTTAGCACTGAGTGGCCCCCCACGGCTCGCTTCCCTTGGTCTCTGGCCATCAGTGGTGACCGGTGATGAAACCGTTACCAACAGTTTCAGAAATTTCCAAACTCAATCCTGTCTCCTTCCTACAGTTGATTCTAACGGCACAGAAATGATTTCTGTTTCCACGAGTTCATGCTGCTCACGTTAAGCGGCTGTGACAGAGCCTGGTGGGGCACTTGCAATTCTTCCTTGTTTTTCAGTTGTTTATGGTTGAAAACACATCTTTTTCAGCATGGAAGGAATTTCTACAGAAGGCAAAAGGAATGTGTGTCCAGAAAAGGATCTAATTTTGAAGAGTCGAGCAAGTAACACTCACATGTTTGATGGCACAAGAGAGTTAACTTAAATAGCTTTAACCTGACTGGGTGAAGTGGCTCATGCCTGTAATTCCAACCTTTGGGAGACCGAGGTGGGTGGATCACTTGAGTTCAGGAGTTCAAGTCTAGCTTGGGCAACATGGCAAAATCTTGTCGCTACAAAAAATACAAAAATTAGCCGGGGGTGGTGGTGCATGCCTGTAATCCCAGCTGCTTGGGAGGCTGAGGTGAAAAAATTGCCTGAGCCCGGGAGGTGGAGGCTGCAGTGAGCTGAGATCATGCCACTGCACTCCAGTCTGGGCAACACAGTGAGAGTCTGCTGCCTCCTCCCCCAGAAAATCTTTAATCTAATCAACAATGAGGCTGGGTTTTCTAAGACGTTGCCTAAAACATGAAGTTCCAAAAATGTTCTGGACGACGATGGGGTGGTGGCTTCTGCCTGAGGGGCTGCACTAGCACAGAAGAGGGGACGGTGTCCGGAGTGTGCACGTGAACCAAGCCAGTGCCTCATGGTCACGGCCCCACAGCTCACTGTGCACACCCACACACAGACATGCATATGCTGTGTGCACATGCATGCATGTCCAGGACCACAGGCTCTTCCTGGGACAGGATCAGGAAGCAACTCTGGCCCCAGGCAGCCCCTAGCACGTTACCCCCACCCAGTTGTCCAGCCTGACTGAGTCTTATTTAACTTTACAGTTTCCTGAGAAAGCCTCTGTCTAGGAAGGTGGCCATGGAGCCCTTTCTCTCATTGTGTCCCGAGTCCTCCTTTGCCCACCACACAGTCTGGCCCCACCTTCCCCTCCCCTCCTCTCCTCTCTTCTCCCCTCCCCATCCTTCCCCTCCTCTCCCCTCTCTTTCCTCCCCTCCTCTCCTCTCTTCTCCCCTCCCCATCCTTCCCCTCCTCTCCCCTCTCCTTTCCTCCCCTCCCCTCCTCATCTTTCCCCTCCCCTCCTCATCTTTCCCCTCCCCTCCTCATCTTTCCCCTCCCCTCCTGAGCCATGCTGGCTTCACAGCTGAGTCACAGCTGTGGGGGGCGGTGGGGGGTGATTCCAGGGAATGGCTGGAGGGAAAGGAGCACGTGTTTTGGACTAGAGGTGATGTGAGAGCCATGTGTCCAGCCCTTGCTGGAGGCCAGTCTGAGCTGGCTCTCGGCCCTGGGCAGGGCATGGCCTTTCCCGGATGGGGTTGTTGTAGGAATCCCACCGGTCTAGTGTTTGGGGTTGAATTTTGTCTCCAAAAAGAAGGGTTGAGTCCAACCCAGGCCCCACAAGGGCCGCCCTGTTTGGGAGGAGGGTCTTTGCAGATGGATTTGGGCTCAGATGAAGTCATCCTGGAGTTGGGGGCCCCAATCACTGCTTCAGGTCCTTGGATGGAGGCCATGTGACAGAGGCAGAGAGTGGAGTGAGGCGTCTGCAGGTGAGGCATGCAGGGAGGGTCGTGAGGTGAGGAGAGGTCCCCAAGAGCCTTCCACACCTTGGAGGGGCATGGCCTCACGGACGCCTTGACCTCAGATGCCGGCTTCCAGAACCATGAGATGCACCCTCTGTTGTTTTAAGCCCCTGGTTTGTTAGAATGGTCCCAGGCCACGCACACTCGTTGAGCGGCTATAGCCAAGCTCCTGCCCTGTCATTGTTGGGGGCCCAGCAGCACGTGGAGCCTGCAGACTTTGGAGCTGGGTTCAGGGCTCATCTCTAAGCCCCAGGTTCAGCAGTGGCTCCTCAGCAGGGGCGAGTGCCCCCGACACAGCACAGACTCCTTGGCCTTAAATATGCAGCTTCATCTCCGTCTCCAGCTGAAATGGTTTGTCACCTTTGCTACTGGGAGATGCTCACGCTGCTGGGACACCATCCCTGTCCCTCCTCAGCCTGTGTCCTAAAGAAAGTGCCCGGTAGCAACCAAAAGCATCGGCACTGAGGACAGTGTTAGGGGCTCCAAGTAGCTAGAGGGACAAGGCCTGCCTTCGGCTTCTCCAGGGAGCACCTCCTTCACTGTCACCTCTAGGGAGCACCGTATTCACCACCACCTCCAGGAAGCACCTCCATCACTATCACCTCCAGAGAGCACCTCCTTCACCATCACCTCCATCACCTCCAGGAGCACCTCCATCACCTCCAGGGAGCACCTCCTTCACCGTCGCCTCCAGGAGCACTTCCATCACCTCCAGGGAGCACCTCCACACCTCCATCACCATCACATCCAGGAGCACCTCCTTCACCATCACCTCCAGGGAGCGCCTCCATCACTGTCACCTCCAGGGAGCACCTCCTTCATCGTCACTTCCAGGAGCATCTCCATGACCTTGAGGGAGCACCTCCTTCACTGTCACCTCCAGGAGCACTTCCATCTCCTCCAGGGAGCACCTCCATCACCTTCACCTCCAGGGAGCACCTCCTTCACCATCACCTCCAGGGAGCACCTCCTTCACTGTCACTTCCAGGAGCACCTCCCTCACCATCACCTCCAGGGAGCACCTCCTTCACCGTCACTTCTAGGAGCACCTCCTTCACCATCACCTCCAGGGAGCATCTCCTTCACCATCACTTCCAGCAGCACCTCCATCACCTCCAGGGAGCACCTCCTTCACTATCACCTCCAGGGGCACCTCCATCACCTCCAGGGAGCACCTCAATCACCATCACCTCCAGAAGCACCCCCGTCACCATCACCTCCAGGGAGCACCTCCTTCACTGTCACCTCCAGGAGCACCTCCTTCACCATCACCTCCAGGAGTACCTCCTTAGCTGTCACCTCCAGGGAGCAGCTCCATCACCGTCACCTCTAGGGAGCACCTCCATCACCTCCAGGGAGCATCTCTTTCATCATCACCTCCAGGAGCACTTCCTTAACCGTCACCTCCAGAGAGCACCTCCATTACCTCCAGGGAACACCTCTTTCATCATCACCTCCAGGAGCACCTTCATCACCATCACTTTCAGGGAGCACCTCTGTTGTTGGAGGGCAGCATCTCTGTCACTGTCCCCTCCCTCCTGGGCTCCAGGTCATGACTGGTCAGCCTCAGTGGGGCTCTAAGGTCTGAGGCCTCTCTGGCATCAACCTCTTAATAAATCTCTCTCTGTGGCCAAAAACGTTCCACGTCATTTCTTCCTCAATGTCACTTTCCTCGCTGAATAACCGATTAATGCGACATGAGAATAATTTACAATAAGATGACTGTATTTGCTGTGAAGCCCAGGTCAGATGTGAGGGGTGTGACCGTCGGATCAGACAGTCCTAGAGCCCGCAGCGTCAGCTGCGCGCCCGCCTGTCCTCCACTGCGGGCTCTGGAGGTAATGGAAGGGTCTGCCGCCAGTGCTGGCGACCGTCTTCCCCAGCCAGAGCCTGCCTGGGCCGCACAGCCGTGGCTTGACTGTCAGCAGCTCCTGAACATGGCACAGTCTGTGCTGGTGGGATTCTTGGTTCTGCTCTGTTTATGACCAACACGAGGTCACACCGAATGCCAGAAAGTTAAAGGAAGGATCCATTTTCTGAAAAAAGGCAGCAGTGTTTCTGTGTGGTGGTGACCCTGGGGCATCACCCCACCCTGATCTCTTGACCCGCGGTGATCTCTTCTGGCTGCAGCATCTCCCTCCCACCGGCTGCAAGACGCAGAAAGACCGCAGGGTCTGAGGGGGGCTCCTGGGTTTCAGTTCCACCTTCCACTTTGCACAACATGATGATGGGGGCAGGGTGACTTAACCTGCTGAACTTCAGACGTCCCATTTACAGGACAGAGATAAAAAAACCCCAAGCACACAGTTCCCCATGCACCTGGCTGGGTTTCAGGTGCCCGGGACAGGTGGGTGGCCCTGCCTACTGGAGCTCCCACTCTGGGCACGCACAGAGCCCAGAAACGGGGTCACCACAAATTGGAACTCAGAGCAGAAAGGCCTTGTCGGGCGGGAGGCAGGCCTGCTGCGAGGCTGTGCACACAGTTCCACTTCCAAAGGCTGAGGAAGCCAGGGTGATATTCAGCAGCCTCGCTAAATGCCCCACGCTCGTTGCATAGATGAAGACATCTGGGCTTTAGAGAGAAGAGCCTGCCAGGCTCACGGGGGTTAGAGGCGGTGGACTCCAGACCCTCCACTGTGGACCGCAGAGTAATGGCCCTGATGACGATCACGTCTCAGCCCCAGAACCTGAGAGCAAGTCGTGTTTCACGGAAGAGGGAATGGAGGCCGCTCCTCAGCCGACCCTGAGAGAGGGACCTGTGGCAGGCTGTTCTGGGCGGCGCCTGACGTAGCGCCTGGGGTGGGCTCTTCCGGGCGGCGCCTGACGTAGCGCCTGTGGTGGGCTGTTCCACGCGGGCGCTTGACGTAGCGTCTGTGGTGGGCTGTTCCACGCGGGCGCCTGACGTAGCGTCTGTGGTGGGCTCTTCCGGGCGGCGCCTGGCGTAGCGTCTGTGGTGGGCTCTTCCGGGCGGCGCCTGACGTAGCGTCTGTGGTGGGCTCTTCCGGGCGGCGCCTGGCGTAGCGTCTGTGGTGGGCTCTTCCGGGCGGCGCCTGACGTAGCGTCTGTGGTGGGCTCTTCCGGTCGGCGCCTGGCGTAGCGTCTGTGGTGGGCTCTTCCGGGCGGCGCCTGGCGTAGCGTCTGTGGTGGGCTGTTCCGGGCGGCGCCTGGCGTAGCGTCTGTGGTGGGCTGTTCCGGGCGGCGCCTGACGTAGCGTCTGTGGTGGGCTGTTCCACGCGGGCGCCTGACGTAGCGTCTGTGGTGGGCTGTTCCACGCGGGCGCCTGACGTAGCGTCTGTGGTGGGCTGTTCCACGCGGGCGCCTGACGTAGCGTCTGTGGTGGGCTGTTCGGGGCGGGCGCCTGATGTAGCGTCTGTGGTGGGCTCTTCCGGGCGGCGCCTGGCGTAGCGTCTGGGGTGGGCTGTTCCACGCGGGCGCCTGACGTAGCGTCTGTGGTGGGCTCTTCTGGGCGGCGCCTGGCATAGCGTCTGGGGTGGGCTCTTCCGGGCGGCGCCTGGCGTAGCGTCTGGGGTGGGCTGTTCCACGCGGGCGTCTGACGTAGCATCTGTGGTGGGCTATTCCACGCGGGCGCCTGGCTTACAGTCTGTGGTGGGCTGTTCGGGGCGGCGCCTGGCGTAGCGTCTGTGGTGGGCTCTTCCGGGCGGCGCCTGGCATAGCGTCTGTGGTGGGCTCTTCCGGTCGGCGCCTGACGTAGCGTCTGTGGTGGGCTCTTCCGGGCGGCGCCTGGCGTAGCGTCTGTGGTGGGCTCTTCCGGTCGGCGCCTGACGTAGCGTCTGTGGTGGGCTCTTTCGGGCGGCGCCTGGCGTAGCGTCTGTGGTGGGCTCTTCTGGTCGGCGCCTGACGTAGCGTCTGTCGTGGGCTGTTCGGGGCGGGTGCCTGATGTAGCGTCTGTGGTGGACTTTCCGGGTGGTGACTGATGTAGTCGCAGGGTCCTCAAAGCCGACGGAAGGAGGCACAGGGAGGGGGAGTCCCAGACGCCGGTGAGAGATTCGGCCACCGCTGCTGGCTCGGGAGGCAGGAGGAGCCCCAAGCTGGGGAAAGGGCAGCTTTGAGAAGTTGAAAAGGGCTGGAAACAGATTCTCCCCGAAGCTTCTGGAAGGACCCAGCCCCGAGACACTGTGACTTCAGCCTGGGGAGCCCTGGGCCAGACCTCCGACCCCTAGAGCTGTAGAGCAGGGTGGTCCCCAACATTTTTGGCATCAACGACCAGTTTGGTGGAAAATTTTTCCACGGATGGAGTTGGCAGAGGGATGGTTCCGGGATGAAACGGCTCCACCTCAGATCATCAGGCATTGGATTTTCATAAGGAGGTGGAACCTGGGTCCCTTGCATTCGCAATTCACAATGGGGTTCTCTCCCCTGTGAGACTCCAGTGCTGCAGCTGATCTGCCGGGAGGCGGGGCTCAGGCTCTAATGCTTGCGGCACCGCCACTCACCTCCTGCTGTACGCTGGCTCCCAACACGCCACGGACCTGCACTGGTCTTTGGCCGGGGTTGGGGACCCCTGCTGTTGGGGACAGACTCCTGCTGTCTTCAGCCCCCGAGCTTGTGGGCGTTCATTTCAGCAGGCTCAGGAAGCTCACACACGCTCAGGTGTGTCCAGTCCCAAGACCCCAGTCTCAACCACCGCCCCCCCACCCCGACCCGGGGCTAGACTGTGTAACACGCCATCCGCACATGGGCTGTGGGGCTCAGCATGTCTGCGGGAAGGTGCCAGCTGCACGCCGGACCCCCCTCCGCTGTCTTCAAGGGCCCAAGGCCTTCTTGCTGGACCTGTGACCCGGCAGGGCTGACTCGCTGTCTCTGTCTGGTGGACGCTTGATTCCCAGGATCACAGGCACATGTGTTCCCGAGGAACCGCAGCCTCACTCCAACTAGGACTCTCCCTCCGTGTGCCTCCTTCTTTCGGGTTGAGGACCCCGTGGCGACATCACTTCCCACCCTGGACAGCCCAGAGTGCTGCCTCCCTGCAGCCTCTGCCCTCCTCGGAGCCCCTGCAGCCCCATCGCTGCCCGGACCCTGGCCCTCCGTGGCTCGCAGAGCCGCTGCCCGTGCGTTTGTCCCTCACCTCGGTGGCCTCTGCACATCATAACTCTCCTGACGGAACCCACTGTAGAGTGACCTGGGCTGCCCAGACCCCCGTACCCTCCCATGTGCTGTCAGGGTGCGCAGGACACAGCTTGCTGAAAAGTGGGAGGCAAGTAAGAACAGCTGAGTGCAGACAGTGTTGACTTCTCTGTGGTCATTTAAATAGGCTGCTGCAGATAGTTTAAGACAGGGTTAAGTGGGTGAGATCCTTCTTCAGTTTTAACTTACACTGTTCAATTAAAAGTCATGAAATAATGTGGTCACTAGGATGCCGACCAAGACAGACAGCACAGGGCAAGGGCAGGCCAGGGGAGCGTCTGCGAGGGTCTAAGGGGAAAGGTGTTGGAGGGAAGTCGGGGGGCTGAGCCCGGAAAGAAGCCCTTAGTCACACAGCCTGACACCATCTTCAGGGTGGGGGTGCCCAGGCCAGGTGTCTGGGGGCTGCAGCGAGGCCCTCGTGACCGTACCCGTGGTCTCTGCAGTAGAGGAGAGTCCCCCTAAAGGGCTCCCCGCTGGCCATCTGCAGAGCCAAGACAGGTGGGGGTCGCACTCCCCCAGGGCACAGCAGCGAGGCAGAGCCAGCGGCAGTGTTTGCCCCAGGACCACGGCCCAAACTCAGACAACCACCACCTTGGCAGACTGGGGACCCTGGTCTGGCCCACGTCTGCTTGCTTTTTACCTCTTTCCCAAAGTGTAATATACACACCCAAAGCCCAGATGTTGGCGAGTGCTGCTCAGGGGTGGCCCCACCTGTGGACTTGGCTACCGGGTGGCCGCAGGGTGGTGGTAGGGTCTCTGTCCTTCAGGTCACCACACGTGCTGAGGCCAAGGGGATGGGAGCTATGACAGGCTGACCTGCGCCCCCAGCTCTTATGTTGAAGCCCCGTCCCCAGGAGGCTGTGTCTGGAGGGCAGGCCTTTACATCGGTCATTAAAATACAAGGAGGCGGTACGATGGTCCTGACCCGCTCTGACTGGGTCCTTACAAAAGGAGACATAAAGACACAGATGTGTGCAGAGGATGGCCCAGGGAGGACCGTGGTAGAGACGGCCTCTGCAGGCCTAGGAGAGAGACCTTAGGAGGAACCAGCCCTGCACACACCTTGATCTTGATCTTCTAGCCTCCACCGTGAGAAAGAAATATCCGCTGTTGGAGACCCCGCCTGTGGGGTTTTGCTGCGGTGGCCAAGCTAACCGTGCAAGAGGTGCGAAGGGGACGGAGTCTGGGGCACCTCCCAAGGCGGGGAAACTGCAGGGGAAGCTCAGGCAGCGGCAGCTGGGGAGGACTGAGTACAGACTTTTTTCCCCTGTTTGGCTTTTTCTTGCTGTTTAAGCCCTGAGACCCTAAGGGTGGAGGGGAGGAGAGATTTGAGTATTTTTAATTATTTAAAATTTTCTTTTTAAATGCTGATGCTGTTCAATAATTAACTTTCTCTAGATCCTGCTGTTTCTTAAATGGGAAATTAAAGGCAAATGGAAGTGTTGAAAAGACAGCAAAATCAATGACAAAATCCCTTTTATGAAAAGCCGAAACTAGGCGTCAGCAGAACGAAGCCTCTCCCACCAGGGTCAACCCTCTGGAGGCTGGGGCTGCAGGGGGTGGGGGCTGTGGGGTCCCAGCTGACTTTGGGCAGGGCCCTTGCAGGCTGGCCTCCCCCGACTCCACTTGGATCCTCTGCCTTCACACCGGGAGCCCAGCCCTGTGGGGCTCTGACTGGGGCGGGTGGCTCCCGAGGGAGAAGCTGAGCGGCTGCAGGCAAAGGCTTCGGGGAAGGGACCTGGGGGCAGTGGGCACCTGCCTGGGCTTCCTCATTCTAAATGCTCTGTCTCCACCATTTCACCTGCTAGCATTGGAAAAGTCCGTGGTGGGCACCTGGTCCTGAGGCCTCTGCTGGATGCAGAAGCTGTGGAAGGAGCGGAACAGGAGCCCCCGAAACCCACTGCCTCCCCCAAGTCCTCAGCCACCCAATACTCCCTGACGGGCTCTGTATTGGCTGTGGGGGTCCCCCTGGGTCGTGGTCCAGAGGGCCTAACCCTTCTACCCCTCGCCCTGTTCCCCTCTGTCATCACCCGAGTGTGTCCCCAGATTCCACCTGCTGAGGCCTGAGTCCCCAGTGTGATGGTACTGGGGGGTGTCAAGCTTCAGATGAGGCTGGGACCTCATGAGGGGATCAGTGCCCTGTGACCTGTAAGAGGAAGAGATGCCAGAGCTCCCTCCCCCAGCCTGTGGGTCACAGCGAGAAGGCAGTTGTCTGGAGCTGGGAATCTGGCCCCCACCAGGAACTGAATCTGCGGTCCCCTCCATCTTGGACTTCCAGCCTCCAGCAGAGTGTGCCCTTCGAGCCACCCAGGCGGCCTGAGCTGACCGGACGCCCTTGGTTTTGGTGTGTGGGGCACAGGTCTGAAGGCAAATGTGAAGCCGGCGAAGCCTCTGTGCCGATGTTACCAGGAGTTTTCACCCTCTCGGAAAGTGTCACAGACAGGGACCTTCCCCAAGGGTATGACAACACCCCTCCTTGCCCTCAACTCTACAGCGTCAGGTGTTTGAAATACATATATACTGTGTGTTTTTTCTAGGAAGATTTGAAACTTCTGGCTTAACCTGACATTTTGCTGTGGTGGTGATCCAACCTTTAATTGTTAAAATCATTTGCTCCTTAAATGGTTAATCCTTAATCATTAGAGCCCCATCATCAGGGAGTCTCTGTCCGCATGGCCTGGAGTATTTCAGGGCACACATGGCCGGGGCTCGAGACAGGCTGGTGAAGGGAAGAACAGGTGAGTGGTGGGCTGGCGGTTGTGGGGGGTCTGCAAGGGACTGGCCCTGTCCCACGTGAACACGTCCAGGCCCCAGTTAGCATCACCTTGGCAAGCCCCATAGGCTTTTCTCTTTTTATAATCAACCTTATTGAGCTGTAATTCACATAGAATACAATTCACCTATTTAAAAACATACAGTTCAATGATTCACAGACAGACACGTGTAGTTATCAGCACTGTTGATTTTAGAGCATTTTCATCAGCTTGAAAAGACACCTTGCATCCTTTAGTGGCCATGCCCCTAACCCCGCACCCAACTCCAGCCCTCAACAACCCCTCATTGGCTTTCTGTCCCCATGAGTTGTGGGTTCTGGGGACTTTCTGGAGAATGGGATCATACAGCATGGGTGCCTGCATGCCGGGGGCCCTCCTCATCCTGGCTTTAAGGTTCACCTACGTCATAGCATGTGCCTGTGCTTTATTCCTTTTATTTTTATTTTTAAAAATTGTAGTAAAGGGCCTGGTTTGGTGGTTCATGCCTGTAATCCCAGTGCTTTGGGAGGCCAAGCTGGGAAGATTGCTTGAAACCAGAAGTTTGAGACAGGCTTGGGCAACAAAGTGAGACCCCATCTCTACTAAAAAAAAAAAAAAAAAAAAAGTCAGGTATGGTTGTGCACCTGTAGTCCCAGCTGCTTAGAGGGTGGAGGCAAGAGGATTGCTTGGGCCCAGGAGGTTGGGGTTGCAGTGAGCCGTGATTGCACCACTGCACTCCAGCCTGGGTGACAGACTGAGACCTTGTCTCAAAAAAAAAATAAATGTAGTAAATATACATAGCATTAAATCTACCATTTAAACCATTTAAAAATATACAGTTCAGTGGCATTAAGTGAGTTTGCAACCATCACCACCATCCATCTCCAGAACTTTCTCATCTTTTCAAAAGGAAACTCTGTCCCTATTAGGCACGAACTCCCCATTCACCTCCCACCAGCCCCTGGCACCCACCATTCTACTTCTGTCTCTGTGAACTTGACTGCTGTAAACATTAGTATCTCATCTGACTGGCATCATAGAGTATTTGTCTTTTTGTGAGTGGCTTATTTCGCTTAACATAATGTCCTTAGAGTCCCTCCATATTGTAGCATGTGTCTAAATTTCTTTCCTTTTTGTGAATGAATAATATTCCATTGTATGAATGGGCCACATTTTGCTTACATCTGTCAGTGGACACTTGAGTGGCTTCTGCCTTTTGGATATTGTGAGCAGTGCTGCTGTGAACATGGGCGTGTAAATATCTGAGTCCCTGCTTTTCATTTCTATTTGCATATATCCAGAAGTGGAATTGCTAGATCATGTGGTAGCTCTATGTGAATTACCTCTAATGTTTTGAGGAACCACCATATTGTTTTCTACAGTGGTTGTATCATTTTACATTCCCATCATCAGTGCATTAGGGCTCTGATTGCTCTACATCCTTGCAAACACTTGTCATTTTCTGCTGTTTTCTTTTCTTTTTTTTTTTTTTTTGAGACAGGGTTTCACTCTGTTGCCCAAGCTGGAGTGCAGTGGTGCGATCTCAGCGCACCGCAACCTCCGCCTCCCATGCTCAAGTGATTCTCCTGCCTCAGCCTCCTGAGTAGCTGGGACTATAGGTGCCCACCACCATGCCCAGCTAATTTTTGTATTTTTAGTAGAGATGGGGTTTCACCATGTTGGCCAGGCTGGTCTCAAACTCCTGACCTCAAGTGATCCACCTGCCTTGGCCTCCCAAAGTGCTGGGATTACAGGGATGAGCCACCTGTGCCTGGCTTCATTTTCTGCTGTTTTGATATTAGCCATCCTGATGGCTTTGAAGTGGTATCTCACGGTAGTTTTCATTTGCATTTTCCTAGTGATAAGTGATGTTTACCATCTTTTTATTATTATTATTAAAGTTCTAGGGTACATGTGCACAACGTGCAGGTTTGTTACATATGTATACATGTACCATGTTGGTGTGCTGCACCCATTAACTCGTCATTTAGCATTTGGTATATCACCTAATGCTATCCCTCCCCCCTCCCCCCTCCCCCCACCCCACAGCAGTGCCCGGTGTGTGATGTTCCCCCCTTCCTGTGTCCATGTGTTCTCATTGTTCAGTTCCCACCTATGAGTGAAAACGTGGTGTTTGGTTTTTTGTCCATGCGATAGTTTGCTGAGAATGATGGTTTCCAGCTTCATCCATGTCCCTACAAAGGACATGAACTCATCATTTTTTATGGCTGCATAGTATTCCATGGTGTATATGTGCCCCATTTTCTTAATCCAGTCTATCATTGTTGGACATTTGGGTTGGCTCCAAGTCTTTGCTATTGTGAATAGTGCCACAGTAAACATATGTGTGCATGTGTCTTTATAGCAGCATGATTTATAATCCTTTGGGTATATACCCAGTAATGGGATGGCTGGGTCAAATGGTATTTCTAGTTCTAGATCCCTGAGAAATCGCCACACCGACTTCCACAATGGTTGAACTAGTTTACAGTCCCACCAACAGTGTTAAGTGTTCCTATTTTTCCACATCCTCTCCAGCACCTGTTGTTTCCTGACTTTTTAATGATCGCCATTCTAACTGGTGTGAGATGGTATCTCATTGTGGTTTTGATTTGCAATTCTCTGATGGCCAGTGATGATGAGCATTTTTTCATGTGTTTTTTGGCTGCATAAATGTCTTCTTTTGAGAAGTGTCTGTTCATGTCCTTCGCCCACTTTTTGATGGGGTTGTTTGTTTTTTTCTTGTAAATTTGTTTGAGTTCTTTGTAGATTCTGGATATTAGCCCTTTGTCAGATGAGTAGGTTGCAAAAATTTTCTCCCATTCTGTAGGTTGCCTGTTCACTCTGATGGTGGCTTCTTTTGCTGTGCAGAAGCTCTTTAGTTTAATTAGATCCCATTGGTCAATTTTGGCTTTTGTTGCCATTGCTTTTGGTGTTTTAGACATGAAGTCCTTGCCCATGCCTATGTCCTGAATGGTATTGCCTAGGTTTTCTTCTAGGGTTTTTATGGTTTTAGGTCTAACACGTAAGTCTTTAATCCATCCTGAATTAATTTTTTGTATAAGGTGTAAGGAAGGGATCCAGTTTCAGCTTTCTACATATGGCTAGTCAGTTTTCCCAGCACCATTTATTAAATAGGCAATCCTTTCCCCATTTCTTGTTTTTGTCAGGTTTATCAAAGATCAGATAGTTGTAGATATGAGGCATTATTTCTGAGGGCTCTGTTCTGTTCCATTGGTCTATATCTCTGTTTTGGTACCAGTACCATGCTGTTTTGGTTACTGTAGCCTTGTAGTATAGTTTGAAGTCAGGTAGTGTGATGCCTCCAGCTTTGTTCTTTTGGCTTAGGATTGACTTGGCAATGTGGGCTCTTTTTTGATTCCATATGAACTTTAAAGTAGTTTTTTTCCAATTCTGTGAAGAAAGTCATTGGTAGCTTGATGGGGATGGCATTGAATCTATAAATTACCTTGGGCAGTAAGGCCATTTTCATGATATTGATTCTTCCTACCCATGAGCATGGAATGTTCTTCCATTTGTTTGTATCCTCTTTTATTTCATTGAGCAGTGGTTTGTAGTTCTCCTTGAAGAGGTCCTTCACATCCCTTGTAAGTTGGATTCCTAGCTATTTTATTCTCTTTGAAGCAATTGTGACTGGGAGTTCACTCATGATTTGGCTCTCTGTTTGTTATTGGTGTATAAGAATGCTTGTGATTTTTGCACATTGATTTTGTATCCTGAGACTTTGCTGAAGTTGCCTATCAGCTTAAGGAGATTTTGGGCTGAGACGATGGGGTTTTCTAGATATACAATCACATCATCTGCAAACAGGGACAATTTGACTTCCTCTTTTCCTAACTGAATGCCCTTTATTTCCTTCTCCTGCCTGATTGCCCTGGCCCGAACTTCTGACACTGTGTTGAGTAGGAGTGGTGAGAGAGGGCATCCTGTCTTGTGCCAGTTTTCAAAGGGAATGCTTCCAGTTTTTGTCCATTCGGTATGATATTGGCTGTAGGTTTGTCATAGATAGCTCTTATTATTTTGAGATACGTCCCATCAATACCTAACTTATTGAGAGTTTTTAGCATGAAGGGTTGTTGAATTTTGTCAAAGGCCTTTTCTGCATCTATTGAGATAATCATGTGGTTTTTGTCTTTGGTTCTGTTTATGTGCTGGATTACGTTTATTGATTACGTTTATTGCATCCCAGGGATGAAGCCCACTTGATCATGGTGGATAAGCTTTTTGATGTGTTGCTGGATTCGATTTGCCAGTATTTTATTGAGGATTTTTGCATCAATATTCATCAGGGATATTGGTCTAAAATTCTCTTTTTTTGTTGTGTCTCTGCCAGGCTTTGGTATCAGGATGATGCTGGCCTCATAAAATGCGTTAGGGAGGATTCCCTCTTTTTCTATTGATTGGAATAGTTTCAGAAGGAATGGTACCAGCTCCTCCTTGTACCTCTGGTAGAATTCGGCTGTGCATCCATCTGGTCCTGGACTTTTTTTGGTTGGTAAGCTATTAATTATTGCCTCAATTTCAGAGCCTGTTATTGGTCTATTCAGAGATTCAACTTCTTCCTTGTTTAGTCTTGGGAGAGTGTATGTGTTGAGGAATTTATCCATTTCTTCTAGATTTTCTAGTTTATTTGCGTAGAGGTGTTTATAGTATTCTCTAATGGTAGTTTGTATTTCTGTGAGATCGGTGGTGATATCCCCTTTGTCATTTTTTATTGCGTCTATTTGATTCTTCTCTCTTTTCTTCTTTGTTAGTCTTGCTAGCGGTCTAACAATTTTGTTGATCTTTTCAAAAAACCAGCTCCTGGATTCATTAATTTTTTGAAGGGTCTTTTTGTGTCTCTATTTCCTTCAGTTCTGCTCTGATCTTCGTTATTTCTTGCCTTCTGCTAGCTTTTGAATGTGTTTGCTCTTGCTTCTCTAGTTCTTTTAATTGTGATGTTAGGGTGTCAATTTTAGATCTTTCCTGCTTTCTCTTGTGGGCATTTAGTGCTATAAATTTCCCTCTACACACTGCTTTGAATGTGTCCCAGAGATTCTGGTATGTTGTGTCTTTGGTCTCATTGGTTTCAAAGAACATCTTTATTTCTGCCTTCATTTCGTTATGTACCCAGTAGTCATTCAGGAGCAGGTTATTCAGTTTCCATGTAGTTGAGCGGTTTTGAGTGAGTTTCTTAATCCTGAGTTCTAGTTTGACTGCACCATGGTCTGAGAGACAGTTTGTTATAATTTCTGTTCTTTTACATTTGCTGAGAAGTGCTTTACTTCCAACTATGTGGTCAATTTTGGAATAGGTGTGGTGTGGTGCTGAAAAGAATGTATATTCTGTTGATTTGGGGTGGAGAGTTCTGTAGATGTCTATTAGGTCTGCTTGGTGCAGAGCTGAGTTCAATTCCTGGATATCCTTGTTAAGTTTCTGTCTCATTGATCTGTCTAATGTTGACAGTGGGGTGTTAAAGTCTCCCATTATTATTGTTTGGGAGTCTAAGTCTCTTTGTAGGTCACTAAGGACTTGCTTTATGAATCTGGATGCTCCTGTATTGGGTGCATATATATTTAGGATAGTTAGTTCTTCTTGTTGAATTGATCCCTTTACCATTATGTAATGGCCTTCTTTGTCTCTTTTGATCTTTGTTGGTTTAAAGTCTGTTTTATCCGAGACTAGGATTGCAACCCCTGCCTTTTTTTGTTTTCCATTTGCTTGGTAGATCTTCTTCCATCCATTTGTTTTGAGCCTATGTGTGTCTCTGCATGTAAGATGGGTTTCCTGAATACAGCACACTGATGGGTCTTGACTCTTTACCCAATTTGCCAGTCTGTGCCTTTTAATTGGAGCATTTAGCCCATTTACATTTAAGGTTAGTATTGTTATGTGTGAATTTGATCCTGTCATTATGATGTTAGCTGGTTATTTTGCTTGTTAGTTGATGCAGTTTCTTCCTAGCCTTGATGGTCTTTACAATTTGGCATGTTTTTGCAGTGGCTGGTACCGGTTGTTCCTTTCCATGTTTAGTGCTCCCTTCAGGAGCTCTTTTAGGGCAGGCCTGGTGGTGACAAAATCTCTCAGCATTTGCTTGTCTGTAAAGTATTTTATTTCTCCTTCACTTATGAAGCTTAGTTTGGCTGGATATGAAATTCTGGGTTGAAAATTCTTTTCTTTAAGAATGTTGAATATTGGCCCCCACTCTCTTCTGGCTTGTAGAGTTTCTGCTGAGAGATCAGCTGTTAGTCTGATGGGCTTCCCTTTGTGGGTAACCCGACCTTTCTCTCTGGCTGCCCTTAACATTATTCCCTTCATTTCAACTTTGGTGAATCTGACAATTATGTGTCTTGGAGTTGCTCTTCTTGAGGAGTATCTTTGTGGCATTCTCTGTATTTCCTGAATTTGAATGTTGGCCTGCCCTGCTAGATTGGGGAAGTTCTCCTGGATAATATCCTGAAGAGTGTTTTCCAACTTGTTTCCATTCTCCCCGTCACTTTCAGGTACACCAATTAGATGTAGATTTTGTCTTTTCACATAGTCCCATATTTCTTGGAGGCTTTGTTCGTTTCTTTTTATTCTTTTTTCTCTAAACTTCTCTTCATACTTCATTTCATTCATTTTGTCTTCCATCGCTGATACCCTTTCTTCCAGTTGATCGCATCGGCTACTGAGGCTTGTGGATTCGTCACAGAGTTCTCGTGCCATGGTTTTCAGCTCCATCAGGTCCTTTAAGGACTTCTCTGCATTGGTTATTCTAGTTATCCATTCGTCTTAATTTTTTTTCAAAGTTTTTAACTTCTTTGCCATTGGTTCTAACTTCCTCCTTTAATTCAGAGTAGTTTGATCTTCTGAAGCCTTCCTCTCTCAACTCGTGAAATCATTCTCCATCCAGCTTTGTTCTGTTGCTGGTGAGGAGCTGCGTTCCTTTGGAGGAGGAGAGGCACTCTGATTTTTAGAGTTTCCGGTTTTTCTGCTCTGTTTTTTGCCCATCTTTGTGGTTTTATCTACCTTTGGTCTTTGATGATGGTGACGTACAGATGGGTTTTTGGTGTGGATGTCCTTTCTGTTTGTTAGTTTTCCTTCTAACAATCAGGACCCTCAGCTGCAGGTCTGTTGGAGTTTACTGGAGGTCCACTCCAGACCCTGTTTGCCTGGGTATCAGCAGTGGTGGCTGCAGAACAGCGGATATTGGTGAACTGCAAATGCTGCTGCCTGATCGTTCTTCTGGAATTTTTGTCTCAGAGGAGTACCCGGCCGTGTGAGGTGTCAGTCCGCCCCTACTTGGGGGTGCCTCCTAGTTAGGCTACTCGGGAGTCAGGGACCCACTTGAGGAGGCGGACTGCCTGTTCTCAGATCTCAAGCTGCATGCTGGGAGAACCACTACTCTCTTCAAAGCTGTCAGACAGGGACATTTAAGTCTGCAGAGGTTATTGCTGTCTTTTGTTTGTCTGTGCCCTGCCCCCAGAGGTGGAGCCTACAGAGGCAGGCAGGCCTCCTTGAGCTGTGGTGGGCTCCACCCAGTTCGAGCTTCCCAGCCACTTTGTTTAACTATTCAAGGCTGAGCAATGGCGGGCGCCCCTCCCCCAGCCTTGCTGCCGCCTTGCAGTTTGATCTCAGACTGCTGTGCTAGCAATGAGCAAGGCTCCATGGGCGTAGGACCCTCTCAGCCAGGTGCAGGATATAATCTCCTGGTGTGCTGTTTGATAAGCCCGTTGGAAAGTGTAGTATTAGGGTGGGAGTGACCCGATTTTCCAGGTGCCGTCTGTCACCGCTTTTTTTGACTAGGAAAGGGAATTCCCTGACCCTTGCGCTTCCTGGGTGAGGCGATGCCTCATCCTGCTTTGGCTCACACACGGTGCACTGCACCCACTGTCTGGCACTCCCCAGTGAGATGAACCCGGTATCTCAGTTGGAAATGCAGAAATCACCCGTCTTCTGCCTCGCTTACGCTGGGAGCTGTAGACTGGAGCTGTTGCTATTCGGCCATCTTGGCTCCACCCCTGTTTAACATCTTTTAACATGTTTATTGGCCATCTGTATATCTTCCTTGGAGAAATATCTATTCAGATACTTAGCCCACTTTAAAATTGGGTTATTTCTCTTCTTGCTATTGAGTTGTAAGAATTCTTTGTATATTCTAGACACCCTTTTCAGATACATGATTTGAAAACATTTTTTCCTATTCTGTAGATTGTCTTTTCACTTTCTTGATGGTGTCCTTTGAAGCATGAATGTTTTACATTTTGATGAAGTGCATTTATTTTTTCTTTTGTGTTTCTTATAATTTTGGGGTCATATCAAAGAATTCTTTTTTTTTTTTTTGAGACAGAGTCTCACTTTGTTACCCAGGCTGGAGTGCAATGGTATGGTCTCGGCTCACTGCAACCTCTGCCTCCTGGGTTCAAGTGATTCTCCTGCCTCAGCCTTCCAAGTAGCTAAGACTACAGGTGCATGCCACCACACCCGGCTAATTTTTGTATTTTTAGTAGAGACAGGGTTTCACTATGTTGGCCAGGCTGGTCTTGAACTCCTGACCTCAGGTGATCTGCCCACCTTGGCCCTTCAAAGTGCTGGGATTACAGGCGTGAGCCACCATACCTGGCCATATCAAATAATTCTTTGTCAAATCTAAGGTCATGAAAATTTATCCTTATGTTGTCTTCTAAGAATTTTATAGTTTTAGATCTTACATTTAGGTCTTTCATTCATTTTTGCTAATTTTTATATATAGTGTGAGGTAAGGGTTCAATTTTATTTTATTTTTTCACAGGTGGCTCTCCAGCTGTCCCAGCACCATTTGTTGCAAGACTGCCCTTTCCCTATTGAATGGTCACAGCACCCTTGTTGGAAATCAGTTGACCATAGATGTGAGGGTTTATTTCCAGACTGTCAATTCTATCCCATAATGAAGAAAGTACCACACTATTTTGATTACTGTTGCTTTTTAGTAAGACTTGGAATCAGAGAATGTGAGTCTTCCAGCTCTGTTCTCCTTTTCCAAGATTGTCTTGGCTATTCTGGGCTTCTTGCAATTCTGTGTGACTTCCAGAATCAGCTTCTTAATTTCCACAGAGACATCAGTTGGGATTCTGATAGTGAGTGCATTGAATCGGCAGATCAGTTTGGGGAGGACTGCTGTTGTGGCAATGTCAAGTCTTTCAATCCATGAACGTGGGATGTCTTTCCATTTATTGAGATCTTCTTTAATTTCTTTTAATAATGTTTTTTAGTTTTCAGAGTATAAATTTTACTCTCTTTTGTTAAGTTTATTCAAAAGTATTTTATTTTTGATGTTATTGTGAATGGAATTGTTTTCTTAATTTAATTTTTGGATCACCCATTGCAGGTGTATAGAAATAAACTGATTTTTGTATATTGATCTTATATTATGCTATCTTAATAAGCTTAGTTGTTAATTTTAACAGTTTTTTTTAGTGGATTTCTTAGGATTTTCTGTGTACAAGATTATGTCGTTTGCAAATTTTCCTTTCCAATTTTTTTTTTTTTCTTAGATGGAGTCTGGCTCTGTCACCCAGGCTGGAGTGCAGTGGCGTGATCTTGGCTCACCGCAACTTCTGCCTTCCAGGTTCAAGTGATTCTCCTCCCTCAGCCTCCTAAGTAGGTGGGATTACAGGTACCCACCACCACACCTGGCTAGTTTTTGTATTTTTAGTAGAGATGGGGTTTTGCCGTGTTGGCCAGGCTGGTCTCAAAGTCCTGACCTCAGGTAATCTGCCTCCCTTGGCCTCCCACAGTGCTGGGATTACAGGCGTGAGCCACCATGCCCGGCTTTCCTTTCCAATTTGAATGGCCTTTATTTCTTTTTCTTGCCAAATCTCTCTGGTCAGAACCAGTAAAATATTCAATAGCAGTGATGACGGCAGACATGCCTGGCTTGCTCCTGATCTTTGGGGGATGTTTTCAGTCCTTCATCATTAAGTAGGAAGCTAGCTGCGTTTCTTTTTGTATATGTTCCTTATCAGGTTGAGGAAGTTCACTTCTATTTTCATTTTTTCAGTGTTGTTATCATGAAAGGGTGTTGGATTTTGTCAAATGTTTTTTCTGCGTGTACTGAGATGATCATGTCATTTTTGTTTTTTATTCGATTTATAAGATGTACTACCTTAAATTATTTTTGGATGCTAAAACGACCTTGCATTTTTGGGATAAAACCCACGTTTTTCATTTATAATTCTTTTTATATGTTGCTGGATTTGGTTTGCCAATATTTTGTTGAGGATTTTTGTGTCCATATTCTTAAGAGATATTGGTCTAGTTTTCTTGTGATGTCTTTGTCTGGTTTTGGTATCAGAGTAATACTGGCCTCACAAAATGCCAACTATCTGAACAAAACAAAACAACCTCCCAATCTATCATTTTAATGAAGTGCTCTAGAATTTTGCTGGCAGTCCACGTGAAATTTTCTAGTACTGGAGTTACTAGATGACCAGTCCTATTGTACCAACTTTTTGGCTTTAAGATTCCATTTGCATATTGTTTCTGCCTTCTCCAAAGGCTTTGAACGTGCATTTAGACCAAAATATTAAAACTTTGACCACTGTGGGTGGCTACATTTCACCTCACATTCATGAATTCATCAGTTAGTGAGTGAATGAGTCCCCTGCCTCTCCACCCGGACTCCACAGATCTCCTCTGCACGTTCTGAGCTGCAGGGAACCCTGTTTATTCCCCAGCTATCGGAGACGTCTCCAAACTGAAATTACGTCTGCAGTTTCTGCGGGGGCTTTTTCCTTCCTGCTTTTCCATTATTAATAATTCACCCTTGATCTTCACAGAAACCTATGCAGCAGGGGCTTTCACTGCCTTCATTTTTCAGATGAGGAAACTGAGGCTTGCTGAGGATATGCGGGCTGCCCAAACGTCTCACAGCTGGCGGCTGGCAGGCCAGAGGTTCTGCCCTGGTCCATCTGACTGTGGCCCCGGGACTCAGCTCCTTCAGGCCACTGGTGCTGCATGCCTTGTTCTGAGGGCTTGGGGGTGGGAGGCCGGGCAGCTCTTATGAAAACATAGACTCCAAA